>NC_000010.11:128793707-129105187 GCF_000001405.40 Homo sapiens
AGTGACCTTTAGAAAGCACAATGGCCACGGTCACCAGCTGGAGGCTGGGCTCATCGGAAAGCAGAGAAGGATCTCCAGCAGTCAGGTTCTGGCAGATGCAGGCAGAAGGTCTCCTTGAAGTACTGTTTACCAAGCCAGCGGCAGAGTGAGGAAGTGAGCAAGGAATGGTGAAGCCCTGGGAACTAGTAGCAGCAGGAAGCTGTTGCCAACCTGGGCCTGGTAAAGGCACAGACAGTGGTGCCAGCCCAGTGAGGGCTTTGGCCACTGAGAAGGGCTTTAGGGAATGCATGGTAAGATTCTGTCCCTGCCCAGTCCACAGCCTCTCAAGAAAGGCACCAGGAGAGTCCACATCTTGATCTCTCTCTCCTCTTTCTTTAGAGCTCCTGCCAGCTCCTCCCATGGCCCACACCCTCTGGAAGCCAGAGGGCAAGAGAGGCCAGGATGCCAGCCCCACAGAGCACAAAGCATGGTGGGCAGATGTGGGGAAGGCACCAGCTGGGGTGGGGTTTCACTTTCTCATTGATGACAAATAGATCATATTTGCATTTGCCAGCGCTTCATGCAGATTACCTACATCAGAGTGAGAGGCAGCTGGAAGAAGTGCAATGCATTGAGAAACCTCTAGAAAGAGACACCAGTGCTGGAACAGGACGAACCTCAAGTGCAGGTCAGTGCAGTGCGGGTCAGTTGCAAATTTGCCTTAGCCACTGCACCATCCGCCAATCTCTGCCGACCCTGTCCTCCCATGGAAAGCAGAGGAAGGGCCCTCAGTGCTGTGCACAGGGAGAAGGTCGAAACCATGTTCTGGTGATGGCCTAATGCCTGGTGGCCTTTGGGAAAACCATTCCTGCTAGGTCTGTGACCTCATCTGAGAAATACAGGTATAGGTGGGTGGCTTCTAAGGCCCCTTGTACTCTTTGTGCTTCGTTACATGATGTACACAGGCAATGTTGTAGCTTCATGGACACATGCAGCATGCATGTCTTCAATGCAGGTAATTCTCAACAAGGGACATTTTTGCTCCACGGCTCCATCCTGGGGGTCATTAGGCAATATTTGGAAACACATTTAATTGTTCTAACTGGGTAGGCCAGGGTTGCTACTAAATATCTTACAATGCCCATAACAACAAGTGACATTGGAAGAATAAATAAGATGAATTGAAACTCAGGTCAGGGGACTTAACAGTAGCTGCAACTCAGACAACGTCAGTGACATAAACAAACAATCAAAGGATAGATGAAAGAATGAAAGGATGGATGGATGGATGGATGGATGGATGGATGGATGGATGAAAGGATGGCTGGCTAGCTGCTGGGCCCAGCAAAGTGCCAGGCAGAGGGAGATCTTTAAATATTTGTCCACTGGTGAATAATGTGCCATAACATTTTATCTGTTGTTAAAAAAGTGATATGGCTAAGATTGCTTCTATATATTTTTTCATATGTGAGTGCATCCTTCTTCAGGAGATCCCATAGGATGAAAAATCTTACAAACGTGTACTTTCCAAGTGTTATTGTTTTACGAAAGGACTCACCATTGGCAATTCATTCTCTAACTCTCAAATCTGTTGGAAGCGTAGTCAATTTATGACATTGTTCTCTTCACTAGAAACATGTCCATAGCCTAAAGTGAGATACACGTGTATTGAGTTTATGCAGTTGAACTATAAAACTTAATTGAACTCTTGGATAACCAAATGAAAGAGAGTAAAATGATTTTTTAAGTTGGATTTGAATTCGAAATGTATTAAATACAAAAGCTTGCCATGATTTTTAAACAGTATATTTTTTAAAAATGCACTTAAAATATGTTTATCTGTAGGAGATATACTAAAATGTTGCAAAGTGATTGAACAAATATTTCAGATGACATCCTAAGTATTTTTGTGGCTTTAATAACAAGATAAAGAATCACACACCTTGAAGGTTATGTCATCCACAAACATTGCTTCATAAGCTAAATATCACAGTTAGTTTTTAACACAATTGCCCTTGGTACACAAAACCAGTCATGTATGTTTTAATGCTGCCAGCCCAACATTTTATGGCAGATGTGAAAAATTGTATTTAAATTAGAAATGCTAAAATTAATATTTATTGACTTGGTGTTTCATTATCATTAGAAATTAGTTTGTTCTTGGGTAAACAGTTCATAGCAAGATATAAATATGTTCCATTGACCTATTAACTGGCCCAATATATTACGGAGTTATTGACGGCAGCAGTAAAATTTATTAACAGCCATTAAACCTTGAAACATACTTGATAGGACTCTCTCCCTGGAATACCAGGATTAGGGGTGGGTATTTTTTAGGATAATCTGCTGCTGATATTGAATTCTTCCAAGATTTTAATATATTGTCTAAGTTTATGAGTCATAAAATAAACCTAGAGCTTACAAAAATTTACATGACAATATTATTTTTTTAAAAAGGGCATGTAAATTTTAGTACAGTACAAATGATGGTATAAACCACTAGAACACATAAAAAAAGTTCCCCAAACTGCATTAAAGCAGTATTTAGGGTCTAATTTCAGCACACAAAGCCCACAGACTGGCAGGGTAGGCCAGCAGGCATAGAGGACTTCCGGTAATTACTGTGGCATATTTCCAACCAAGCAAATCCACAGAAGAAACACAGTCGGCATCCAGACTGGGTGACCAGATACACACCGGGTCCAGTAAGTGTCATCAGATGTTTTTTTGGGAGGGCAAGACCCAAAGTTTGTAACTGTCCAGATGCAAACTTTCCAGAGATCAGTATCAGAGCATCAGCATCAGAGCCATGTCTGAGGCCTGGGCTTTTTGCTTGAACCATGTGAAGAATGGCCCTTGGTAAGCTCCATGGCACTCTGCAAAGCATCTCTTCCAGATGCCATCTGCCTGTCCTCAGCTGCCGAGCAACAGACAAGTGGATGCCTATGTTGATGCCTCAGCCATCGTGCCTCTGGGCAGCCACAGACAGAGGCATTTCCCCAGGCCTCCAGCCTGAGAAGCTCCACAAAGTCCATTACTGCTGTTGCCCCTGCAAAGTCAAAGCCAAGGTCCCCTCTGGTCCTGCATCACCTGCACTACCTTAGGCTGGATATCAACGTCTTGGGTCTGCCATAGCAAAGTGCACAAGATAAGTGGCTTAAAACAGCAGAAATTTATTCCCCAACAGTTCTGGAGGTCAGAAGTTCAAAATCAAAGTGTTGGCAGGTTCGTGCTCTCTCTGAAGACTCCAGGGTAAGAGTTGTTGCTCTGCATCTTCCAGCTTGGCTTTCTTGTCTGTGGCTGTGCCATTCCAATCTCTGCCTCCACCTTCACAGCGCCATCTCCTCTTCTATCTGTGTCAGATCTCTTTTTGTCTTTCTCCTATACTTGTTATTGGAATTAGGGTCCATCTAGATAATCCAGTATGGTTAATTTTATATGCTCATTTTGTTGGGACACAGTACCGAGATCTCTGGTCAAACATTAGTCTAGATGTCACTGTGCAGGTATTTGTGATGGTAATTTCATGTGTCAACTGAACTGGGCTAACGGATGCCCAGATAGTGGCTAAAAGGTTATTTCTTGGCTGAAGCATGGTGGCTCATGCCTGTAATCCCAGCACTTTGGGAGGCCAAAGTGGGTGGATCACCTGAGGTCAGGAGTTCGAGACCAGCCTGACCAACATGGAGGAACCCCGTCTCTACTAAAAATACAAAAATTAGCTGGGTGTGGTGGTGCATGCCTGTAGTCCCAGCTACTCGAGAGGCTGAGGCAGGAGAATCACTTGAACCCTGGAGGCGGAGGTCGCAGTGAGCTGAGATCACGCCACTGCACTCCAGCCTGGCGACAGAGGGAGACTCCGTCTCAAAAAAAAATACGTTTGTAAAATTAAATACACGCACACACACACACACACACACACACACACACACATATATGCTATTTTTATAGATGGCATTTTAGTGTGCATGGGCATTGTGGCCGGCAGAATACGGGCTCTCCGAAAGCTATGAGATCCTAATCTCTGGGTCCTAGGAATGTTACTTTACGTGGCAAAGATTTAGCAGCTGTGATTAAGTTAAGGATCTTGAGATGGGGGGATTACCCTGGATCATCTGGATGGGCCATAAATACAACCACAAAGGTCTGGAGAAGAGGGGGCAGCAGGAGCTTTGACATGGACAGGAGAGGAAAAGTCCCCGTGAGGACAGAGGCAGAGACAGGAGTGATGTGGCCATAACCTGAGGAACACCAGAGCCACCAGGACCTGGGAGAGGCAAGCAAGGATCCTCCTCTAGAGCCTTCAGAGGGAGCATGGCCCTGCTGGCATCTGGATTTCAGCCCAGTGACACTATTGTCACAATTCTAGTCTCCAGAACTTGATAGAATACTTTTCTGTGTTTTAAAATTACCCAGTTTGTTGTAATTTGTTACAGCAACTGCAGGAAATGAATACACACACACGTACACACACACACACGCCCCCACACATATATACACATACACACTTAAACACACACACACATATGTGCATGTATACATAGACATGCACATAGATACATATACCCACACAAATGCACACATACACACATGCACATACACGAATACACATATGCACACACATATACACACATGCATACACATACATATACACATAAACACATGCACATGTGCACATATAGGCACACATACACACCCATGCACACAAACATGCATACATATGGACATACATATTCACGCATATGCACACATGCACATCCACACATATGAACGTACGTATACACACCTTGGAATTAGGGTCCATCTAAATAATCCAGGATGGTTAATTTTATATGCTAATTTAGGCGGGACGTGGTGCACACACATGCACATACACATATATGGACATACATATACACATATATGCACACACATGCACACAGACATACATATACACACATGCACATATGCACATATGCACATACACACATATGCACATACACATGTATATCTATGTGTATCTGAGTATTTCTTTATGTTACTTTTTTTCAGAGTTTCCTCCCAACAGTGAAGAGAACTCAGCAGTGAGCCTCTGTGGAGAAGGGGGCATTTAAGCTGGGCCCCAGACTCAGCAGAGGGAATTCTGGAGCAAAAGTGCCAAGGAGGGTGCAAGCTTGGCTCTGCAGGAACTGGGGCCATGTGACAGCAGTCTTTCTCCAATAGGATGCCCATAGCCACTATCCAGCCTGAGGTAAGGGGTGATGTGGCCAGGCACCTCACCAGTCCCCCAGTCACAGGCCCCACGAGGTCACCCCAGCCTCTGTCTTTGGAGACCTGAGAGCCTTTCACCCTGGGCAGACTTCCTGAGGGTGGTGACATTTGGCCTTAGCTATCGACTCTATGGCCTTCACTCTCCTGGTCTTTGCCCTTCCCTTGACAATGATCTTGGCATAGGACTCTGAGATGTTTATTGCCAAAATGTAAAAGCTGCTTTGATTAGGTCATGAGTATCTTTGGTTTTGCCTCAAATATCCCTGCCTTTTTCTTCCTTTGGCTACCAAAAGTTGCCAAAGCAAACGCTCTTCTGCTATGTGCACTTTCACACTTTGGGAAATGGAATCTACTGAATTGTTTTGGTACCAGGACTCAGCAAGTTTAGGGTGAAACTGGTGACAAAGGGCAGTGGCTTGTCCCTGCAAGCAGGAGGTCAAGGTCAAAGCCATCGCCCCTCTAGATCTCTTAAAGCTCCTTGCACATGGAGGGCCCCGCCTCATACTGGTCTATTTAAATCCGTGGATGGATTTGTTCCATGTTTCTCCTGCCACCAGTTGAGCTCACTATAGACCATGGTCAACTTCCCCAGAATTGGACTTAGACTTTCTATTACAAATGTCCCCACTCCGGGTTATTTTCTGGTCTTAAAAAAAAAAAAAATCCCAGCTGAGAATCAGGGTCCTGGCAGGAAACAGATGACACTCTCTGACAGAATAATCCAAGGACAGCTTATTTACCAATGACCTAACTACAGGCGTGTAAAGGCAGTAGGGATATCGCCAGGGCTTCCTACAATGGAGTTATATCTGCTCTGGGCCCAAAGGGACATGGAGAGGAAGTGGTGGTCAGAACTGGGGAGGGGTAGAGCAGGGCAGGACAGACTTACCTTGAGGGGAGCACGGATCACCTGTTGGGGGACATAGCCAGCCCTAGGGGCCTCAGAGGGAGAGTAATTTGATTCTACTTTCCAGTAGCCCTCTTTCTGTTTCTTCCATGGGGATCCTTGTGGGTTGAACCAGTGGATAAAAATTCCAAGCTGAGAACAAGGTTGAGAAGGATAAAGGGAGGACCCACCGTGGCCAACGGAGGACCTTCAGCGTGAACTGTAACCAGTGCTATTTCTGCCCCATCTCCCCAAAATAATGTCTAGCTACTTAAAGATAGAAAACAACATAGAAAAAGATAATGATGACAAAGGCAGCAGGAGGAAGGATGTGTGTTGGTAAGGAAGATAATGTAGATTCTGGCATCCACCATCATTTGGAGGAAGTTCAACAAAAACAAAAAGGACAACACAATGGTTTATACATCCTTCCCCTTGAAAGAGTCAGGACACCTTATTTCTCATGAGGAGCCTTCAAAACAAGACACTGAGCAAAAAAGTTGTTGCTGTCAGGAGCAACTAGTTGCAATGAATCCACAGTGCTGTCTCATGCCTGTGTTTTACCTTTCATACTGGCTGGAGAGTTGGCCCTGAAACACAGCTCAGTAAAGGTGAAATATACAAATTTTTCTTTGGCTCCCAGATTGTTGGGTAGAATTCACTCTAAGGACGAGCTATCTAACCATGTCTCTGCTGTTTTGCTTATTAGATATCATCTTGCTCTTATTGGCTTTGGCTAGGAGGTTGTATTAGTCAGTGTTCTCCAGAGAAACAGAATCAATAGGGTATGTACATATGTACAAAGAGAGAAAAAGAAAGATGTTTATTTTAAGAAATTGGCTCACACAATTATGGGTGCTGCTAAGTTCAAATGTGCAGTGTTGGCCAGCAGACCGGAGACTCAGTAGGGCAAACAGTGGGGATGCAGTTCCAGTGTGAGGGCAATCTGCTAGAGAATTCCCTTTTGCTTAGGGAGGGCAGTCTTTGTGTTCCATCCAGGCCTTTGAGTGATTGGATGAAGCCCACCCACATTGGAGAAGGAAATCTGCTTTACTCAGTGTTCACTAAATTACATGTTAATCTCATCCAAAAACACTGTCAACGTTGATGCATACAATTAGTCATCAGAGAAGCAGAGCTGAGATTTCAGGTGTATACCAAGATGACAGTCTGTTGTGATACTCTTATGGACAACTGTGAGAATTCAGACAGATCCACATCCTTTGGAAGTCAGAAGAAGAAACGGTGTGGGTGGCAATCTAACATGAAATTTAAGTAGCATGATGCTATCACTGGCCCTTTTCTCCCGGAGATGGCTTACAGCCATCTCTAACTTTGGTCACTGCCACACTGAGGCAACACTCTCTTGGCCACCAGTTTGCCCCACTTGGCTCAGCAGCACTGAGACAGTACTCTCTCTAGCCACTAGTTTGCACAGATGCTCTGGAGACCTGGTCCCATTAAAATCTTCCCTGGATCTTTAAGTCATAGCAACATGACCAAAAACAAACAGGTAAGATAATATTCCCGAAGAGTTGTCAGTGTTATCACCAACCCAGACAACTCGCACCCTAACCCACAGCCTTTAAGGTGAGCAACATAAGGAGATGAATTTCTTGTATTTCTCAATTTATTCAAGCGTCAACTTCAGTAAAAGATTGTGACATACCAAAAGGACTTCCCTGAAACCTTTAAATACTGTGGTTTTAAGGGTTCTACAGACTGATGGAGTCCATGAAATGGCTGAAAATCATCAAGGCTGACTTTGAATCCCCCTGGAGACCAGTAGCCTTAGAATTTTGCTTCTTCTTCTCTGCTCTCGGGGGACCCCAAAGACCCCAGGCCTGGGCCTTCTGAGAACAGGAAGGTGATGTCTGCACAGCACCAAGTCAATAAGTGTGTTGATAGTTTATTGGTGAATGTTGGCTGTGGAGAATGAATCCGAATCACTTAGGTCAAAAGATGGCTAATTCCAAACACTTTTGCTCTATGCCTGTTTTTATGGTGGCCACTCTTTGCTCTCAAACAGGGCTCAGAAGAAGAGTGCCAACAAGTTTCTCCACAGAGGGGCACTGGCTGGCATCCCTGTAATACGCGGTTTGTAGAGAATGAAAGCAGCTTTGGTTTTCTTTTGTACGAGTGCACCCAGTTACCGGCATGACACTATGGTTTCCTCGCTCGGCTTTGAAATATAGTAAACTCACAAAAGCTACTGTCGAGTTCAGAACAAACACAGGGGGTATGTTTAGTTATTTGTTTTTGTAGTAAAATAAAATATTTATTATACGCAGACACCTACTGTGAACAGAGGGGGAGGCCACTGTGTTTTATCTTGCCGGTGTCATGTTTGACTTCCATTAGGGATGGATTATAGACCTGTGGGTTTTCATGAATTCAGAAAGTCCACTTTGAACACTGATTTCAAAGCCTACAGGGGGTGTGAGGAATGTGAGAACACAGCTTTGGAGGAAGGAACCTGTTGCATCGAGCAAGCACCTTGTGTTTGATAAGGCAGAATGGAGGTTCCCTGGGAGAGAGAGAGGCCAGGATGCTTTTCCCTTAATAAGACGACTTTAAAGGAAGCTTTCCTATTGTTTCCTCCACACTTTCCTCAAGGTGTACACAATTAATTCAGTCTTGGAATCCTGAGAAAATAACCACTGTATCAGTCCGCTAAGCCTTCTCCGTCTCTCTAACTTATCACAGGGAATCTGAAAGTATTCTAAATCATCAGGGGCTCCTGGCTTCATGCTTCCACGCTCTCTGGGCTAGCTTCTCACTCTGGCATGCGTGCAGGAGCCTGCACCCACTCTGTAGGCTTTTGCACCTACAGAGAAGGGGGCCAAAATGAAGAGGATGCCACCCTTGGCATGCATCTAGGGTCCAATCACGCCTGAGTTCCACGCCTAAAAAGACTTTGACAAAAAGGAATGTGTCTGAGGGAGGGTGTCCCTGATGAGAGAGGGTAGGTGACCAGTCCCCTGAGGCAAAGCGGAAAGAACCCAGGACATTCATCCTGGAGAAGGAAAGAGTTGGGCTAAATCCTGTTGACACCCTGAAGAATGTGCAAATCTATCTTCTCATGGAAGAAAGCCTGAGTTTGGATGGTGGGTGAGGATTTCACAGAGTTGGCTTTTGGGGTCATCAGAAAGAAAGTTCTAACAGCCTTCTCAGGAAACCAGGAGCTATGCATCATTGCAAGATTGGGATTCCTTGGTAGAGCAGATGTAGAAGGCAGGAGGGTTGGGTTAACAATTGGAACAGCCACGGGACCAGACGATTCCCTGGTCCAGTAGTGGAGAAGTCATCTCCAAGGCAACTTTATAGAAAAAAAGGAATGTATCAAATGGAATGTATGAAAATATGCCGAGGGACTCCTCTGCTCGCATCAGCCTTCCAAGAAGATGGAGGAACTCTCTGGTCCTCGCCTGAACTAGAACCAAGGGACACATCTTGTGTTTCTTTTTGCCCTGGTGAGATGTCCATGACTGGATCCACTCACACCTGGACACTGCTGTGATGATCCTAGCATGCATCCTCCCTTTACCTTTACCTCTGGAGAGGAAGACCCAGAGAGCATGACCCAGACCAGACAATTTTGCTTTTTCTAAGCAATACAAACCACCTGAATAAGAATATGGACCTACTTCAAGTTATATTTCATATTTTTTTCACCACATTCAGGAGCAATAAGGAGAATCAGCAACTGTGAATCAGGAGTCTGGCTGGGGAGAAAGGCTCCAGCCTGGGCTTAGCGTTGACTGTGTAAGTGGTTTTCAAGCCACTTAGTGCCAATGGCTCTTTGTGCCAGCAAGGATGTCCTGTTAGATGCTTAATTTAGATTTTAAGAAAAGCAATCCCTTAAGGTTTTAGGATGCAGTCACTTAGTTATTTTTTTCCTTTTGCTCCCCACTGTTCTTTGTCATGCAGATTCAGGAAACCTGGGCTCTGCCTCAGGATACCTCTATGTTTGGAAGCCCCCACCCCTGCCCCCATTCTGCCATTCTGGTGGTAGTGAAGAGTGAGAACTTCTGCCCTACGCTGGGCGTTTGGGGAGCTGTGCTAGGTCACAGTCTGTCATTCCACACTTTGGGGCTTTTCACACTTGGGCATCCTTAATCACCAAGTCAGAAGGAAAACGGGCCTGTGAAACGTCCACTTGACCAAGACCCCCTTCCATCACGGGTTTCCCAGAGGCAGAGGATGCGATTTGCAGGCAGCCCCAGTGGTCAGCTCACAGCCTGGCCTGCAGGGGGAAATCAATGCGTCAAAACTGAGCTATATTGCCAGAGCCTGTCAGGCATTTTTGAGCTTGCTAACGTGAGACCCTATGCTTATGTTTACCTTTATAATTTTTACATTTCTTAGACTTTAATGGTAGCTCTTATTTGTTTATTCAGCCATTCAACAAACACTGAGCACAAGCAAGACAGAAGAGCTCTCAGCTCCTCCACATTCAATACAACAAGTCAAATGTGAGCGTGGGTGTGTCTTCACTGCTTCCCGGCAGGAATCCTAGCTGCCTGGGATCCAGGAAGCCTTTTTCCAAAACCTCACTCTCCAATCCTGAGCCTGTCCAATATGTGCCCATCTCCTGCCTGATTTGCACCCGCCTGGCTTCAGAGTGCCCATCAATTGTGTTTCAATGCATCACCTTTCCTGTTACTCCTCAGCTACTGCCAAGGCATGAGGTCTCAGCACACTTGACTACAACACAGCAGGGTGCTTGGCCATGCACTCAGCAAATGTGCCCAAAGGGTGGTTCCCTAGCAAGTCAACTGTCTGTGCATCTTGTGAAATATTTGCTGCTGGCTCCTGATTCTTCTGGAATCCTTTTCTGGATGCTGTGGATTACCTAGCAGCCAGGCTTGGCATGGGTTCTGGAGCAGGAATCCCTGAGGCAGATTAATTATGGACTTCTGAGCAGGGGATATTGATATCGTTGATATCCAGGAACAGTTTGTGTGTGGCTTCCAACCAAGCTGCAGCTAGCTTATGAGAAGAAGCAAGATTATCACCGAAGAGAGTCATGAGACTGTGGGTCTGCAAGTTGGCGCATTGTCTGGATCACTGTCCAGCTTCAGTGATAGCTGGACTGTGGCCCCAGAGCAGCTCAGGAAATCACCATGTGGAAGTTGCTGGAACAACCATAGCCACTCTGAAACCTTCACACTTGACCCTTAGAATACTTGGACCAGCTTCTGAAAGGTACATTTGGAAGGCCAAAAGGAAGGAGAAAGAGAGGAGAGGCATGGCCGGCTCCCAGGGATGAGAGCTCATCTATCTTGAGGTTTTTCTTCAATCTCCAAGGCCATGTAGAAGTGACTTGGGCACAAAGGGGTCACTCCACTCCCTTCCACCTTTCCTTGCTCCTCTTTCTAATCTGCTCTCTTTTCTTCCTAAAGTACATCATGAAAACCTGCTGCGTTTGCACTGAGACTCTCTTATTAACAGACTTGTTTTTGCCGTGGTAGTAGAAGCAGCATTATAAGAAACCATTTAACAGCCAATTCTTTCAGATTCGCAGAGAGATGCACACAGTGCTGCTCACTCTTCTGAGAAAAGCTTGAAAAGAACTTGAACTTTGCTAAAGCCTGAACAGTTTGCCCTGTGTGCTGTAGAAAGTTGCAATATCATCACTGGAAAGTTGAATTTCCTGGTTTTCCTTATCCATGCGTCAAATACATGCTATAATGTACTCCATAAGAGTGTCTTAGAATGTTTTTAAAAGTATTTGGGGGATCTGTTTTTTTCTTGATGGAAGTGCTATCTAAAATGGTGTTCTTGGCGAGGCAAGGTGGGGCACACTTTTAATCTCAGCAGTTTGAGAGAACAACATGGGAGGCTCAACACCATTTGAGCCCAGGAGTTTGAGACCAGACTGGGCAACATAACCCACGGAGGATCATTTGAGCCCAGGCTGGTCTCAAATTCGTGGGCTCAAATGATCTTCCTGCCCATAGACCCCCTCTAAAAATAAATAAGTAAATAAATGTGTGATTAAATAAATAAAATGGTATCCTTTCTGTGTTTGGTAACAGCTAGGTCCCTGAAGCATTAAGTTTATGAATCAAGCTCAGAAACTTCTAGAAGTTAAGAGTCAAAGTTCCCACAGCAACCTTCTTTGTTTCAGCACACAAATGCATGATGACAACTCTTTTATTGCCTGATTCCATAATACTAGATAACAAGAAGAACATCCTGGCTAATATTTTAGAGAAATGGCTAACTGCGTGAAGAGAGAGAGAAAAATGTATGGACACCTCATCCGACCCAGACAAGCTGAGCATCAGATGTTCTGCCAGGAGGAGCAAAGAGATTTCCAACCTGAGCCTTTGGGCTTTTCATGCCTTCACCCAGGGACATTTCCTCTATGTTGGTAGACTAGGCTGTGAGCAGTAGCCTATAAATCCAAGGTCCTGGCCTGCCTCAGTTGCTGACCTAAATAGGGTCCTATCTACAAAGATGATTTAACTTGTGCAAAATGCTTCCTTTCAGACCTAGTCCCCATCTGCTGAGTCCCAACCTCTAACTGCATGTGGCTCTTCCCATGATTGGTCTTCTTGGCTGGATGCACTGGGGCACATTGATGCAGACCATGTCATTTCTCAGACCCACAGTGACCTGTGACCTCCCATCTGACCACCTGTTCCTGGGATTAAGTAGACAGCTTGTAGTGATGGGCACACAACTGGTTCAGCCCATACTCCCTTAGTGGCTGTCCTCAGCCCCTGCCTCCACTCCCGAGTTGGGGCTCACACATCTTTCTAGACCACCCCCCCAGGAGGCTGCAGAATCCAAACACGGGCAAGAGGCACCCTGCTGGAGCTGCTATGTTGACTAAACCATTGGAGAAAAAACCATCTTGTATTAAAAAGAAGATATTATGTCAATCAGATTTAAAGTGTGCATGATATTTCACAACACAGTGCAAGATTTTCATTCAGCAAATGTTAACTGATTTCTTGCAATAGGCTGGGTACTGTTTTAGGCCTCGTAGCTAAAATGCATCAAGCACACACTCTGTCCCCAGCCACTGTCTTGAGCATTATGTGATATTCACTTAATCTTCACAAGATTAGGAGTTAGAGGCCTTTTTCAACCTCCCACGTGACAAGTGACAAAACTGAGGCAGAGCCATTTCAAGCCCCTTGTCTAAGGTCACTCAACTAGAAGGGGCTGGGTTGGACAGATTGTCACCTCCAGTGTCTGGGTGCTAAACTTGGGCTATACTGCCTCAAACCTCAGAGAAATGTGACACTTCTTTTATTTTTTTTGCCATAATTCCCAAATTTTAATAGCAATGTCAAACCTGTCAGCCTCAACATCCTTATTAAAGGGCTTGCTCTGAGCTGACCTCATCTGACACAGTCTTGCACTGCTCTCCCGAGCACACCCTCCCTTAACCCCACCAAACTCCTTGTTGAGTGTGGGGAAGTCAGTGCTTTCTGGCATCTCTGAGGCTTTGCCATTCTGTTCTCATTCTACCTGGTCAGTACCTACCTTACTGTGAATCTTTCTCGGCTTGCTCTTATGATCTTCCAGAGTCAGGGGCTCCTGAAGCACCCACATAGCCATTGATCCATCTATCTGTGGCGGCAACAGCCATCTGCCCGGGTCCTTATGATCTGCTAATTTCCTGTCTCCAGCCCAGGCTCTGAGCTCTTTAAAAGAGCAAGTGTGTGTGGTTTGCTGTTGCAGCCTCAACTACTGAGGCCACCCTCAGTATTCATTGGGGATGGGAGGACAGAGTGAACGGTTAAGTTAAGGGACACCATTTGCTGGATGTTTCATTTTGAAATGTTGAGAAATAACAAGAATGCCAACCTGAGGATGCCTGTAGCCACTCCAACACAGGAACTTCAAACACCTGTGCTTAGGAAAATGGAGGAGAAATTTGGTCTATGTCTTGGGACACTGCAAAACCCAATGGCCAAGGGACAGCTAGGTCTTAGTTGGTTCAAAATACGAATAGGGTGGCCACTCTGAAATAGGCCAGTAACAAGGAGGTTGTGGGGTGTCTGCTGTGGAACCCCTTACCTGTGGGTACCCCTGGAGTAGGTGTTGTTGGTGCCCAACCACATTCCTGTTCCCAGGCCCCAGTGTCCAGCAACCAGGAGGGCTACATCACCCCATGCCCTCCTCAGTTGCAACCAATGGCTGACAGAAATGGAGGTGCAAAGACCAGTTGTCTCATCACAAGGGGGTAGAGTTTATGCCCCACAGGTCTCCTTTGCCCCCAGGCTCCACCCGAGGCCACGTCCTTGCCCAGTACTTCCCGTTCCCTGTCTTCCTGGCCTTAGCCCTGTTGCTGTGCTCCTGAAGTGCATTCCCTCAGTCTCAGCCACATTTGCCCAAATCCCTGCCTCAGGGTCTGCCTCTGGGAGTCTGACCTAAGGCGGAAGCACTGTGAGGGAGCCCTTGTGGTTTAAGGTGTCGCAAACAGACTACAGAGCACAGAGGTACCCTTTGGCCAATGAAAATCTACCCACTGAAAAGAAACCCATGCTTCAGATATGTGAACAAATAGCAAAATATGAGGAAGGAAATATTACATTCACTTAAAATTTCCATAAGGGTAGAGATAGCCAGAACACCAGTTATAGATACTGTGTTAATTAAAGACTTTGGATCAGTTTCCTAGGGCTGTTGTAACAAATTACCAAAACCTGGTTGCATAAAGCAATAGACCTTTATTGGCTCATTGTTCTGGAGGCCAGAAGCACAAAATCAAGGTGTCGGCAGGTGAATTCCTTCTGCAAACTCTGTGGGCGAATCTGTTCCCTGCCTCTCTCCTCTCTGCTAGGGCTGCCACAGTCCTCAGTGCACCTTGATTTCAGATGCATCGCTGCTGCTGTGCCACCTCCATCTTCAAAAACCCTTCCTCTCTGCCTGTCCCTTTGTCTTCCCTGTTCTTAGAAGGACTCCTGTCAATGAGTTTAGGGCTTACCCTAAATCCAGTCAAGCTCATTTCAAGATCTTAACTAATTCTTCTGAGGTGTTTTTTCCAAATAAGGTTACATCCACAGGGGTATCCACAGAGTGGACATGTCTTTGTGGGGTGGGAGAGAGAGTTCAACCCATGACAAATGCATTTGTCATCTAAGGCCCTTTGCCAAGATCCAAAATGGTAGATTCAACGTGTTCTGGACAACTAAGCTTCCTTCCCCCTGCTCCACCCACTGGTCTGCTGGGACAAAAGGCTGTGTCCAAAACCACTCACAGCAAACTGCTCTCCACCATTGCCTGCCAAGTGTAATAAAGGGCTGCCCAGGTGCCAAGAGTCCAGCAACCATAAAACAGCCATCCTCAAAATGAGATGACTCTCAGAACCCTTCCACAACAGCCAGCGATACACAGTTTGAAAACTGAGAGTCTTTGAATGACTAAGAATTTGGCCCTGAGTTTATTCATAAACCTCAATAGCCAAGAAAGATTTACATGAAATCATCAGAGTTAAAAAATCCCACACTCTGCCCAACATATTCAGCTTCTCATTCATTTCCTTTTCGCCTTTCACTTTTCAGTTTCATCAATCATGTGTGTCTTGCCTCTGAAGTCGTAATTTACCTTGAAAGCCACTGGAGCAGGCACCACTCATGTGACTGCAGGACCACAGGGCTGAGGGCATCCTTGAGAACTCAACTTGAATGTGTGGCAGACTTCCCATCACCAAGCCATCCCTATGGACCCAGGGTGAGGCTATCTCTGCCACCAACAGTTCTGGTTTTGGGTCTTTCTATGGTTTAAATGTCCCCTCCAAAACTCATGTTGAAACTTAATCCCCAATGTGACAGTATTGAGAGAGGGATCCTATAAGAGGTGATTGGATCAGGAGGGCAGAATGCTTGTGAATGGGCTAGTCCATTCACAGGTTAATGGATTAATGGGTTAATGGATTAATGGGTTATCATGGGAGGGGACCTGGTAACTTTATAAGAAAGGGAAGGGAGATCTGAGTGACCGACCACCTTTGCATGCTTAGCCCCTTGCTGTGCCATGACTTGTGATGCCTCTGGAGCCTGCAGAGAGTCCCCACCAGCAAGAAGGCTCTTATCAGATTGGGCCTGTTGACCTTGGACTTCTCAGCCTCTAGAACATCAATAAATACATTTATTTTCTTTATAAGTTACCCAATTTCAGGTATTCTGTTAAAAGCAACAGAAAACAGGTGAATACGGAGTTATCCTTACATTTGTTCCTGTAAAGTACCCACTCCACTCCCTGAGGAAAGGCATGGACTGTGCCAAAGGGGGCTTAAAGCACCTTGGAAAAGGCAAGGTTTTCCAGCCATGTGGCCATGGCCATATTAGAACAATTACAGTGGTTTGTTGTCTGTGTCCAATGGCATAGTCTTACTGTGAAGACACAGAGTGGGCATTGGAAAATATATCACAGCCCTTGTGAGTCAGTGTGCAGCTTAGCAGGAAATGCGTGTGTGTGCCAAGAGTGGGCTCTGCAATGCCTGTGTAGCTGGGTGCTGTGTCCAGATAGAGAGACGAGATCCATCACACTTCCTTCAAAATTAGGAGCTGCTAACGTGCTGTTAGTCATGAAGTAAAGAGTCTAAAACATAGTGGTTTTCCTTTAAAATATTATCTCCCATTTGATTAATTTGGTCAATAAGAAGCCAAGTGAGAGCTGTGTGGTGATTTGTTTCAAAATCAAAGGATTTTATGTGTGAAAATAGGAATTATGGCTCTGATTATGATATTATCATTAATACAATTATTTTTAATTAAGAATTTTTATTAGACCTCATCAACTGAAGTAATGGATGTACTGTGAAATAGATTTACTTCCCCCAGATGAAAGGGTCTGCATTATGACCAAAAGCCAAGGAAAAGATGTGCATTTTTCCTGTTTTAAAGACACTACAGCCACCTTTCTGAAGGGCCAGATAGGGTTCTAGTTCATGTGGAGCATTTCCCTAAAATTTGCCACTTTCCCAGTTTCTGACCAGAGAAATCGAAGGATTAGGCTGGAACTCAGGGTCTGTCTGGGCACCATGTGAGCAGGGATGATGTAGATTTTCAATCCTTTTGTCTATTTTTATTTTTATTTTTGAGATGGAGTCTTGCTCTGTCACCCAGGCTGGAGTGCAGTGACACGATCTTGGCTCACTGCAACCTCCACCTCCCAGGTTCAAGCAATTTTCCTGTCTCAACCTCCTGAGTAGCTGGGACTACAGGTGCCCGCCACCACACATGGCTAATTTTTGTATTTTTAATAGAAACGGATTTCACCATGTTGGCCAGGCTGGTCTGGAACTTCTGACCCCAGGTGATCCGCCCGCCTTGGCCTCCCAAAGTGCTGGGATTATAGGCGTGAGCCACCACACCTGGCAGATTTTCAATCTTTTTGGATGCACTGGGTCTGACCTGGAAAGATGATTAGCTATGGGACCATCTACCCTCCGTGTGGTGTGGTCAAAAAGTCTTTCTTTGACCTTTTCCTGTTAGGGGTGGTTCATCACTTGGGGGGCGAGTCTCCGGCTATGTGAACCAGGCAGGATTATTTGCAGTTGATAATCCAGAGCCAAAACTGCCCCCACTAAGCAACACAAAACTCACTTTAATTAATGTCAATATATTTCTTTACATCCACAGCCTCTTGGAAGAGCTAACGCAAAACAAACCAAAGGGAAAAAAAAATCTCAATTGTTTGGGGGATTTTAAGAGAATTCTTTAATATCAGATTAAGCCCATTTTGATTGTCAATCTATTTTCAGCTCAACATTACCAAAGCATATTACAAGAAAACTCCGTTTTATGAAGTGACGGTGATTTACATCTTTCTGTCTCTGCTCTTCCCCCCGACTTCCTCTCGCACACATTCCCTCTCCAGAGGATTTGAAAAGAAGCCTGGAGCTATCCTTGTCGGAGCTCCAGGTTCATCCCACAGACTGAGGAGCTTTTCACAAAACACCATGATTTCCTAGGGTTCCACTGCAGTATCTGGAAAGAAAGATGGTTTTCGGTCTGAACCGTGAGGGAAATGGAGCTCGCTACTTCACAGAATCATCATCATCGTCATCCTCATTCCCATTAGGATTAGAATTGGGTATTCTCTAAAAATCCAAAGTCCGTGACTACCCAATTTCAGCAGCCGTTTTACCCCCATGAGATTGCAACACAGCAAGATCCCACACGTGTGCCTATCTGGGCTGCGTGTGTGAAACTCTCCAGCCCCATTTCTGAACTGAGAGGAGGATGAAGGGCCCTGCAAGGCGATTTTTGCAGGAAAGTTGGAGCTGTGCCTGACGCAGGCTGGGTCTGCAGGCGTTTTGGAAAGACACTCGCCCTGGAAAGTGCAGTACGTCCTGGGGATGTTGTGTAAACACTCGGAGCCTCTTTTCTGCACGGGACCGCTCAGTTCCCGGTTTCCATCTCACAGATTTTCAGGTCTGTTCTGAGGCCCATTTGGCCCCGGGAACATAAAGCAGTGAGGAAGGGAAGCCATTTGGCAGCTGCGTTGTGTTTCTGAGCCCTGTCTTCGGCGTCTGTGGGCTTGCCAGCAGAGAATGCAGAGGCTGGGTCGTGGAAAACGTGTTTTCAGTGATGGCCTGGCCCCAGAAGATTCTGTGGCACAGACCCCTTCTTACTTAAGCCAATGACTGAAGGACTCCCCAGAAGAATCACACACTTGGCCAACACTTGTGAATACATTCCTCACGGCCGACTTTAATTAAATGGAAGCAAATATATTTTAAGAGTTGTTACCACTGATGTGCTACTACAGCAACCCAGCATGTGGAGCATTAATCTATGAATAAAAACAAATTTTGAAATTCAACAATTTCCTTCGAAAGCTTAGTTCTGGCTTTGGTGACATTTTGCAGTGTCCTCAGAAACAGGTAACACAGGAAGTTTCATTTAGGAGTTTCCATGGCTTCAAAGCTCACTGTGTAAATTCCTAACAGATATGGCCTAACTTTTGTAATGTCATAATTACATCCTTCCTAATTATCCTGAGAATAATAGTAAGAGCGGCCCTCACTCACGGAGCCCTTGCTACATGCCAAGCTCAGTGCAAATCGCTTTGCAGCCCTTGGTTCATTTAAGCCCAGGAAGATGCTACGTAGTTCCTCTATTTTTTAGACATGTGGTACATTTTAATATTTCTGAAATTGGGATCGGTCTTATAATTGATAATATCATCTGGCAAAAACAAATACCACACATTCCATATGCACATCAATTTAAAAACCTGCCATTGATCTAAGTCATTTTGGAAGAGAAGTAATAGAGTGTTAAGATTCCCATTTGCGGATGAGGCAAACTGAGAGAGACAAAGGAAATCGCCCAAGGGCACATAGCTAGTAAGCTGTGGAATAGGGGGTTAAGCTCATTTGCTCTCTCTCTCTGATTCTGGCAGAAGCTTGGCTTTGATGCTTTGCTCATTATGAAAACGTTTGTGAAAAGCTGAGCTAATTTATGTGTCCTGAAAGTCCCCACTGCTAAATGAAAGATGGGGATATTTGGGGCATATGCCTAAAATTTGGAGATCGGTATCAGTGAGAAAATTGATCTTTAGTGTCTGTCTACCTGGTACCATCGCAGTGCTATAATCGTGTCATGACTGTGGCCTGGAGGGAGCAGGGAGAGAGGGAGGGAGGGACAGAAGGAGGGAGGGAGGGTGGAAGGAAGCAGGGAGGAGAAAGATAAACCAACGACCTGACCCAGGACAGATGAATGTGGCATTTCACAGCTCGATTTTCCTTGTCTGTCACCTTTTACTTTCTTCTCCTAAGTTTCTCCATTTTCTTCTCCTTTTCTGAGGATCTTGATGACTGCCAGGTACTCACTCAGGAAAGGAGGGTTGCTGATTCTCTGTGAATAAAAAAAAACGTACAAAGGTCACCACCTCTCACGCAGTCTGGTGTTGGCCCCAAGTCCGCAGTTTGTCATTGTTCTTTGTAGCAGCAATGGCACCTGCTCATTTCAGCAACAACATTGTGTGGTCCAGACAATGCAAGTTGAATAGGAAGTCTTTGTCAAATGATTCATGACAGATTAAAAAGGCTACTTCATCAGTGTTATTTCATACCCACATAAATAGTAAGTGATTGAACCTTGGGACACAGCTAGTATGAGAAAGTGATTGCTTTATGGAAAAGAAATCTTCTTTCCAAGCTCTTTCAATTTCCTGATGATCTAGCTCCCAGTTTCCCTTTCAAGACCATTTTATTGGAAGTTAAGATGCTCAGGAAGCAGGGGTGCTGTCCATCAAAGTCATGCTGTGAACAAATAAGGCCTCCAGGTTTCTCATGACACAGTGAGTACTCAGGACTCATCCTTGCAGCAAGCTCCAGTCAGGCACTATGCCACACAATGGTGGCGGCACGCCTTTCGGATGCCGCACAGCTTCTTGGTGGCATGCAGCCTTGCTCTTCACTTTATGAATCTTCTTAGTTGATCAATATTAGGTCCAGTGACCTGAAGCTGAAGAACAACGGGTGGCTCCTGGACAGAGAGGTAGACATGAAGCTCGTGCAGCGCCCGTGCTCACAGAGGGACGCGCTTTCAACGAGCCAGGTGCAGGTGACTGGCATTGCCTTTTCTTCAGGACAGGGCTGTCCTCGTGTTAGCCATGGTAAGGAGCCCTCCTGCCAAGGCAAATCTCCAAGGTGCTCCTGCTGAGAGGCTCTGGCCAAACTTCACATGGCTTCTGGCTATTTTACAAAGAAATCATCTTAAAATGTCACTTTTTCTTCCCAAGAGAAAGCCCTTTTTGTCTCATTCATAAGCTCCTTCCCCTCGGCCCCCTGCCTGCCCATCCACTCCTATTTTCTCCAGCCCACCAGGACCCACCCTCTCCATTGTACAGAACAGAGCTGACACACTTATGGGAGGAATTGACTAGAGTATCTGCAATGATTCCTCCAGGCTCTGCCCCTACGCAGGGACCCACTCACTCACCTCCACCATCAGCAGAGCACAAAGGATGCCGTCTTGGGGATGCAGAAGTGGGCTGTGCTCAGAGGCACATTTGCTAGTAAGCTTATCTGACATTTTGCTTCACCCAATGGCAAAGTAGCATTGGAAAAGCAGCTTAGGATCAGTGCTTACAGGACTAGGAAGGTCTTCTTTGGAAGGGGGATGCTATCAGTTTATAACAGTCAGTGAAGTCCTAGGCTGCACTGTGAGTCCAAGTGGTCAGGCAGCATCTGAATGATGCAATGCACAGCCTCTAATTTCACTCAGTTACAGCTGGGGGGTAGGGGGTGGGGGGGTGTGGCGGGGGGTTGGGGCGCCGTGCTTGGGCCTCTCATTTTACAAAGGTAATTTGAAACTTTATGCTATATTGCGTAGTTGTGTTATGAAAAATTCCAGATTTCCAGAACTATTTTTATGTTCTGGTAAGTTTTTAAACTGGAGAAATGTTCTAAAATAAAATTCAGATAATGAAAGGCACAGGGACTCTGCCAACAAAACATAAAAGCCACCTTTAAATCTGCACATTAGAAAATCAGTGCTGGACCTTGTTTACAGAACACAAAGTAGTTCTAGAGGCAAAGAGCAAGACCTGCTCTGCAAATTTTCCATAGTTGTGGGTAGTAGAGTCACATCGTCCTGCAACAGGAAGAACGAGACATCAGAGTTGCGGGAATAAGATATAAGCAGTAAGGGGACACAGCTCTCTGCTTTGTGGGGAAAGTAAATGTGACCATGACTTTCAGCCCTGGGTCACATGCTTCAGGGATGTCTGTGTTATGAGTTATATAGTGAGGCTTTAAAAAAGTTATATATAGATAGATTAATATAGATATATACAAATACAGATAAAAACAGATACATATATAGATATAGATGGATAGGGTCCCGAATAGAGACAAAGACATAGACAGAGATTCACACACATAATATCAATATAAATATAGACATAGACATAATGTAGCTGTAGATGGGTATATAGATATGCAGATAGAAATAGATGAATATAGATACATACAGATACAAATAAAATTAGATACATATATGGATATACATGGATAGAATCTGGATATAGATAGGCATCAAGAACATAGACATAGATACATATGCATAATATTGATATAAATGTAGACAAATATAATGCATATATAAATATTAGAAGGATAGAGGGGTGGATGGATGCATGGATTGATGGATGGATGGATAGATAGGAGGGTGGCTAGAAAGATGGATAGATGGATAAATAGATGAATGGACAGATGGGTGGATACATGGGTGGATAGGTGAATGGATAGATAGATGGATAGATGGATGAATAGATGGGTGGATAGATGGATGGATAGGTGGGTGGATAGATGGGTGAACAGATGGATGGATGGATGGATGGAGAGAAGGATGAGTAGATGGGTGGATAGATGGGTGGATGAGTGGATAGATAGATGATGGATAGATGGATGAATAAATGAGTGGATGAATTGATGGATAGATATGTAGATCAATGGATAGATGAGTGGATGGGTGGATAGTTGGATGAATAGATGGGTGGATGAGTGGATAGAAAAAGGAATGAATGGGTGGATGGACAGGTGGATAGATGGATGAATAGATAAGTGAATGAATGGATAGATTCATGAAAAGATGGATGGATAAATAGGTGGATGGGTGGATAAATGGACAAATAAATGGGTGGATAGATAGGTAGATAGATGGATGGATAGATGGGTGAGTGGATGGGTGGTTAGGTGGATGGATAGACGGGTGGATAGACAGAGATACGAATGTAGACAGAGATACAGATGGATCAGAGCACAGGTGTAGATGGAGATGGAGAGCTATAGACATGTATTCACTCCACACATATCTGCCTCTTAGGTGCTAACTCTAGGGGCTTTAGAAATGAAAGACAAGTTCCCTAATTTCAAGCAAGCCCCAAGCTAGAGGGCAAGACACTATTATGATTATTTTAATACAAAGTGATGGTCTTTGTTGTAGAAGTAATAAGAACATGTCATTAGAACCAGTGCAGGGCCTGACTCAGCTGAGGAAGGATGCACAGAGGATGAAGAGAGGGAGCTGGGGCCTGTGGTTGAGTTTTGGAGCCAATGGGGTACTAAGGAGGAACAAAGGTGACTGCAGCTGGGGCAGCACAGAGAGGATTTGGGGGGCATCTGCACCCTGGTCTTCCACCTCTGTGGACTTGTGGGTGCGTGCACACACATATGTGTGTTCCATAGCATGTTGGTTCATAGAGCGCTTCCACAAGCCTCATCAGAGACTTGCTTTCAAGGGTGTGTCTCACAGCCACCCACAGCCCTCAGCAGCCCCCTAAGCCTGCAAGGTCTGGGTGAGAAGGAGGCAGGAAAGGCCTCTGACTTGAGGCATCTATGGTCTCCCCAAGGGCTGGGTTGGGGTGAGAGAGGTATGGGAGAGAATATTGATATGACATTGAGAAAGAATCCCAAAGCAATTTTGAGATGGAGTCTTGCTCTGTCACCCAGGCTGGAGTGCAGTGGTGCAATCTTGGCTCACTGCCACCTCCACCTCCCTGGTTCACACCATTCTCCTGCCTCAGCCTCCAGAGTAGCTGGGACTACAGGCACCCACCACCACACCCGGCTAATTTTTTGTATTTTTAGTAGAGACGGGGTTTCACCGTGTTAGCCAGGATGGTCTCAATCTCCTGACCTCGTGACCTACCTGCCTCAGCCTCCCAAAGTGCTGGGATTACCGGCATGAGCCACCGCGCCCATCCTGGTCTGAAAGGGTTTTCTAGAGCAGCACACGGAGCTTCAGGAAATCTGTGGATGCCGACGAGGTCAGGGGGAAGGATGTAAGGTGTCCCAAGCTGGGGCCATATTACAGATCAGCCAAGAAGCAGGCACTGTGACTTCAGCAATCAGTTCTCTACAGAGGAGGTCACTTGCTTGGGAACTTCTACTAAAAGAAGCCACTCAAAATGACCACCATCTGGAGACTGTGTAGAGGACAGTGGCCTTGGAGGGGAGCAAAAGGCATGGAGTCAAAGGCTGGAGGGAGCCCCTCGGCATGGCACTGTGAGGAGGGAGAGACAGCTCACACCAGGCACAGCTCCCAGGAAAAAAACACCACTTTCACAGGTGACTTCCCCACCTCCTGGTGCTGGTTCAGGAGAGCTCAGCTAAAATCTGTCCACTGATCTTTTCTGCCTCCCCTGTGCTCCACCTATGGCTGTCTAGGGCACTTCACCCTCACAAGCAGGCCTGCCCAGCCTCCACTCCTCATTCCCCCGGCCCATTGGCCTGGGAACCAGGGCCTCAGGTCTGCTTTGTGCATTAATGAGGTTTGTTCCAGAATCGCACGAGCACTGAGGATTTTTAAAACCTTGTGACAAAATCTTGGCAATAGTTTGAGCCCATCTCCTCTCCAAATCTCCAGAATCTAGGCAAGCAACCCAGACCACTGACCTTCACCAGAGCCAGGCACTTCCAGGAGGCACCTGTCTGAGACAATCCTGTAGTCCTAAGACCCAAGGAGCCTGATGCTTTCGAGGTCCTGCCTGGGAAGGCTGAGTGGCCCTGGTAAGTGACATTCTCATTATTTCATGGCAGAACACAGCTGTGCACCTAATATGCTGACCCATATCTATGCCTGAAGACAAAACTGAACCTGAAACTCATGAAAAAGGACAAATTGCCCAATGCCTTTTACTTGCACCTCCTTCCCTCCACTTGGTGATCTGGACATTAATGTGTTCCTCTCTGAAACCAATGTGTGAATCTTGTCTAAGCAGCAATGTTACTGCCCTTGAATGTAAATCCATTTGGTTATAATTGTGACTAATTTCATTCAGATTTCTGCCATCATTTAAAGTATTTACATGCTGAGGAGACTTGGCAGGTCAAAAACCTGAGTTTTTTAAAAAAATACTCAGAACTGGCTTTGCTTGCTGCCTTGCCAAGGAGTCTGTACCTGGCCCTCCCACCTAGGGTGACAATAGACTCGCAATGGTGATCCAGTAGACTAGTGGATTCTTGATCCTCTGGCAATGGGCATGAAGGAAAATAAGGAGAGAAAGGAGAGGATGAAGGAGCATCAGGTCATTTCTAAGTAATGCTTCACAGAACACAGAGGTGGTACAAGATGAAAGGTGCAAGTTGCGAGCTGCGTGGCTCCTGCACACCACTGTTGAGAGTCCACTCTCTCACCATCTTCTCCAGGCTTCATGATGGGCCAGCTTTTATCTCTCACTAGAAACTTCTGACACGCTGCTGGCAAAGTCTTTGAGCAGCAATCTGGGGTTGTTCCTGTTCCTGCTAAAGCAGGAGGTGGGAGTCAGGTGGGGCCTCTGAGTCAGGGATGTATGCAGCTGTGACAAGGCATAGATTGTCACACCTGGCACATTGGATGGCATTGGATAGCACCCTGGAGACTTCATCAGGGCTGCTCCAGAGAGATCCTGGCTCTGCAGACTCCACTCTGGGTGCCGCTTCCTTTCTCCTTAAGATATATCCTAGGTCATGTCTGCCACATTCCCCAAGGTCAGTGCCACTTCTCACAGCCACTGAAGAGGTCTCTAAGAAGCCAATACCTAGAACAACAGTGCGTGAAATAGATGCTAAGGCAGCTTCTCCTTCTTGGCACCAGCATCAGTCGGAAGGTTCTAAGGACAGTTTGTTGCATGTAGAATGAATTCCTGCTTGAGGGCATGCAGGTCTAGACATTTGGGAAGTTATTCTCATCTCCAGCCTCTGGGGGAACACCGAGCAGAGGTATAGCAGGTGTGAACGGGACCGGTCAAGTACCGTGGGACTAGCGTTTTTGTCCCAAGAGATGGGCCTTCCAGAAACAACATGGAGTCATCATAGTTTTTCTAGTTTCTCTTACATTTTGAGTTTTGTCCCCTGACAAATATACGTGAAAGCCCAACCCCCAGTACCACGAAATGTGACTTTATTTGGAAGTAGGTTCTTTACAGAAATAATCAAATTAAAATGAGGTCACTAGTGTGGACCTGTATTAATCTGTTCTCATACTGCTGTAAAGATATACTACCTGAGACTGAGTGATTTATAAAAGAAAGAGGTTTAATTGACTCACAGTCCCGCATGGCTAGAGAGTCCTCAGGAAATTTACAATCATGGTGGAAGGAGAAGGGGAAGCAAGTTTGGACTTTCTCACATGGTGGTAGGTGGGAGAAGCAAGAGCGAAGGGGGAAGGGGCAAGAGCCCCTTATAAAACAATCAGATCTCATGAGAACTCACTCACTCTCACAAGAACAGCATGGGGAAAATCACACCCATGATCCAATCACCTCCCACCAGGTTCCTCCCTTGACATGCGGAGATTATGGGGATTACAATTCAAGATGAGATTTGGTGCCTGTAATCCCAGCACTTTGGGAAGCTGAGGCAGGAGGATCACTTGAGGTCAGGAGTTTGAGACCAGCCTGGCCAACATGATGAAACCCCGTCTCTACTAAAAATACAAAAATTAGCTGGGCATGATGGCATGTGCCTGTAATCCCAGCTGCTCGGAAGGCTGAGGCAGCAGAATCACTTGAGCCCAGGAGGCAGAAGTTGCAGTGAGCCAAGATCGTGCCATTGCACTCCAGCCTGGGAGACAGAGTGAGACTCCATCTCAAAAACAGAAAAACATTGAGACACAAAGCCTAACTATATCAGGACCTTAATCCAGTGTGATCGGTATCCTTATAAAAGGGGGATAGTTGGATGCAGAGACGGACACACAGAAAATAAAGATGATGTGGAGACACAGACAAAACTCACATAAAGGAGGAGGGTTGGAGGGATGCATCCACCCTGAGGGAGGCCTGACGCCACCAGAGCTGGGAGGGAGGCAGGAGAGAGATACCTCCCTGGCGCTTTCGGAGGGAGTGAGGCCCCAATGACATCTTGATTTGGGACTTTCGGCCTCCAGAACTGTGGGACATTAAATTTCTGTTGGTTACGCACTACAGCATGTCGTGCTTTGCTACTCTAGTCCTAGGACACAAACATACTTCCTCTTCCCTGATATCGCGTGCACACCTGACACCATGTGCACACTGGGCCCTCCCAGCTCTGCAGAAGGCAGGGCCATAGGCCAGGAGCTCCTGTGTCCTGCCCCCCACCACACCTGTGCAGGGACTGTGGCCTTCTGGGGAGTGTCACCAACTACTGGTTCTACAATGTGCAGACACAAGAGAGGGAACTTCCTGGAGGCATCACCTCGACTTCTGTGTTCCAGCCACGGCCAGTAGGAAACAGCACTTTCAGATGCCCATTCTTGAATTCAGCTGGGGCAGCCATCAGTAATCAGGCAATGAGGCCCAGTCTTTTCCGATTTGGAGCCCGCTGATATCCTGTAACCTAAGGGAAATGAGTTGATCATTTCAGTCAAAGGATAACCACACTGGGTCACCCCATCCCAGGGCTGCAGGAGGCCAGCCAGGCCCCTGTGTTTGTCTGAGCCCATCACAGAGTGTCAGTTCCAATGAGTGGCCATGCCACTGTTTAGATGACATTACCTGGGAGTACAAACCAAGGAGAGTAAACCTCCAAGCCTGTGTTCCTGGGGTGGGCAGAGCCCGCCTGATCCTGCTGTTTCCCACTAAACGGGCCTTGGGGGATCGTCTGGTTGATGGGGCACCTGACACGCAGGTGGTTCAGAGCTGTGTTTTGTGTTTGCTGGAGAGGAAGAGTTTCCCATCCCCAACCCGTGGAGCAGGAACATGCCACATTTCTGAGGCCACGTCATTCTGCTTTCTCTCTCTGCCTCAGTCTCAGCTCTACACTTTGGCTTAAAGCAACATATGCACAGTGTAGAGGATTCATGGGGGAAAACAGAAATGAAGAAGACCTCCAGGAAATGCCCCCTGCAGCCACTCACAGATTCTCCTCCTTGAACTGCAGAAAACCTTGTGCCATCTGCAGAAGAATGTTGGAGGAGGAGTCACAAGGACACACCAACATGGCACCTGGTGGCACCTGTGGCAGACATACTATTTTTTTTTTTTTTTTTTGAGATAAAATCTTGCTCTGTTGCCAGGCTGGAGTGCAATGGTGCAGTCTTGGCTCCCTGTAACCTCCACCTCCTGGGTTCAAGCAATTCTCCCTGCCTCACCCTCCCAAGTAGCTGAGATTTACAGGCACCCACCACAACACCCAGCCAACTTTTTTTTTTTTTTGTATTTTTAGTAGAGACAGGGTTTCTCCATGTTGGTCAGGCTGGTCTCGAACTGCTTACCTCAGGTGATCCACCCGCCTCAGCCTCCCAAAGGGCTGGGATTATAGGCGTAAGCCCACGTGTCCAGCCGATACATCCTTAATCCACTTGATACCATCTGAAAACTTGAAAGACACAATGATTACTGACTTGATCAGGTTCTACAAATTACATCAATACAGTTTTCACTTTTCTTAACTATCTGGATAATTTGACTAAACGTGGACGCAACGTGGTCCAGTCCACATGGATGTGTCTCATGTTTACACTGAAGCCCTGCTCCTCCTACAAAAAGAGGTCATTTGGGAAATAGGAAAAGCACGCTAGTTAATATTATAAACACTCTTAGCCCTCACTGACCTCCGAGTCAGCTTCCTGGCCTAAATTCTTCTAACACTGTGGAAGAGCACAGTTCCCCCGACTTAGTCCTCCTGCCATGTTGCTCCACACCAGAAGGAGTCAGATAATGAGATCCCGAGTTCCTTGGAGAAATCACAACCTCTGGCATCCACTGGGGAAATGTCACTCTAATAAAAGGGAATGAGGACAATCCCCATGTCCTCTCACAGAGAGCAGCCACAGGTGGCTTTCATCAATCCACCAGGGTTCCTCTACTCTCAGAAGAGTGTATGTTGATCAGCTCCATGGCCCAGGATCTCATCAGGCCTCAGGACACTCACACACTTCCACTCAGGAGCCAGAGAGGCAGGTGGCAGTTACCGGGGAACAGTCAAACCAGACTCACAGAAGCTGTAAAAGCCAATCTCTGGCCAAGCCCTGGAGATGGCTCTAAAACTCATGCAAAAGTTTTGCCCAGGGAAAATCTGTGTTTCATCCCCATGGCATGCTCCACTCTACACCCTGATTACTGCCCCCAAACCACCCATCCCCATTCCTAGACCCTGGCAACACAAGGACGGGCTTGCACACAGCTAACAACACAACTAACCAAGACTCTACAAATCCACCTCACCACTGGGACTTAGGTTCAAGATGGCAGGCTGGGACCTGGCTTCAGGAGGTGAAGCAAAAGCAAGTGTAGCCTTGGGTGCTCTTCTCAAAACAGTAGCTGGAGTGTCAGAGACCACAGCCCCCTGACAGTAGAGCTTGGAGTTTCTCTGTCTGCTCATGCCATATCCCGCCACTCAGCACATGTTTGCTGAAAAATTAAATGAACAAGAGCCTGCCAGGTTGTCTCCTGGGACTAAAAGAAATGGGACAGAAGCACCGACGTATCTGTGCAAAAATGGAGCGTGTGCCCCTAGGGAGTCAGTGCAGACCAGCTGTTGGGCCGTCTACCCTCGCGGATGCTGTGGGTCACAAGAAGTCGGACTCCTGGACCACTGAGCCCCGGGCTGCTGCAGGAGGTCTGAGGTCTGGGGAATGGGAAGCTGAGATCAGCGTGCGTGTAAAAGTGTGTCAGGCTTGGAGACAGACAGGAATGTTCCCCACAGAGGCAAATGTTCTGCAAATGTGCCAACACTGGAGGTGTTTCCCGCGCGGAGCGACCAAAGAGAGGAATCATTTCGACAGAAGAGGCAGCACTGGAAGTATCCATGGTGGGGAAGGGGGGAAGGCCAGGGTCCGGCGGGGAGGGGTTGAGGACAAACAGCTCGCTGCTGAAGGGCAGGAAAGCCACGAAAGTCTTGTCATCAGGGGAGCGTGAGCTACAGTCGCTGCGTGAGGGGGATGGAGACTCTGGCTGCTGTGGAGAAAAATCGATGAGAAAACCTTGGAATAAAGATTTGCAGAAAACCTGGCAGGAAAAGCTGAGAGAAGGAAACAAAAAGTCCCTTTTCCATCCTCCCAGCAAGGGCAGCATGGCGTCGGGAAGAGCCAGGGACCCGGCTGTGCGCTTGGATCCATCACTGCTCTGGGCTGTGCTCCTGGGCCCTCCCAAGGCTCTTATGACGGTGAGCAGGTTTTGAACATCCTGTCATGAAATTCATCTAATGGGGAACCGGAACGATCACATCATTTTTAGTGAGGCTCTATTCTCTGGTCCTAAAATCTCACCCCAGAGTTAGCCAACCTTACATGTCTGGATAAGACACCCATATTCTTACAGTATCTCTTTTTGACATTTAGAAACACTCAAGGAATGGAAATTTAGTGCCAGACTGTGTGGAACTCACCTTTAATTCTACAGTCAGGTAGTAAAATCTATGATCACCTGCAGATTCTCAACAAGGAGGCTCCAGTGGCCTTCACTGGCCCTCGGAGGGGTGGGGGAGGACATAAGATGGGGAGAAGAGACAACCAGGCACCTTCGCAGGGAGATGCTAGAACATCGTAGCACCCAGAGCTTCTTTGAGTGGAAACAGATACATTTCCAAGGCGTTAACAGCTCCTGTGAAAGCTAACCCAGTAGGATACAGACTCTTGGACTAAATAATATTTTGAAATCTACAAAAGCACCTTTCTCTTCCCAAGCAGCTTTTCTGAAACGTATTCTGCAGCCTTTCTCTGTTGGCCTCTGGCACACAGATATGAGAAATCTGATTCCTGCACTTTTCCTTTCTGTTTGTGAAGGAAGAATAAACTGCATTTTGCCAGGTGAACAGGAGCATAAATTCAGCCGAGATGGTGTCTCATTAATCAGTTCGCAGGGCTGGAGAAATGATACCAGACTGGGATCCCCATACTAACTGCATCAACTTAGAAATGAATCATTTACTTATAGGAAAGGAAAAATACAAAAATGGTGGAGGGGAGCCAGCTATTTTTCATCCAATTCCTCTTTGGTTTTTACGATTGAAAAATGGAATAATTTAACAGAACAGGTACATACAATAGGTACAGTGCACGCACACTTCCCGTAATGCAAATTGGTGTCTGACAGTGGAGAAAGGAAGGAATGCCAGAAGGCACGTCTGCATTTGGAGAGATGAGGAGCATAAATCTGAGAGGGAGATTAAACTCAAGCTTCATGAAGCTTGCTCAGCCCTCAGTATAAGGAGATGAAATCGAGCTCTGGCTTCTAACTGCATCAGATCGGATAATGGACGGATACTATGTCATGAAGTCATCATGGAAAACCTCAACTGACCTTCTGATTCCAGTACTCATCTGAGTAATTCCAAAGCTAGGTTCGGAGAAACACAATAATCAAACAAGATCCCGATGCGTTTCCCAACAGTTCTTGGATATTTGCATAATGTAAATAGAAGGCTTTTCCTAAAATGAAAGGCCAATATGCCTGCCCAAGGACCTTCTTGCTCCGTTAAAAAGACAAATTTATCTGCGAAGTAATGGGAACGGCCAGACTCAAGTATAGAAATGGACGGTTTTACGTATTTCCTTTTGCACAGAAATATGTTTTAAATGAAATACTACCTGACAGATAAATTACTTGGCTTTGTGCATACAACAGATTGATTTAGTGTTCCCAGCAGCCCAGATGGCTGGCGACAACTTTGTAGGTGCTTAAACATCTTAGTACATGAAGGCAATTTCTGCACTAATGCAAAACATTTGTAGAGTGACCCCAGTGTGTAATCTTTCTCTTTTAACCCGAGAAAAGATCAGCCTTAGAGTAGTAAGACACAAATGGGCTGAGGTAACCCGTACCTTCTTTAAAACAAAGGGAGAGTTAAAGGTACCATAATCGCGGTTTCACAGTGACCCGAAATTAAAATGCTTGCTCCAATGTTCAGAGCATTCGGAAAACCCTTCCTCGAGTGTAGGAACAGACATGCTGGCAATTTGCTTTTATAATTGCGGTCTTCGTCATCTCTAATTTTAAATAGTAATGTGAAGAGGACAGCTGGAAATTTAGCTGGCTGTTCTCTCAATTCCCAACAAGAACAAAGAAGTGCCAACCCTAAAGGAACCTCTCTAGGCATGGATATGGGAAAATTAACAATCTATGCTGAAAACATATGTTGTACAGAAGCAGCGTCTTAATAATAATAATGCCAGCTCGGTGTCCAGACCATGGGACCATCCTACAGGTGAACCCATTTTATAATGAGAAACTTGTGCTACTAAATTACCTGGATGGAGGCCAAAACAGATTTGCTGAATGCCAAGTTTTGCCTGGAGGAAACGGTGCAGGAAACAAAACAAAGAACAGCATTCTACTATTGAACCGAACCTTCAGAGAAGGACAGCAAAATGATCAAGGAGCCTGAATAGCTGCAACTGGGAGGCTTCATAGCTTGGGGATCCAGTGTGCAGGGCAAAGCCAGCCAGGCTGGAGCCCAACACAGCTGTGAAATCACAAAGTGCCTGGGTGGAAGACAAAGAAATCCTGGTCTAAGGATTGGGACCAACGGTCACCCTCGAAGCTGAAAAATAGATGGATAAAATACAAAAACGATTGTGTGTGCCCAGCTTGCATACACACCTGTGTGTTTTGTCTGTCTCTTACCTTCAGTGGGGAAGAAATGACATAAGCTAAAACTATAAATAAATCCTCAGATAACATGCCGTGATAAATTATTTTGATAAATTTGAATCAACATGGGGACACATCCTTATGTTTGAGGGTGGTTCCCTAGAACTAAGGATCTCGTGATTCTAGTAACAGCAACAAGGCATCAGATTCATGGACTCCTTGAAGGAGCTTGGAGAAGAAGAGCAAATGAGGGCACTTTGAACAGTTTAAATGCTCTGTCCTCGACTTCCATGGGAAATATATTTGTGTCAATAAAATGTTCATCTTATCTTGTCACAGTATTTTTAATAGTGAATCAAAGCCAGAGGGTCTTTGATGATCAACAGAGTAAATTTATTTAAATGGATTTAAAATATCTTAGTGGATGGGTGTTTCGCTGTTCCTAGTTGATTGAGGAGGGAAGCTGCAGCTAATATCTGTCTTTTGAGAAAGTTCAAGAGGACCTAGATAAGTTTATTTACCTGCTCAGTGGTTCACAAAAGTCCAACTTTATCAGGGAGTAAGTTTTCTTCAAGTAAGTGGACATTCACTTCACCTATACTTATTATTATGGCCCTGCTCAGGTGGTGATGCCTCCCTTCCTCCATCTCAAAATGTGCAGTCCATGCACACAAATGACCACAGAAAGGAGTAGGTAGTCGTATGTCCTTTACAGGACACAGTGTCATTAGGTCTTTAGAGAGTGCTTCTCCAAAGGCAATACAGCTTCTCACTAGTCCAGAGATTAACAGCCTAACGATGTTGGTTTACTATGGCTTTTCTGCAAACTACTTGTGAAGAATAATATGCCCCATTTCTAAATTAAAGTAAACGTGATTAGCCTATTATTGTCCACAGGAGACTGACATCTAATTCTGCCCTTCCAAAATCCCAGTTGTAATGCACAACATCTGCAGTGCACAATGAATGTTATGTATTAATATATTTCTAGTGTATATATAAAAACATATAAATACAGTGTACATGTAATATGCATAAATCTGTAACAAGACTGGAATCAGGAGTGCCTATTCTCATACCCTGATGTGGAGAATGTCTGCAAAATGCACTGCCAGTGGTAACAGGCTGTGTTAATACAGCTGCTTCTTAGGATGGTAGACCCAAAAGCCTTCCGTTACAATGCAGGAGGGAGATCATTGCAGGGCTCCATTAGAAGTGCCTAATGTGCAAGGTGTCAGCAGGTCACAGCTGGAATTAGTGGCCCTTGAGATTACATGGGGGTCACCCACAGCAAAATCCAGCTTGGTAGATGGGCTTATCTCTGACTGTCAAACAGCAGCACAGGAAGAGGCTAGGCAAAGTCCTTGCCCTCACTGATGGCTAATCTGGAAGCTTGATCACATACAAACCCAGATTCCGCAAGCCACTTCCCCAGACACAAAGACACAGTGAGGGAAGATGCTCTCCTCCTGGAGCCATGAATCATTCCAGGTCCCTCCTGACTTCCAGCCCTCTGTGCCCCTTAATCTGTAGAATGAATGTTATCAACCAATCCTGGAGCTGAGATCCTAGAACATGATCTAAAAGCATGCCAAGAAGGATGAGGGAGAGAGTCAGGGGACTCTGTGATTCCTGGCTTGTGGAAATGTGAGGCCAACAGAGGCTTCTTCTTGTCTGGAGAGGAGTAAAAACTGTGTGAGCCTAATGCAGAGGTCCCTCAGAATAAGATAACATTGTACTCAAGACGCTGGAGAGAAAAATACTTCTGAAAAATGTTTATTACAGAAAGTGCAACCCAGGAATAAAACAGAAAATTTAAGAGTAAAGCAAGAAAATATGAGAAGTCTTCAAAAAAACCATAGACAATCAATATTATGAACAACTATGCATGAATTTCACATTTTTTGTATCAAAATAAGCTTGCATTAACTTGTCATATAACATATCTGACCAGGATCTAGTTTGAGGCACTAAGAACGATAAGACATTAGTTTTTAAAAAGAGTCCCTGTCAGAGCAACATGAATTCTGCTAAAATTGAAGCAAGAACAAACATCAAATGTATGCTGAAACTTGGGAGGAAGAATGGTGAAATCACTGATGCTTTACGAAAAGTTTATGGAGACAATTCTTCAAGGAAATCAGCAGTTTACAAATGGATAACTTGCTTTAAGAAGGGATAAGACCATGTTGAAGATGAAGCCCACAGAAGCAGACCACAGACATCAATTTTCAAAGAAAAAAATAATCTTGTTCATACCCTAGTTGAAAAGGACCAATGATTAACAGAGGAAACAATAGCCAACACCATAGACATCTCAGTTGGTTCAACTAACACAATTCTGTCTGAAAAATTAAAGTTAAGCAAACTTTTACCTAATGGGTACCAAAACATTTGCACCCAGATCAGCTGCAAACAAGAGCGGAGCTTTCAATGTGAATTATAAACAAATGAGATGAAGATCCTGAAGCATTTCTTGGAAGAATTGTAACAGGAGATGAAACATGGCTTTGCCAGTACCATCCTGAAGACAAAGCACAGTCAGAGCAATGGCTACCAAGAGATGGAAGAGGTCCGGCCAAAGCAGCAGTGGACCAGTCAAGAGTAAAGGTCATGGCAACAGGTTTGGGGATGCTCAAGGCATTTTTACTTGCTGACTTTCTGAAGGGCCAAAGAATGGTAATAACTGTATATTATGAGAGTGTTTTTAGAAATTTGGCCAAAACATTTGCAGAAAAATGCCCAGGAAAGCTTCACCAGAGAGTCCTTCTCCACCACGACAATGCTCCTGCTTATTCCTCTCATCAAACAGGGGTGATTTTTTCAGAGTTTTGATGGGAAATCCTTAGGCATTCACCTTACAGTCCTGATTTTGGTTCCATCTGACTTCCTTTAATTTCCTAATCTTTGGAGCACCCATTTTTCTTCAGTTAATAAGGTAAAAAAGATTCCATTCACATGGTTAAATTCCCAGGACCCTCAGTTTGCTAGGGATGAACTAAATGGCTGGTATCATCTTTACAAAAGTGTCTTGAACTTGATGGAGTTCATGTTGAGAAATAAAGTTTAAATTTTTATCTTTATCTTTTAATTCTATTTTTCCACAAACTTTTTGAAGTCCCTTCCTGAAATAACTAAATTATAATATGGAAGAAGTAAGAAAATGTATTGTGACAAACAACCATAAATCGTGTCAAAATGGTGTGTTGGAAAATGTGAAATAAATGTTATTACATGCAGCTGATACATGTGCCCACCTGGAAAATTCCTTGATAAGAAAATGCATAAGAGTTCTATAAAGTAATTGGTAACTAAATAGATGTATAAAAATATTGAGTTATCTCTATCCAATTGAAAATACAATAAAAAAGAAAAAGCCCATTATGTCTGTTGTAGTATCTGTACCAACAGCAAATAATAATAAACTCTCTTCAGAGGAGATCACATAATAAAGTTCATAAATGTGTGTGTGTGTGACGTGTGTGGTCTGTGCATGCATGAACATAAGATATGATGAAGGTGGCATTTTAAAATCATAACCAAAAGACTGATAATTTTTAAATGTTTTGTACAATTTCTTAATTATTAAAGGAGAAAAAAAGCAGTGTCTTACCTCCTGACATACACCATAATATCTGCTAGATGAAAAGATGAAATATGAATCATAAATCATGAAAGAACTGGAAGACAACATGGATTAATGTGTATCTGATCTTAGAAGAGGGAAGTCTTTCTCAGCATGACACAAAGAAACTATAAAGAAAGAGACAGATCTAATTATGTAACTACATTAATGAAGCATTAAAAGGAAACATCATAAACAAATTCAAAAAGCCCATGATATTCTGAGAAAGTTATTTGGATCACATTTCAAAGAGTTAATCTATTTATGGTATAAAGATGCCTTGCAAACCAGTAAGAAAAAGACAAATAACTCGATGAAAAAGGAAACAATTCACAAGATAAGAGGTACAGGTGTTTAATAAAACATGACAAATGTTTAGTTTCACTGTTAGCGAAGAAAATGGAGATTAAAATAAGATCTATCATGTTTTGCTAAAACAATGGTTATTATTTTTGAAAACTTGTAATGAACATACTTAGTTTCTTTGAAGATTCTGTGAAAGGAGGCTTCCTTGCACACTCTTGCCAAAGTCTTGTTGATAGAATAATTTTGAGGGCAATTTGATAATAATATATGAAAGAAATGTACACGCCATCTAATAAAGTAGCGACTCTCAGGCTTTCAGCTAATATTGCGCTCAGGACTTCTGTGTAGGATATTCAATGAAGTTTTATCTATACCAGTCATAAACGGGAAACAGCCTGAATGACCCATAAGAGTGAGCTAGTTAAATTGGTAATGGTACATTCAAAGGGTAGAATGCTATTTAGCTGAAAATTATCTTCCCAGACCACCTGTAGTGAATAAGGAAAATAAGCCTATTAGAAGGGGTATACAGGCCAGGTGCGGTGGCTCACTACTATAATCCCAGCACTTTGGGAGGCCGAAACGGGTGGATCACGAGGTCAAGACTTCAAGACCAACCTGGCCAAGAGGCCGAAACCCCATCTCTACTAAAAATACAAAAAAAAAAGTAGCCGGGTGTTGTAGTAAGTGCCTGTAATCCCAGCTACTCGGGAGGCTGAGGCAGGAGAATTGCTTGAACCTGGGCAACAGAGGTTGCAGTGAGCCGAGATCACGCCACTGCACTACAACCTGGGCTGCAGAACAAGACTCCGTCTCAAAAAACAAAACAAAACAAAATAAAACAAAAAACAAGAAGAGGTATACAAAATCTTATGCCCAATTTGATCAATATTGTATTCCCCCCTTATCCTCAGGGAATATGTTCTAAGGCCTCCAGTGGATGTCTGAAATCCCAGAGAGTACTTAACTCTGGATGTACTGTGAGTGGATGTCTGAAATCCCAGAGAGTACTTAACTCTGGATGTACTGTGCTTTTTTTTTTTTTTTTGTCACCTGTACAGTCATCCCTTGATATCCACAGGGGATTAGTTCCAGGACCCCCTGCACATATCAAAATTTGTGGATGCTCAAGTCTCATATAAAATGGTGTCGTATTTGCATATAACCTCCCTTATACTTTAAATCAGGGGTGTCCAATATTTTGGCTTCCCTAGGCCACACTGGAAGAAGAAGGATTGTCTTGGGCCACACAAAAAATACACTAACACTAATCATAGTTGATGAGCTTAAAAAAGTTGCAAAAAATCTCATAATGTTTTTAAAAAGTTTATTAATTTGTGTTGGGCTGCATTCAAAGCTATCCTGGGCCACATGTAGCCCGTGGGCGGGTTGGACAAACTTGCCTTAATTCATCTCTAGATTACTTATAATACCTAATACAATGAAACTGCTATATACAAGGCTGTTATACTGCATTTAAGCCTCTGTTATTTTTTATTGTTTTATTGTTATTTTTATTGTTTTTCCTTTTCAGAATATTTTCAACTCATGGTTGATTGAATCTGCAGATGCGGAACCTGTGGATATGGACAGCTGACTGTAACACACACCTATGATAAAGTTTAATTATAAATTAGACACAGTAAGAAATTAACAACAATAACTCATAATAAAATTGAATAATTCTAACACACTGTAATCAAAGTTATGTGAATGTAGTCTCTCTTTCTCTCTCTCTCAAAGTATCTTAATATTTTCCAACCACAGTTGATCTTGGGCAACTAAAACCAAATGAAGTGAAACTGCATAGAAGGGGGTACTTCTGTACATGCAAAACAAAGCATTCCCAGCCAGGCACAGTGGCTCACGCCTGTAATCCCAACACTTTGGGAGGCCGAGGTGGGTGGGTCACCTGAGGTCAGGAGTTCAAGACCAGCCTGGTTAACATGATGAAACCCCATCTCTACTAAAAATACAAAAATCAGCTGGGCGTGGTGGTGGGCACCTGTAGTCCCAGCTACTTGGGAGGCTGAGGCAGGAGGATCGCTTGAACTCGGGAGGCACAGGTTGCAGTGAGCGGAGATAACACCACTGAATTCCAGCCTGGGGGGAACACAGTGAAACTCTGTCTCACAAAAAAGGAAAGAGAAAGAAAGAAAGGAAGGAAGGAAGGAAGGAAGGAAGGAAGGAAAGAAAGAAAGAGAAAAAGAAAGAAAGAAAGAAAGAAAGAAAGAAAGAAAGAAAGAAAGAAAGAAAGAAAGAAAGAAAGAAAGGGAGAGAGAAAGAAAGAAAGAAGGAAAGAAAGAAAGAGGAAGGGAAGGGAAAGGGAAGGGGAGGGGAGGGAAGGGGAGCGGAGGGGAGGGAAGGGGAGGGGAGGGGAGGGAGACAGGCAAGCACTTCCAGGTATGTGTTTGTTTTTCTTCATTCTCTCTTGAGCTTTCCCAGTTTTGAACAAATAACATGGATTACTGCTTTTGCCAGAAATCTAAATAAGTTAAATGTTTTAGACAAATAAACATGATTAATGACACCACCTATTAACGCATCAGAGCACTACAGTGAGCAGCCCCAACAACCGTGCAAGGACCACAGTTCAAAACTAGTACGTGGGCTTTAGTAATGGCAACCCACGTTCCAGTCCTGTGCCACTCCTTTCTGTGAATCTGGGCAACTCGCCTCATCTCTCGAACCTTATACATGGCGAACAGCCTTTAAGCTATAGCAATTAATTAGAATATTCATTTAGTTTAGACGCATTCACAATTTCAAAATAAGATGTATGAATTCATTAGTTTTTCCTCCTAAAGTGATAAACTGCCTGGGGACCACCAGTTAGCCCACCCTGGATGGTCAGTGATCTATTAACCACACCGTGAGAAACCCCATTCGGATGACAAATTGGCTTTGTAAGTTTGCTGTCTTTCCAACTCAAGCTCCACTCAGGGTTTACCACTTTACAATGTACCAAAGGGTACATAGAGCTTGGAGCAAATACAGGTGCAAGATGTTTGCAATTGCAGCGGCGTCCCCTCCACGTTGCCATGTCTTGCCAGGAGGATGGTGATGCGTCTGCATCTGCTCAGTAAGAAGTGTCTTTGAAGGGCTGGATAGATAGTGCTGAAGGTATCAGATCCTTTATTGCCCAGCTTGAGAAGAAAGCACTTTTTTCTTATTCACAATGAGTAGTACCAAGCATTGTCAGTTTTATTTAGAAACCTAAACATAGACTGTTAGAACAGAAATGAAAAATCAAGAAACTTTGTGGAAAAAGGAAAAAGACAGAAGTAAATACACCAAGCAAGTAGACAAACGGAACTACTGTGATCGCATGCTGCATTGGGATCTATGGAGCACCTAGATCCTAGTAATACAAATTAGACATAAAATTGACATATTTCCCAGGAACTCTATACATGGGCTGGGTTGCCAAGTTCTGCTATAAATTTACATGGAGCAAAAACATCTCTAGGAAAGGCAAATGAGGCGTTTTGATCTATGAGCTCAAGCTTCAATGTCTAGGATATCCTGAAAGTCCTCCTATGATTTGTCTTGGAGTGAAGGGGAAAAAAAAATTTAAACTAAAGCCAAGCCAACAGGAAATTTGCACTTTTTCATATTTGAGAGCCAAATGAGCTGCTGAAATACATAGTAAGAGTTCAAAATGTGTTCACTGCGGTTTGATTGCATACAGACTTTTCCAGGGAGTTCAGCAAAGCGCATGATACAATCGAAAGAGTCAGGCAATGTTAGAGGAACCGAGAGAAAAAGAAGTAAAAAATTGGATTCCAGTTTTGGCACTTTCCAGTTCCATTTTGGTGAATACACTCAGGAGGCTTGAGGGAGCTTAGAACACGAGCTTGGAAAGAGATGCTCAGAGACCCATAAACAGACTGTGGCCATCAGGGAACATGGGGCAGTCAGCCTTCAGCTGCATTTTTTTTTTTCACCAAGCTTTTAATTTCAATAGGAACACAAGGCACTGATGGAGTGCTTTTGGGTCTCAACTGGTCTCAGATTTTTAAATATTAAGCCAAATACTCAATTTAATAATGCAGAAGAATTTAATTTTGAGTCCTGACTACAGATCAGTGTCGAATTCTCAAACAAGAAGAGGAGGTGGCAGGGGTAGAGGGGAGGACAAGAGCTATTGATGTGTTCCCAAGTTCTTCCAGCCTGGTCCAAACATTACTCCATGAGGGTGGGCCCCAGGGGCCTCTGGCTACACTTTCCCAGGTCTACCTCCCAGGCATTTTATTGCAAATGAAATAGGTTTCTAACCCTCCTTAAATCTATTGTACTCACTATAGCACAGCTGGGCAAAAAAATATTGGACTGTTGGGCCTCTGAGTGGCAGATGGCACCAGCACACTCACCTTGACAGGGCACGTGGAAACCTGCTCCCTCAGGGCCACAGGGAAATGATTTCCATTAAATAAAAGCAGAAATACCCTGATTAGAGGGCTATATGGTTAAACCCCAATAACAATTGTTTAGTGGTAATGACTGGAATTTAGAACTCTGTAACTTAAGAGCTTGGAGGCACATCTCCAAACAAATCAGCCTGCTCTTTCTATATTCCCTGATGGACCCAAGGCTTCGGGGACCCTTCATCAGGGAGATGGGTGGTCTCTTGCTCTTCTTCCCCATCTTTGGCCAGACTGATCCATGTGTGGTGTAGCCTAAAGAGCTCTGGGCTTAGAAGCGAGATGCCAGGTCCATGCCAATCCTCTCCAGAGTTCGCTGAGTTCTCCTAGCCAAGTTGTGCCATTTCTGCAGCCTCCATTTTACCCTGGAAGAGGAAGGGGGCGGCATGCATCATCTCTCTCATGCCTTACAGCTTGGACACGCCGACTTTTGGCACCCAATGATGACAAGTGGGGGCTATGCCCCTTCAGCCCAGGGCAGCACCAGGGCAGGTCAATCAACCTGATGTGTCACTCAACAGTGTATCCAAGACTGGGGCTTGGGGTAGTTCATTCCTCAAGTTCCGTTCAAGGTCTGTGTGTATATGATTCTTTAGGGGGAGATATGAAATTGACAGCACATTTTGCATCCTTTTCATCACAGGCCCCACTCCAAGCTCCAAATTTGCCTACTGCAGGGTGCTCAATCTCAGCCATCGAAGAGCCCTTCCTCTGTTCTTGGGGCAGCACCAGAATCCTGTGAGCTTGGTGACGCCAGAAGTCAGAGAAAGGCCCAGCTGAAAGGTCCTGGAGGCAAGTGGCTCTGCTGCTTCCAAGGAGTTTGGGCACAGGAATCACCCCCCACGCCAGGACCTGTGGTTGATGCCAAGAGTCCAGCCTCCCTAGTAGCCCCACCCGCTGTCCTCCAGCGAGGTCTTTCTGTCTCCCAGGGTCAGGGCAGGAGCCAAGCGAGTGTGGAGCCCCATGAATTGAGAAGAACTGCAGAGTTCCAGCTCCTCCAGTCATGGAGATGTTCCCATCTGCCCAGCATCTCCTGCTGCTCACAGGCAAGCTAGCTGCTGGTGCACTAAAGACTGGCAGGCAGTTTTTCTGAAACTTCTTTTGCTTTCTGCCCTGCACTTCGAATCAAAGGAACTGAAGCTACTTGCAAAACAATTAACCAACAATTCAGGGACAAGAAAATATCCACGATTAGCTCAGAAAGGTTTTTTGCTATATAGCCTAAGTCACTCTTGAAGTGCATAGGGACACAACTGGACACATCTCAGAGAACAGGAGGAGGGGGTATTGAAACTTCCCTGTAAAACACCAAAATAATAAATAAAGTACAAGATCATAAGTAAAATGACAGTGTAGGCTTTTATGTAGCAAAATGAGTTTGCAATATAAACTCATTCCTTTTTTGAAAAAGTCATGATTTTACATTCACCCAAAATATGATCGACTCAGGAAAGGACCATCAATAGAGACTAAAACCATCACTCATATATTGCTAATGGAAAGATGCACACTTATCATGAAAAAATATAGCAGTTCTTATCTTAAGCAGCCTCAGTAGTGATGGGGAAACCTGTCCTGTGCCCATGAAGTTCGACCACACGAAGTCCAGCTATTTTTGCCAAACATATTTACCTTGGGTCAAGCCTTTATACCTAACCTCTGTTTACAGGAGATTCAGAGGCTAGAAGAAAATGTTAAACCCCACCACATGGAAACCATCAGAGAAACTCTGCAGTGGGACTTTGCATAAGACAAGGCACCTGGTCTTTTCAAAACAACATCACACAAAAAATAGGAGAGACATGCTCTAGACAAAAGACACTCAGAAGTGACAACAGCCAGAAGCCGTTCATGGTCCTTCACTGGATTCTGTCTGAAAGAGAAAACCATCAAAGACATTTTGAGGAAAACTGGAGAAATTTAAGTATGGGCTAAATAGTAGATGAATTTAGGGAATTATTACTACCATTCCTACCTATGATAACGGTGTTTTATGTAAGAGAAAGTCCTTGTGTTTGGAAGCTGCATGCTGATGTGTTTCGGGAAGTGTGGCATGATGCCTGCACTCACTTTTAAAAGATTCAGCTGGAGCAATAACTTGAGATAAGCAAATGTGGGAAATACGAACAACGATCAGATGCATGAGACAAGTGCATGGATGATCACTGTGCTACTCTTTCCGTCTTTCCCTATGATTACAGAAGTCCAAGGCAGCTTGGAAATATGAAGGCGTGCCTGGCTGTCTGGTGGGAACTAAGGGTCTAAGCCATGCAAAGCCCACGTCAGAATGGCAGGACAAAGGAAGCCGCTGTCGGACAGCAGGCTTCACACAGGTGAAAAATGAGTTTTACAACAGTACATGCCAAAGATCTTGGGGTTGCTGAGCCTAGCTTGATGGACAGATTGTGTTAGCTGTGAGATCATTGGTTATATTGATCAAGATCAAGGTAATAGAAATGCCAGTGGGAGCTGGCTCTGGAGTGTGGGTTTCCCCAGGAGAACACAGCAGACCTCCCAGAACCATGCATTTCTTATTAGCATATTCAGTGTGAGATGAAGCATCTTACTTAGTTTCGCATTTGATCTTTGTATGAAAGTGCTTTAAACAAAATTACACACACTGATATACCCCAGCATTAACCTTCCTAGAGGATAACTTTGTTCTGTGTTCAAAAGTATCAGTGGCTCTCCATTGCCTACTGAGGAAAACAAACTATTTAGTGTAGCGTTGTGGGCCCTCCCTGATCTCCCCAAACCACCTTTCTAGCCTTCTTTGCTTTAGTTCCTTACTGGGCCTGTGATCAGCCATGCTGGGCCGCTTGCCATTCTTCTAAATTCAGCTTCTGTTTCTGAACCTTTGCAGGTTTATTCCACCAAGAAAGCACTCCCATCTCCATCTCTCTGGAGTTAAAGCTGCCTGGGACGGAATCCAAGTTTCACCATTGATTGGCTGTATAGGGAAGTCACTTCAACCTCTTTAAGCCTCAGTTTTCCCTTCTGCATAATTAGCTTAATGCTGACTTCACAAAATGGTTGTAAGGATTAAAAGAGATAAATACCATGTGTCTGGCTTTGGGCTAATACATTTACATATAAGGACTCAATTAATGTTTATCTATCTATCCATTCATCTATCCATCTACCTATCTATCTCTCTATTGCATCATCGTCATCATTAATCAGTATTCAGTAAATGTCAGGTAAATGAATAAATAGAATAATATTAGATAAAAGAATATTCAAAGGCCCCGACTGTGTAGTGATGCCAAGCCGAATCAAATCCAGGAGGGTCCTGTTCTGGATCCACGGTGCCCCAGATTGAACCAGGCTGATTTCCTGGGCCTTGATTCTAGGGGCTCCTGGCAGCACAGGGTGGAATGCAGGGCAAGCAGGACATCCTCTGAGGGGCTAGTTAAGGTGAACCTACAGAGGATCATTGCAAGGAGAACATTATCTGTCCCACTCTCCACTGGTTCCACAGGAGGGAATCCAAAACCTCAGCTGGGTCCCAGTCAGGGAAAGACAGAGGAAGATTCCTTCCTAACATCTGACCTTAACCTTGGACCCACATTTGGAGAATTCCCTGAACTCACTGTCTCCTCCCACCTGGCTCATCTTGACTCCTCCCTTTTGCTTTGAGAAGTCTTCCTGGATGCCTCTGCCAGGCTGGACCTCTGTGCTCCCCTTCCTGGCCCCATAACACCTAGTCCTTCCCTCCAGCATAGCTCAGTTTGTCTTATTTGGAAACACTGTGCTTCTCTGCTTCCTTGCAGCACATGCTCCTTGAGCCAGGAGGCTGTGCGTGGCCATCCACCCAGTATTTAGCACAGGGCCTGGCACACGGCAGACAGTAAAGGACCATTTGTTGAATGGGCAACAGTTGGCAACAGGCACACAGGAAGTATCCCCGGATGGTGCTGGTGACGTTGATGATAGGCCCACATCAGCACAGCCAAGGCAGCATAGCCAAGCTTACTTGGAAGCATCCAAGATGAAGCCATCTTGGGAAAAACAAAGCCACAATGAGCACTTAACACCTGGCCAGTAGTGGGAGGAGTGAATGAGTATCAGTTTGCCATCGCTCTTCAGGGCAGCCTGGTGGGAGCCAGTGCCACCTCTACCACCAGGGCCCAAGTGGCTGGCAAGTGTTCCCTCATGCATCTGTGGGCTGGTAACATCACGGTGAGGCCAGGCTGCTTCAGGGCCATTTGCAAACAGATTACCCTCTAGGTGCCATATTCCAAGTGAGTGGAGAGCAAGTCCACAGCTGAATACAAAAGCGACATGTTTCCTTTTGTTCTGCTTTCCCTTCTCTGTAAAACTCACCACTTTTCAAATCAGACATGGATGAAGCTCTGGGGCTTGGCAAACTTAGGGAACATAAAGTTTGCAGAGAATTGTTTAAACAGAAAAAGCAGAGAGCTTTCCACCAGCTTCTCTCTGTCTGCAGCACTCCGCAATATGGGAATCTACCGGGAGCAAGTACCAGGAATGAATTCCAAATGACCTGGAAGAACTACTAAGCGAAGAGGGATGGAGGTCTGCAAAGTCCCAGCTCCACTCAGGGGCAACAAGAGAGGAAAACAAAAACAGAGAAGGGGAACTCGAGGCAAGTTCCATCTTGGATCTCAGCTCTGCCTCCTGGGCTGGGAGGGCAACGCCGCGCAGTGTGAGCTGGCTGTGGCCTCTCATCCCCTCCGGCCCTGTCAGAAGCAGGCCAGGGCTCTGTGGTCCCAGCCTTCATGTGGAAGCACTCATGCTCATACTCAACATCGCCTGGCTCACAGCACACGCTTCGTCACATTTGCAAAGGGAAGAAACAAGCAGGAGTGCCCCTTAGCTTCCCTCCTCACCTGCTGCTGCTGTATTATCACAGTCATGGTATTATCAGTGTGACTAACTAGCACATAAATAGGAAGACATGATTTATAATGATGTCCTGCATGTATTAACACATTGAGAAATTCCGTGAGGTGAGGATTAGTAACTTATTTTACAAATTAAATCATATTAGGCAAGTCATCTAAACTTCCAGGTTTTGATATACTTACTAACCTAAACTCTTACAGACATTCAACCCAATCTTACTACCTCATCAGCATCTCATAACCACAGCTTCTTAGAATGACAAACTATGAAAGAGATCCATAAATAATTCTTTTATATTTAATAATTTTAATTTTAAAAAATATTTTTAAAATATTTAAATAAAATACTTAAAATTATTTAAGTAATAAATATTTAAATACTCCTTTATTTAATAAAATAATTTAAGTATTTTATTTAAATATTCAGTAAATATTTAAAAAATAATTTTAATGTTCTTAAAAAAGTAACCTATGCCCATTTACAAAAATTAAACTGGAGAATAGGATCCATGGGGTGCAGAAGGAAGGGAAGTCTCTCTCCACCCCAGCCATCAAACTTCACTGTCAGATGTAGACATCATAACTAGTTTCTTGTATCCTCATACATATACAAATGTGTGTGTGTGTGCATGTGTGTGTGTGTGATCTTTATGTATACAAGTGGCGTGTGTGATGCATATTGTAATACATCTTGATTTTTTAAAAATAAATATATAACTTGGAGATTTTTTCCATATCAGTAAATAACTCATGTTTTTAATGTTTGTTATATACATAAAATATAATGTATTATATTTTATGGATATAACAGAAATTATTCAATGAGTTACCTATCATTGAACAATATTTTTAAGTTTTTTTGTCACCATTAAAAAAAACATGCTGTATATCTTTTTTTAACGGGTGCCTAAGGAGAATTCCTGGTTAAAAAGGTACGTAGATAATTATCAAATTGCTTCCAAAGAGGATGCACAAAGTTACACCTACATTAAACATGCACAAAATGCCTCTTTTCACTCAACATGATGAATACAGTATATTAAGATTTTTTAAGTTTTTTATCAATCTCATAGATCATAGTATCTCATTTAAATGTATTTAATTAACTTCTTTAGTAAAGAGTAAAGTTGAGCTTTTTACCCTAAATTCAAAAGTCATTTATATTTCTTTGTGCGTGTAATTTCACTCCTCTTTCTCAGAATTTTATATTGCATCCTGACTTTTTCTAATTGACCTGAAAGAGCTCTTTACATGCCAAGAAATGAAGATCTCTATTTATCATGTAGGTGGCCAAACTCTGACTTGTTTCTCCGATTTGTTGTTTGTCTTTTCACTTTGAGCAATTTTCCTTGACAAATGGTAAGTTTGCATAATTTTTTAAAATTGTGGCATGTGGATATTTTTCCTGTTAAGTTTTTCCCAGCCTGAACTTATATAAATAAGATTATCCCGTTTTCTTTTCTAGTATTTTTAAGTTGAATTTGGCACCTTTAAGTCTTTGATACATCTGTCATTTACATTGGTATCTAGGGAATTAGCTGGGGGTATAGATTGGATTTGTTTGTCAAATGGCTAGTTAATGTTTCAACAATGCTTCTTATATAATCCATGAGTTTTCCACTGATCTTAAATACTATAGTTATTGTATTCTAAATGTATATATGTGTTAGAGTTTATCTTTGTCTCTATTTTTTTACCTTGTTCTTGTCTACTCCGTCAACCCCCAATTGTTTAATTTACTCTAGTTTCATAACACATGTAATATCTGGATTTTTTTACCTCATTTATTTTTCATCTTCAGATTTTTTCTTTCTATTTATGCAAGAATAATATTCTTATGAAATTTAGAATTTGATAATGTAAAAAAAATTGTGTTGAGATGTCTATTGGGATTACATTTAGTTTACATTGCTGAAATATTTATTCATTCTAAGAACAGGGCATTTTTTTCCTTGTAAGTCTTTCAGCAGGATTTTAATTTTTTTTTTCATATGGATGTTTTACATTGTTGGCTTGGCTTATTCTAATTATTTTGGTCATTGTTGAAATTGTAAGTGAGAACTTTTTTCCTACTAGGAAAGAAATGCAAACATGCGCAAGCATGCACACACACATACATATATGTATGTATGTATCTCCGTAGATTAAGATTCATATTCTAGCACTAAGACCAAAACTGAAATAGATCCACTCTAACAAAAGCTAAAGGCAAGCTGACAGGATCAGGAGATCTGCCAATAGTTTAATTACCTACCAGAACAGAGCTTAACATCCATTAAAGGCAACATAACAATACACCCTACAACATGTTATAAATGTTCAGCATACAATAAAAAATTATTACACAAAGCAGGAAAATGTTATTCATAATCATAAGAAGAAGCATTCCATGGAAATATACATATGCTGGAGAATTTAAAGGCAAAGAGGTAGATAAAATGTGAAGGGAGCAGGAATCTTAGCAGAAAAGGAAGACCCAAAGGTAAGTTCTATTCCAGAAGAGCAAAATATCCGAAGTAAAATATTCATCCAGATGAGCTACTCAGCAGGTTAGAGAGCAAAGAAAGGGCCCATAACTAAAAACTGACCAGTAGAAACTCTACAAACACAGAGAAAGAAAAACATAGAGAAGAAAGTTTTTTGTTTTTGTTTTTGTTTTGTTTTTGTTTTTTTACGAACAGAGCCTCAATAACCTGGAGGAGAAAAATTAGCAATGGAGTAAGTTTGCGACAGGATTTCCAGAAGGAGAGAAAGGACGGAATAGGTCAGAAAAACATATAGTTATATATAACAAATAAATAATGCTGAACTATTTTCAAGTTTCAGGAAAAGCGTCCATCTACAGGTTGAAGAAGCACAACAATCCTGAACTGGGAAAACGCAAAGAGAACCATGCCTGCGCACACCTCACGGGAAACCGGTTGAAAATCAATGATACAGAACACCCTGAAAAGAGCCATAGACAAATAACACATTAAATACACAGAAAAAAACAAAGACAGCTGGCTTCTCAGCAATCAACCAATCAAGGCCAAAGATGAAGGAATAACATCTTTAAAGTGATAAAAAGTAAACACTGCCAATCCCTTATTTTACATGCACCGAAACTACTTGTGGCAATCAACAAAAAGCAGTAGATAAGAAAAATTTGTAGCTTTAAATGAAGATATTTCCAGAAAAAACTATAAAGTCACTGGTAGTAGATTTCTTCTAAGAAGATAGAACATGCACAGCAAATAAAACACAAAAACTAATAAGGGAGTAAAAAAAAATAAAGATCAGATAAATCAATGAAATAAAAAACAAACAATAAAGAAAATTAACAAAGATAAATTTAGGTCTTTGAAAATATTAACAAAATCACATTTTATTAACCCTGCCCATGACTAATCAGGGAAAAAGAAGAAAGAAAAATACACTTACCTACACCATGAATGAAGAGGATGTCACCTGTTACTCATACCCTAGCCATTGAAAAATATTATGAAAATACTGCTAACAACTTTATGCCAGTATATCTTACAAATGAGAGTAAATGGAAAAATTCCCTGAGAAACATAACTTATCAAAACTGACACAAGAAGAAGTTTGAAAATTATATTTCTAATTGACAAAGGAAAATTGTGTCTATGGTGTGCAGCATGATGTTTGCAAATATCTATACATTGTGTAATGGCTTAACAGGGCTGATTAACTTATGAATTCCCTCACATTTGTCATTTTTTTGTGGTGAGAACACTTGAAATTTAATCTCTTTTGAAATGAGAAATTTAAAAAATCTGAATAGTATGATATTGGTTAAAGCAATTAAACTTACCATGAAAAGCCTGGGCACATGCACACGTGTGTGCATAGACACCCACAGGCTACCTTGTATCAAACGCTTAAGGACAACATAAATCCAGTCGTACACGAACCCTCTCAGAAAGTAAAGTGGGAGAGACCACTTCTCAGTCATTTTTTGATGCCAGTATAACTCTGATACCAAAAAGCATATTACAAACAAATGTAAAGAAGAAACTAATATTCCTTATGAAGGTACAAATAAAATGGTTAATAAAATATTAGGAAATCAAATTCAGCAATATGCAAAAAGGCTAATACATTCTTGGCAAGTGAGTTTTATCCTAAGTATTCAAGGTCAACTTAATATTTGAAAATTGGTCAATATAATTCTCGCCAAATCTCCAAAATTAAGGAAACAAAAATGTGATCATTTCAACAGATGCAGAAAAAGCATCTGTTGAAATTCAACACCAACTCATGACAAGAAAAAAGCAACTCTCATTAAATTACAAAATAAGAGAACTTGCTCGTTCTGATAAAGGGAATCTGTAAAAAATATCTACATCTAACATGACGTTTAATGGTGAAATGTTCAATGTTTTTCTTCTAAGAATGATATAAGACAATGGCATATTGTTATCACTTCAATTCAGCAGAATAATAAAGCAAAAAAAAATGCCATAAAGTTGGAAAGGAAGGAGTAAAATTATTTTTATTTTCAGATGACATGATTGCATTATAGGAAATTCTAGGGAATCTTCAAAAACACTGCTAGAACTAGTGAGTGAACGGAGCGTGATCACAGCATAGATAAATATAAAAATTCAACTGGACTTATACATACTCATTACAGAAAGCCCACTTTAAGAAACGGCGCCATCTACAGTAACATAAAAAAAAAAAAGATCTTGTTTAAGAATAAATTTAATAGAAGCCATGCCATAATAGGTAGACAACTACACTGAAAACTGAAAAGACAATTTCTGAGAGAAATTTTTTAAAAACTAAATAAATGAAGAGATAAACAAAATTCATGGATTAGAAAACTCAGCATTATCAAGATGTCAGTTTTCCCCCAAATTGATTTCTATAGATTCAACATAATGCCAATCAAAATCTTAGCAAACATTTTTGAAAAAAAAAAAAAAAAAAGCTGATTCTAAAACATATGGTAGTAAAAAAAAAAAATCTAGGACAGCCAAAACAATCTTAAAAACAATTTACAGAATTTTTACTACCTGATATTAAGACTCACTATATACTATAGTTACTAAGGCTATGTGATTTTAGCTTATGGTATTACAAATAGATCAAAGAGATGGAGCAGATTAAGAAATTCCAAGATAGATCCACCTATATATGGTCAAATGATTTTTGATAAGGGCCAAATGGAATTCAACAGGGAAGTATTATCTTTTCATCTAATAGTGTTGGAACAATTGGATAAGCATAACAGAAGAAAATGCACTTTAATCTCTGCTTTACATACCAAATAATAATAATAATAATAACTTGAAATGTATCATAGCCCTAAACATAAAAGCTAAAACTAGACAACTTTTGGAAGAAAATATAAAAGGATGTTTTTGCTAACTTGAATTAGGAAGATTTACTAGAGAGAATGCAAAAAGCACTAAGCAAAAAACAATAATAATTTATCAATTGGACAGCATCAAAATTAGCAACTTCTGTTCATCGAAGGTATCTATTAAGAAAATGAAAAGTCAAGCCACAGACTTGGAAAAAAGAAGTATTTGCAATTATATATATCTATAAAACTATATACACATATATAGATAGTTATAGATATATATACACACACATATATACACTCACATATATGTATATATATATATAAAGGCTTTGCACCCAGATTATATAGAGAAGTCCTAAAATCCACTAATAAAAATGAAAAAAAAACATATTTTAAAAGAGGCAAAAGACTTGAGGTAGAGCCTTCACAGGAGAAGAAATATGAATGGCCAATAAGCACATGAAAAGATGCTTTATGTCACCAGTCATCAGGATACTAACAATTAAATCCACATTATATGCCACTTTGAACTTAACGGAACAGCTAAAATTAAAAAGACTAAACACTAAACGTTGGTGAAGATGTGGACCAACTGAACAGAGTTAGACATTGCTGATGGGAGCCTAAAGTGGTATACTTTTTTAAATGACGTAATTGCTTTGGGAAACAGGCAATATCTTATAAAGTTAAAAATACCCTTACCTTATGATCTAGAAGTTCTAGTCCTTAGTATTTACCAAAGACAAATGAAAATGTATGGCCACAAAAAAAAACTTGCATGTGAATGGTTATAGCAACTGTATTCATAATACCCCCAAACTGGAAACAACAGAAACGTTCATCAACAGAGAAATAACAACTCCATGGTGGTATATTCCTATAATGGAATAATACTCAGGATTACAAATATACTGATGCATATAGCAACATGGATGAATCTTGAAAACATCATGTCGAGGGACGGAAGCTAAACACAAATGTGTACATTCTGAATGACTGCATTTATATGAAGTTTAGATAAAAGTAATTGATGGTGATAGAAATTAAATAGTAGTTGTCCATAGGAGTGGGAGTTAACTCTAAGGAGGCATGAGGAAATCTGGTGATGGAAAAATTCTGTCAAGATTGAGGTTTTGGTTACACTGGTATATGCACCTTTGTCTAAACTCATCCAAATTAATGCTGAAATACCGTGCATTCAGCAAGTTCAGATTTTACTTTAAAATATTGGATATCCTTCTGTTATGATTATTTTGCCAGTCTGATACTTACATATATTTTTCTATGTTTTGACATGTTAAGGAAGCATCCATATAGTCAGAAATTTATGTTTAATCTTGTTTTCTTTTCTTTTTTTTTTAACACTGTGATGACAGAGGGAGAAAGAGAGAATGCAAGAAAGAGATTTGGTTCAGTTTTAACCAAAAAAGCAATCATGCGATGTGAATTATTTTACTATTTATTCTATTTTTTGCTCCAGTGTGTGACATGGACAGTCTTTAAAGTCAGCACTAATAAGACAGCCTTTTAAATTTGCATATTACAGATTAAAATATGATGGCACCTTCTCTTAAAGATCACTTCCTGACTCTTTTCAGTCCCGCTCATCAGGGTGTGGGGGGTGCATCCTTGAAGGCCCCTTTGCTTAGTGAGCATTGTAGAATTTGCTCTAAAACATCTATGAATCAAGGTATACTCTGGAAATACACCATTTCTCAAACAAAGGTTAAAGGTTACACAGCTGTTTCATTGCATAGTAATAAATCAGTATTCTGATTCCCAGAAAATGACCTAAAAATGCTTAGCACAAACACCAACTTCGTAGGCCTTTTCAGAGGAAGTCCTGGTGGTTCTGCCATTGCCAAGTGGCCTTCATCTTAATGTTCATTGCTGGATACCAGTGTCACAAGGCAGGTCTCGCTCACACTTCCTGGCATGCTGACTTGAATCGCTAAACAGTTCCTCAATAAATAGGCATAGGTATTAGAAGTTTCACAAGAAGACTGAAGAGTAAAAACATTTTTACTTACTCATATCTATGGAAAAAAATGTGTGTGTGTGTTGGCGGGGGGTGTATGTGTATACAATTAAAAATCTGCATCTTCAATGAAACAAATGACCAAACAAAAAGCTCTCTGAAACACCAGGCTTCAATCAAGCTGCCGGTAGCATCACAGGGATCTTCTGGAGATCCCTCCCTTCCCACCTTCAGTTCACATTTCCGGTGGAGCTCAACTCTCCTCCCAGTCCTGGGTGGGGAGGTGGCCCAAGCTTGGCCAATCAGTGCAGCACATCCATCCACCCACAGTGACCAGTTGAAGAGCAGCCTTGGGGTCACATGGGCCTAGTGGAGGTCGGCACCAGGGCTTTCCCTGGAACTGAGGTTCTCTTTCTATGTCAACTGCCACCCTTCTGAACAGTATCTTGATCCCCACTGGGAAGTCAGATTAAGCATGAAGCCAATGATGTACTGACCACTTAGTACTTCAACATGAAAGTACTGGGGGAAAAAAGCACAGATAAAAGCAGAATGAAAGAAAAAAAAGTATGGATTCATTTATTATTATTGAGCCTCTGGATCCAGATGGGACTGTCATCAATGATCAAGTCAATATATTCCCTCTTGTGTTTGAGATATTTTGACTTCTTTTACTTGCAGCCAAAAGAGTCCTGGTTAAAACAGCATCCAGGGAGAAGTTGGATTTCACATTTTTCTTATTTACACTACGCAATGCTAGAGAAAGACAGAATTATAGCCGTGAAGTTTGCCTCTAACGTTGTCCGAGGTGGACATTTTGAAGCATGTAAGAACACATGGAACACAGCATTTGTTATTCATTTTTAAGGCAAACCAAGTCAAAATTAAACAAAAGGACTACTTGACAACTAAATTCAGCCAAGCAGGATGTGAATTCAAATAAAGAACTCAGTTGTACGCTTAAATGAATTTGATGTTCTCATTCTCCAGCCTTTCTCGAATAATTCTTTATTTTGGAAACTAAATATCTGTGGAAAGTACGGATTTAGAAAAGAATGCACTAGTTATCCTATTCTTTCTTTGTCATCATTTATAGCAGAGTTAGCAGTGGTCACAATAAGAGCATAACCACTGAGCACAAGACAAGTGCATACATTTTGAGCGTAACTTATCTGTTGTCTTTTAACCAGCACATATTGACACTAATCAATCTCAGAGCTTGCTCTGTTGGCTTCTTATTTTGTTTTGTTCTGTTCTGCTTTCCCTTTTTAAAATAGAATGCTTGATAACATGGCAGGAAGCCAGTAATCCGCACATTAAGTTTAGGTCAATGCTAACCTAATATCTCCCCAAAGCTTGACGTGAATGGGCAAAGGTCCCCAGGAGAACTGGTCCCCAGAGGTCACACAGTACATTTAGGGAGGAAACAGGTCCAAGACTCCTTTGGTCCCGGGACAGTGTGATGTTGGCTCTGTCAGTTACCATCTATCCATTGAGGAAATTAGTGTTTTCACTTCCAAAGAAGGTTCTAGGCACATCACACTTCCATTTCTACTCCCCAAAGAATTTTAAATTAGTCATAGAATGAACGTAAAGTGTGATTTTACATTTCTGTGGAATTGTTGCCATATTTTCCCCATAACAGTGATTCATTTTAAGGCCTTCAATTAGTCAAGAGGGAAAAAAAAAGGTGTTACTCTTATTGGTACAAATATTATGTGTCTCAGCACATCATCCCAAACAAACAGATGAAAGGGGCTTATCCCTCATAGACTCAGCTTGTAGTCAGACATAGCTGCCAGTGTTCAGTGATTTTCTACAGGGACAAAATCTGGGAATCTTGGTTTTCTTGGAACAGTGGTACATCCTCCCCTTTCCCCGATCTCTGGATTGAGTTTAAGCCTTGATATTTAAACTCCCCCAGAGCAAAATGTACATGTTTTGTGATTTTGGAAATTTTCCTTCTATTGTGTTAGCCGATTGTTTAAAAACAAAAGAACCCCAAATCCATCCAGCTCAAGTCAATTTCCTCTCCCTCTCTTCTGATCTAGAAAACTAAAACGAGGGAACTTTCCTTGCTGACTTGACACTACAAATTGAAGAAGGGAAACAGTGTGGGAAAATGCCTTGGTTACATGGAAGCCTTGGAGAAGGCCCAATGGTAGAGCATCCCCAGGGTGTGAGAGTTGGAAACATGATGAATGAGCCGGCCGAGAAGCTCTGCCTCCTCCCGGCATATGTTTTTGTACTCTCTTCCTAATATATTACAGGATTATTGCTAAGGCGTGAACAGTTCTGGAACTCCTCCTCATCCCTTAAGACTTAGCCAGCCCACCCCATGTTTTACTTGAAACATAAACTACTTGCAAAGACAAGGCTCACACAATCATTACGAGGGCACAGAGCCTTAACAATGAAGGTGCACCTGTGCTTCATCTGGGGCTTTCAAAATAGCAATGAGTTTCACATTTTTAAGGGGGAAAAAACCAAGAATAACACCATGCTTTATGGAAGGGTGGTAAATCCAGAATATGTAACAGTATGTATACTTGTGCTTGGTACCATATTGAGATTTCTTTAAAAATTGTTTCCTGAAAAAAAAAACAAACACACCAGCCCAAAATGTTCCCATCTATTACAATAAATGTGGAAAAATGTCGTCTTAGGTTTTCTGGGTTCTGAATAATGATGACATCAAATGGTGATGGTAATACTTCTGTGAATTTCCAGAAGGTTTTTGAGCCTTTTATACAGATCAGTGAAGTTTTCTTCTTTTTTTTTCCCTTTCAGAGACAAAAAGTTATACTTGTCCAAAGTTTAATGAAAGTCCAAGAAACTGCGTCTCTGTTTCAATCCACACAAGGTTCATGTTGATCCACACTAGAAAGGCTTTAGGGAGAAAAGGGAAGATCTGAATGTTGGGTTTGTGATATTCTGATTCAAAATCTACAAAAGCCAAATGTTCAAAATTTCTCTCAAGTGGTTAAATGTCACGTCTGACAGGAGGAGATATTCATGAAGTTTTTTTTTTTTTTTTAAGTGCAGTTGGTAGAGGGAAGCCACAGGAGCTAAAAGGCAGGTCCTGGCTGTGGGCTCCTGCTGAGTACACAGGCTGGGTGTGGGACCCTGGGCTGGCCTGGGCACCTGCTTTCCCACTCCACACCCTCCCAGACACAGGCACCAGGGTCTGTGCTGGGAGAAGCCACAGAACATCTCAGAGGCCTCAATTCAAAGGCAGGAGTGCAGAGCAATGGGGTCGCATTTGTTCCCAAAGATGCCCAAATTTACTCTATGAAACTCCTTCTTCTGTAAATGGGTGGGGTGCTTGGCCCAGAGTTCACTGTTCTCCTTGTCACCGCCAAGACTGCAAGACTTTTCAGGGAGCCCCTTCCTCTCTTTCTCGTGCCTCTCCCCTCTGCCTGCCGTAATGCCCCCCCAACTTCTCGGAATCTCGGTGACTTCTTTAGTGTCTGTGTCACCTCATTACTGTCCAGGAGCCTCATAGGTTTTACTGGAGGGTTCTCCTGGTAGAAAGGGAGTCTCACGGACACACTTGATTTTGCCATTCCTCCTCCAGCCTTTACTGTATCTGCTGCTCTCAAACCTTGGGGCAGAAAAGAAAATGGAAACCAGAACTTTAAGCTTCAATTGGAAGGAGGGTGAGAAAAGCAAAGAGAAAGAAAGAGAAGGATTGGAATCCAAATATCAACAAATTTGCCTTCCAAGCAAACCCATCTTATTTCCACCCACCCCAGTCATTTTTATTCACTCTAATCCCACTGGTAATTAATTCCTTTTCAGCAATAGTGGTAGATTTATTTGATTTAAATTTAATACAGATAATCCAACATTTTCCAGCTGATATAAAAAAACTTGTAGGCAAAACTCATAAAAGTCACCACAGGAATGAGCAGAATTTTCTTCATTCTGCCGAGCAGCCCAGTACAGAAGATACTCTTTGGGTCTGGAATGGGACTCCTCTCGCAGTCTGGGCTCCTGGTCAACCGCTCTGTGCCTCCATCTCCTCCACTGGGAATCTCGGGTCATGGGCTGTGGAGACCACAGAAGCCAGTGCATGAAAGGCCGTGTAAGGCTGTTCCATACATGCTGGAGGGTGGCCTCCCATTGGAGTAACGGAGCAGAGAAAAGGTGGCAGTTGGCGTTGACAGATAGCTGTGTTCCAGCGACACTGGGTTATGAAGAGGAGAGATGTTCTGCTAACCAACCCTTCCACCTGTTACAAACTCAGATGAATTTCTGAGAACACAAGAGCCAAGTCAGGTAAACAGTGTGGCCAGCCCCCAAGATGGAGAGAGGCCTACGGAAGTTTTAGAGACAATCCAGCCATTGATTTATTTTTCTGTGCATATGATACTGCAGAGATTCTAGAATTCTCCTCTCCTCCTCTGCCATTCTAACACCAACATTTCTGCCCCTCCACCCCACCATCTTCCTTGCACAGAATTCCCAGAGCTGCAGACCTGAATTCACCTGTGCATGGTCTTGACTGCTGTCCTTGCTGTTTGCAGAGAGTGTCATCTGCCAGCTACCACAGCACCCCAAGAAAGTGAAGGCAGAAAGACCAATGCCAGGGGGACAGGAGTGGTGAGGGGGGGAGTGGGAGCATCCAGAACTCATCTCCTAAAAACAACTTCCCTCTTGTGAACTGCAGGTCTTAGTTGGCAGGGAGAAGCCCTCAGCCCAGCTGTGGACACCAGAAAGGATCTTCGGGATGATTGGAAGGCAGCCTCCAGACATGAGCCTACCTGCACCCCCTAAAGAGACAGGAAGGGAGGGCAGATGTGAGAGGCGTGGCTCAGAGACAGTTTTCTGGATGACATCTTGGTCTAGTATTTTGGGGGTGACTTGCTGCTTAAAATAGGGGCCGTTGCTCCGATCATGGATCTTACTGAGATGAATGAGACCCCCTCATTTCTGAAGGGAGAAAGGCATTTTGATCCAGTTGCTGAAGCTTGGCTCACATGCTAAATTCACAGCATGGTCCCTGTGACAAGAAGCACATTCTTCTGGCACACATTTATTCCTGGCTTTTAATTCATTGCAGCTCCTCAGCCACACCTGATTGTTTTTCTTCGGGGAGCTGGACACAGAGTACCTTGTGTTTCCTGTGCCTGTACCTCGCATCCCAGCAGCCGTGGCAGTGCCAAAGCGATCGTGTGCATAACAGTGTTAATAAAAATCCACTCCAGAAATGGAATGGGGTTTCCAGAGGCCCACGGCAACCAAACAGAGCCCCAAGTCCCTTTTTTAAAAACTGCAATGCCTCCTCCTTCCCCCGAAATGTTTATTTTATCTGTTTTTTAGACATAAAAAGGCAAACAATGCTGTAATTATCTTTAGAAAAATGGGAAGTAGCAAGAGCCTGAGAGAATGAATCATGCGTCTGTTTTCTCTTTTTCCTTCCATAACTGTTTCTTTTGGAAGATACCTGAATTGTGGTTATTAATTTATCTTTATGTGATTTCCAGCTGCTGATCACGTGTTAAACCAGATATGAAGGGGAAAAAAGAGGTGCCTGGGGACCAGGGCTTTTCTCAAAGTGAAAAGCAGGTTTTTACAATCCCCAGCCCTAGTACCCACGTCCCTTGGCAATACACTGCCATTTCTCCTAGGCGCCTAACCCAACAAGACACGAAGGGTAGTCAGCTGGAAAATGGAATTTGTCCATACATGGGGAGACAAGCCTGGGAAGTGGATTGCCATGGGGTCAGCTGTGAAGCCGATGGTGGAGGAGCAGAAGCCATCGCCAGAGGACCCTGGTGGGAGCCACTCCCTGGGATGCCGCACTCCGCTTGAGGCTGAGGACCACAGGAAGCCGAATGTGATGTGAAATCATTAGAGCCCCTTAAGTACTTTAATCAGGAAGGGCAGGTGACCTTAGGGTGACACAGCGAGAGCCTCCGTCTGGGGACACAGGACCACACTTCGCATCTCGCTCCCACCTCCCATGGTTGCTGCCTGGGAAAATCTCTTGACAAAATCAAATTGCAGAGTCTTTCATGATTGGGAATCATGATGATGACCTCACTCATGGGGTAAATGAGCAGGTGTGTGGATGTCCTCTCTGCAACATCCACTGTCGCCAGAGGTCATCTCCGCAGCTTCAGGGAAAAGTAGGCTGAGATCAGCCACCCTCTAGAGGTCAAGGTCAGATGCATTTGGGAAACCTTTCAAGGAAAGATGTCTGGATTTGGAGGTGGGCCTGTAGCAAGGAAGGAGGTGCACCCCCCCGGGAAGAGCTTGAGTCCAGGCACGAACACAGGAAGGACATTCGTGGGGCAGGGAGTCAGGACAGACCAGCATCCAGTCCAGGAGCAAGAACTGGTGGCTGGAAATGCCTGAGGGGCCAACTTAGAACACAGGGAAGGGACTCTCTCCAGGAAAGGACGCCAGGTGTGGGAATGCTAACTCCTCTTGGCAGGTGGCAGGCTGCTAAGGAGCTGCTGGCTCATCACCCTTTGAAGTTAAGTTGAATACAGTGTATCACTTATCAGGAGGGTAGTAAAGGAAATGGGTCATCTTGGTTTGCACTACTTGATACCATCAAACTTCCAAGTTTAATATGGCATGAAAAAGCAAGGAACCATTGAGTGAAGCCCTTGCCCTCTGGGACCAACTTTCCCCTGCCTTTCAGGGTAGAAGTTAGCATCCTGGGGGCCCTATAGGCACAAGGCTCTCTGGCTGCTGGGTCCACCTGGAACTGCACCTCAGGGATGCCAGTGGATGGTGTAGGAGTGGATGATGTGCGTTTCCGAGTGACTTCCGCTCTTCCTTTTTGTCCGCCAGCTGCACATACAGTCTTAGTGTCTAGCATTCATGCTGTAGTTCCCTCTGTAAACACAACACACCAACCACCCACCTAGCAACCTTGGAAGGTCACCCAGAAAGCCACGTACTTGGGCAGTGTTGGCAGTGAGGAGCCAGGGCTACGGTCTGTATGGTAACAGCCCCATCACCGGCAGGACAGGCCACAGCCACATGGCAATGTGGTAGTTGGGGGAATATGGCAATATTCTGAAACGGCAGTTCTCCTAAATAAATAGCACATCAACTTACTTAAACCTAATCATAAATGGTACAAATTGGGCCCATGTGCAAACAGAAACCCGAGCCGAAGTCCGGAGTTAAAGCAACCATTGTTTCTCGCCTGACCTGGGCTGGGGGAAGCCTTGCGTGTCCGATTACATCTGCTAAAACGATTTGAATGCCAGCCCCGTATTTTAATTATAAATATATAAAAAAATTTTAATAAGACGGCATTCTGGGCTTTCTAAGCCTTTAAAATGCTCATTGGGGGTGGAGAAGAGAGAGGAGAATTCCATGTGCCCCAGACCCAGCGCCAGTGTATAATGATTGAATGTTTTCCTGTAATAAATTGAAAAAATCTGGTTTGTAAGAATGGATCCAAATCACTTGGCATTAGAAAGGTAATTCGTTACCTGGCTTCCAATGTACTGGATCTTGGTGAAGAGCTGCAATCACCAGAGAAAGGAAAGGGTACCAGAAGGAAACTTGTGCCTGGCCCCCACCCCTGCAAATTTCTACACCAGCCCTCCTTGCCTGGCCTCCCTCTGCCTTTTAGCATTTTCTCATCATTCCAGAACAAGAGGCTCTGCAGCTCAAAATGGGGAAAGGGGTTTCTCAGGACCCAAGCCAGCTCTTAACCACCTTCTTTGTACCTCTCCAAACCTCAGGCCTGCTTAATTATGATTAATTGCCACATGGATAATCAGATACAGTTTCAAAAGGTTGGAAATGACACTCCAAGGACACCAGGGAAGATACAACGTATGCCTTTGTTCGCAGGAAGAAATGGCAGGTCCCTTCCTCAGCCCCATAACCTTTTCTTATTTTAACAATTCCAAACAGAATTAATACCATCAGTATATCGTTCCCACTCCGGGGAATTGAACTTCAACTGTACAATTTCTGCAGCTGTCAGGGTTTTCCAACCTCCTGTCAATAATGCAATGTTGGGGTGTCCCTCTGCTGGAATGAAAGCAGTTTCAAGTTTCTGCTTTATGTCTGTGCTTTCTGGGTGGTGGGACATGATGAGAAAGTACAAAAAAAATAATAACAGCAGTAAAAAGCTTCCACTCTTGACTTAACTGGATCAAATGTAATAGACTTCAGTCTTTTCTTCTGATTTCCTCTGCTTGTTTTAGAAAACACTGTGAAAGTACAGGAGATTTTGTCTTGCCAACTCTTCCCTCCATTTAAAATCCCTTTGGCTAAGTCAAGGATCACAGTGTGTCATTTCCAGTCTAGCAGAAGTGTTGGGCCGTGCTCAGCTCTTACTACCAGGAGGCAGATCCCTCGGTTCCCGGCGCCAGTGTTGCTGGGCTTGGCTCCTGTCCCGGTATTGTTCCCCTCATTGCATTCCAGAGGGCCTCTCAGCCAGTTAATGTTTGCACTGGGAGGTCCAAATATCCAGCAATCAGCACTGAACTTTTCTCTTTTTGTTGAGAATTGCAGGTTTCAAATGCAATCTCTGGCTTTAAAGAAAAACTTACAGGTGAACACAAAAGCACTAATTTACATTTTATTCACAAACAATAATATTTGCAGCAGTTTCACCATGTGTGCTCATAAAAGAGTTTTAGAAGACGTCTGGCTTTTTTTTTTTAAGACTTTATGGTGGCTGGAATTGGTTTACCAATTTAAGGGCAGTCATTTCATTTATTTATTTATTTTTTAAAATCCTAAATAGCATAAAAGTATTTTATGCTAGACTGTGAACAGTTCATACATTCTGCATGGTTAATACATGTACTCACATGGGAAACAGCCATCAGAAATAGATAAACTAATTTGAACCAGTTTCAAGCACATAGCATTTAATTAAATCACATCTTCAGAATGGATTTTAAAGGTTGGGATTTTCAGAGCACAGGGGCCGCACACAGCATCTTGGCCGTGGTCCTGGAACGCTCTGCCAAGATGGCCACAACTCACGGGCCTGCGATTGGGACCAACATTTCATGCAGTTTTGCACAGGATTTCATGCCCAAACCCAGGGGACGTGAGCTTCTGACCCTCCCAGCGCAGCCAAGTGCTTCTCCGGAGGGCAGTGGCAGAGGTCTCTTAGTACGTGGGTCTTTCCAGTGGAGCCTGTGAAGGGAGGGCTCACCCCCCTTTCCTCACCAAAGCACCAGGAGCCATACCTGGGCCCAAGGTGGCTGAGGCTGTAGACCTTCCTTTCTCCCACCCTAAGGACCATCATTATCCAGGGCTTCAGCACAAACACTGCTGGGAAGTGGGAAGTGGGGTGCTGGCGAAGGGCTCAGAAAGCCCATGAGCCCAACGTCTACTGAGGATGCTGCCCTAGGATCCCAGGTGCCAAAGGGTTAGGCTGCCTGAAATAGACGTGCAGGCAGAGCACTGCCCTCCACCGACTTGGAGGACAGCCTGGCTGACCCTGCATGCCCTTTGAGACCATCAACCATGGATTTCCTGGCCCAGCTCTGGGCAGGAGAGTTCTCTCCTCCTGCCTTCCTTCCTCTGTCCATGGCCACTGCCACCACATCCTCTCTTCTGCTACCTCCGTGTTTTTCTGGAGCTCAAAGGGTAAGCAAAGACAGTCTTCTTATTCTCACTTGTCACAAACTGAAAAAGGAAAAGAGTCCTTTGTTAGGGGGCAATCACCCTCATGATGATTTTCTCCCATTCTTTTGAAAACCACAGCTTTAGGAAAATGACCACAACACCGCCTCTGACTTTTCTCCCAGAACTGCTTTTTCACTGCCTTTCTGATGCTGCCCTGCTCCTGCCCAGGTAGATGAGAGCAGTGTAACCAGTGTCACTTGCCGAGCTGGTGGCCATTCTTCAAGATGCAGCTCATTCGCCATGATGTTGGAAGGCCCGGAATGGCCCCCAGTAGAGTGAACGATGCCCTAGTGCTGCACACTCCTGGGCTGCGTCCCTCACCTGTGCATTATAGATCTATACAATCACGCACTGCATAACACTGTTTCTGTCAACTACAGCCCATGTGTATGAGAGTGGCCCCATAAGATTGTAATGGAGTTGAAAAATTCCTTTCACCTAGTGACATCTTGACGATTCTGACCCTGCGTAGGTCTAGGCTAATGTGTGTATTTTTGTCTTGCTTTTTCACCAAAAAAGCTTTAAAAGTTAACAAAAAAAAGTATAAATTTCAAAAATAGAAAAAAGCTTATATTCTTATTCTTATATTCTTATTCAAGAATGTAAAGAAAGAAAACATTTTTGAACAGCTGTACAAGGTGTTTGTGTTTTAAGCGAAGGATTATTACAAAAAATAAGTTAAAAATATTAAAAAATTCAATATTAAAAGTTAAAAATACTAAAAGATGTCAAAAAGTTAAAAATATTAAAACTTTTATAAAGTAAAAAGTTACAGTAAGTTAAGGTTAACTTCTTCTTGAAGAAAAATATGTTTTTTAGATATTTAATGTAGCTTAAGAGTGCTTATAAAGTCTACAATAGTATACAGTAATGTCCTAAGCCTTCACATTCACCAATTCACACTCTCCACTCACTGACTGACTCACCTAGAGCAACTTCCAGTTCTGCAAGCTACACTCATGGTAAGCGCCTATGCAGGTGCACCAGTTTTTATTTTTTATACTGTGTATTTTCTGTATCTTTTCTATGTTTAGACACATACACATACTCATCATTTGCCTGCAGTGTTCAGTATGGTAACATGCAGTACAGATTGGTAGCCTAGGAGCACTAGGCTCTACAATATAGCATAGATGTGCAGTACGCTGTGCCATGGAGGTGTGTGTAAATACACTCTGTGGTGTTTGCACAAGAGCAAAATCAGCTAATGATGCAGTTCTCAGAATGTGTTCTCGTCATTAAGTGACATGACTGTGCTCACCCTCCATACCCACCTCCTTGGATGGTGGGCTCCTTGAGGACAGGGCCCATTTCTTCATCACCTCCTCTTTCTTTCTTCCTCTTCACCCTCATCCAAGGACTAGTCAAGAAATTCAGACCAGAGAAAGCCTTCAATCATGGTTTGGTAAAACAATACAGAATTGCAAGTAGATGAAGAGCATTAACCTGTTTGTTCCAGTTGGGTTGCTGGGAAAAGAAATCATTTTCCACATCATTTTTAATATTACTCTTTGTCCACCCATCCCGAAGGTCATTGAAAGGGAAATCGTTCGCTTGTTCGTTCATTCTATTCAGCCATCTTTGCTGAGCTCTGCTCTATGCCAGGTACCTGGAAGGTCAGGGAGCCCAATGGCCAGAGGAGAGGTAAGAACCCAAGGATTGTATAAAAATGGCTGAGCACAGTGTGGGGAAAGAATAAACAGTGGTAAAGAACCGGCTCCCCACTGCAATTTGGAAAGCATAACTAATCTGCTGGTAAGCCTCAAGGACAGCAAAACGAAAACCGACCCATCTGGAATGTTCTATGGGATGGACAGGGTTGCCAAGGTGCTGCTGAAGAAGCCAGGGTCAGGGAAAGAGGCGAGAGCAAGGAGACATCAGGGGACACGGGAACAATCGCACCAGCCCCTTCTCACTCCACCCAAATGACATTAGTTCTGCTGTTTTCCAGAATATCAGGAAGGAATTAGAATCCCAAAGGCAGGACTTCCAAACTTGAAAAAAACCAAGGTAGTGCACCCAGTGGATGCCAAAGGGTTAAACCACTGTACAAGTTGAGTTAATTATTGATGTGACAGGTTCTCAGTCTGATAATGAAAAACTATGTTCAAATATATACTTTATTATGCTGTATTAAGCCAATTTAAAAATAAAGTCTGCTTAATTATTTTAGTGCAGAGATCATAAACTCAAATGTCCAAAGAGGCAGATGTAGGGGTAGGAAGGTTAATGCAGCCCAGCGGGTATGTGAGGTGGGAGAGGAAGCGGTTCTGGGCCCTGGACGGCAGAGGCCAAATGCTCCAAGCCCAGGGTCCTTCCCACTGGTGTTGCAGTGTGGCAATGTGGGCCCAAGGTTTCTAGGATTTCCCAGCTTTCGGGAGAAACCAGAAACCTACATTTATAAGTAAAAGCTCTTAATTTTAGAATGCCAGTTCTAAAACTGTAGAATGTTTTGGGATGAACAAAAAACATTTGCTGGTTTTAGAAATTGCAAGGCAGCCAACACGTAGGTGAAGAGAGAGCCCTGGTGTGCAGGATCTGGCACGAAGTGGAGATGGAAGGCCAAACAGGACAAAGGCAGGAGGTCACCGGGGCCGGGAGTTGCCTCCTGGCCCTTGAGTTCAGCACCTCACCCAATTTTAAGATTGCTTTTCTAGTTTCTCCAATACATGGGCTGTCAGATTGCCACCATGTTTTAAAGTATTTTTAAATAATAGATGTTTTAATTATATTTCTAATAATTTCTAAATTTCAAGGAAGGTAATTAAGGGTTGAAGTAGTGTCTTTTATTTAAAGGGTTTCAAAATTCTTAACTATCAGATATTTGAAGCAGAAACTCTTTAGCATATGAAATTACATAATAAAAATAGGAAACTGTTTCTAACATTTGCTAATAATGCAAATATTATGGCAAGTGCTATGTTACTGAAGTGCTGCAATGGCCCTATGAGATGGGAACTATAATTCTCTTCATGCTACAGATGAGGAGACTGAGACAAAAAGAGGTCAAGCAGTTGGCTGAACTTCACAAGTTCACTTTTACTTTCTTGAAGTGGAGTTAAAGTCCAAGGTTGCCACCACAACACTATTTTGTATCCCTAACTAAATATGAAAGCAATTTGTATTATTTTGAGGGATGGAAGCCTTTCTTTTAGCAATTTTCAAACAGCAAAAATGAATGCCAGTGCAAGCTTGAACATCATTTCTTAAAATAGTTAGCATCTTTTTCCCCGTCAGAAGCACCTTTCCTAACTCTCATTTTATGCTTGTTGATATTAAGATGTCATTTGAAAGTCATACTCAGTTTGTTACTTATCAGAGTTTTTACGAAGCAGTACACCACGGCAGAAAGACCTCAGACATCGAGGTTAAAGAGGTCTCCGTTTGTATTCTAGCTCTGACATTTGTGAAGTCATGTGAGTTGAGACAACTGACTTAAGCCTGTATCAGTCTTCTCCCCTGTTAAATGGGAGTAATTTCCATCCCAATTGCAGTGCTATGATCCGGATTAGAAACAACATATACAAACTGCCCCCTAGTGGCTGGCCTGGTATAGAGTTTCCTTCTGTTTTATTATTCAATTATAGTGATCTACCTTGAGGCACCATGAGAATAAAATTAGATACATAGAAAATCCACAAGCAGAAAGCTATCACCCACAGCTTTCCACCTGTAGAAAATAAAAGTGACTTCTGAGCTCATTCACCACCCTCCCCAGTGGCCTCTTTTGCCAGGAACCCTGTAATATTTGTGAGTGAGTATTTTGTTGAGGTGGCAGCTAAGAGCCAGGGTTCCAGCCCCGACACTTTCTTTCATTGCCTTGGGACCTTGAACAGGTGGCTTCCTGTCCTTTACATAAGCTGGGCCCTGAGACTCCCCCAGGAGGAAACACGGGCTCCTGCCTGCTGTGAGTCACGGGGCCCTGCAAACTCAAATGAGACGTTCAGGGAAAGGCCTGGAATCTGAAAAGCGCTGCAGAGATGAAGGGATTATTGAGATTGTTGAGATAAAACTCTCCTGATTTTTGCACGGGTGCCCTGTAAAGCTGTTTCCTGAAACATGCCAGTTTACCCTGTGCCCCAGTTTTGCCTGTTTTAGCCCCGATATGAGTGTTCCCCAGGCAAAGGCATCCTTTCCTACGATTTCAGCTCTGCAGGGCTGTTCATGCCACTTTGTGTGTCATGGAAGCGTGGTGGAGGGCAGACAAGCCACAGCATGGGAAGCATCTGCCCGGCCTTGCTATGAATGCCAGCCTCCTGCCTGGGCTTTCCTCCTAGCACCAGCTCCTGCTGCTGAGGGCTGGAGAGAGAATCCCTAAGCTGTCCCTGCCCACCTGCCTGGCTGACGCTGTGGGTGTCTGACAGCCTGGGCCTTCAGGCTCCCCTCACACCTATCTGCCTGGCTGTCACCTCGTCCCTGCATTCCTGCTTCCTGCCACGGGGATGCCAGTTCCCAATGCTCCGCACCTTGGGCTCTTGCACTCAAAGCCTTCCAGGTCCCGCGACCACAGGGTCTGAGTCCCAGAGAGCACACGAGCTTCCATACATGCTCTGCTGGCTTCAGGACTCAGTGAAGTGAATGGCTCCACTGTGACCTGTGGGTGATAAGACTTCGGTCCCCAGCTCCTGCTTCTTTCTTCCCAAAATACCATCCAACTCAGTTCCCAGCAGGAGCTGCCAGGCCACCGACGGGGCATGAGCAGTTTGCATCCTAACGCTGCAAGAGACCCACTTCCTCACCTGCACACAACACCAGGGCGCAGGCCCACACCAGAATCCTCACCGGTCCCTCTAGCTGTCAAGTGCATGACCCAAGCTTCCATTTCCTGTCCATAACCTGAAGGAGTCAGTGGGGACTGGATGGGATGGTGATGAGGTGTGAACGCGCTGGGGCAGGTGCTATACACATAGAGGAGGTACCACACATCCATTCACTTGTTCAGGAAGCATTTCCTGGGCACTTATTGTGTGAGGCATCATTGGAAGCAGAATAGAAGAGCTGCCACTGCCACGTGCACCAAGTGGGGACAGCAAGAGCCCCTTGCACAAAGTGATGCAACACAAGATGAAGGGGGTCCAAGCAGAGGGAGGAGAGGTGGGACAGGATGACCAGGCCAGGCACCACACACACTGCGCCCCTCCACTTGTTGCAAAGAGGTGGAAGGATGCAGCAGCCAGAGAGGCAGACAATTGGGTGGAACGCTCGCTGCCCATGAACCAAGGCACCCCAGATCGACCTCAAGGGCCTTCGTTACAAGCTAACATCTCAGCAGGAGTGTTTTTGGCAGGGAATGAAGGCAGGTTGCAGAAGGAATGGTGAGCAGGAGCTGTGTCTGGGAGAGGGCTGGGCAGAATTGGGCATAGTTAACATGCCCTATGGCATAGTTTGAACTTCTTTACATGTGCACGTATTAGTTTCTTTTTTAATTAAAATTAGAAATTCTAATCAGTAATATTCATGATTGGTAATAGAATAAGAAACTGGAGAGAGAAAAACCATTTCGGAAATTATCTCAAAAATTCACAGAGAATGTAAGTAAGCCCAGAGTAGGCGGTTGGTGGAGAGGCTAGAAAGAGAAAGCTGGAGGTGGGAGCCATCCTAGGCCAGCCCTTCTGTTCTTTATTCTCATTCAAAGATAACTGGAACATTCCAAGGGCAGGCAGCAGCAAGGATGATGGAGCAGAGGCTGCCTGGAGGGTTGTCCTTGACTGAGGAGGCAACCAGTTTGAATTGAGGTTGAATGAGCCTTAGGCTTGAGTGTGGACCCAGAAATTGCAAGGCAGCCAACATGTAGGTGAAGAGAGAGCCCTGGTGTGCAGGATCTGGCACGAAGTGGAGATGGACGACCAAAAAGGACAAAGGCAGGAGGTCATGGGGGCCTGGAGTTGCCTCCTGGCCCTTGAGTTCAGCACCTCACCCAATTTTAAGATTGCTTGTCTAGTTTCTCCAAGCAAGAAGCAGTGATCCAGGGCCTGCTGAGGCTCTTCGATGGTGAGGTGAGCCTGGCTTCCCGAGTGTTCCTTAATTATGTTGCTGGTTTATTAAAATGCTGAGCATCTTCTGCCCTTCTCTGTGCCAAGATCTGCCTTCTCCTTCTACGGTCTGTCCATTAATTCCAGTTCTGCTAGTGGGGCATAGAAAACTCAGCTGGCTGACTGCTACTGTATGCCAATAAATGTGTGCCCAGATCTGTCTGCAAAGCCTTGCCCCGCAAGAGAGTGGCTCCGTGTGGGTTGGGAGCTGGAGGACAGGCATCAGACTATTAAGGGGGGCAACATGGGTGGTGAAGAAATGGAGGAAGGGAAGTGAGCATCTGAACCCCAAAACGCTGCAGAGAAGGCAGGAGAGAAACCAATGGGACCTCAAAGGGGCTTCTAGGCTGTTGTGAGCTGAACTGTGTCCTCCCTAAATTCATGTGTTGAGGTCCTAATGCCCAGTACCACCAAGTGTGATTGCATTTGGAAATATGGTCTTTCAAAGGATAATTAGATTAAAATGAGGACATTAAGGTGGGCCCGGATCCAATATGGCTGGTGTCCTGAGGAGAAGAGGAAATCTGGACACAGACACTGTTGAAGAAAAAATTAACTGAGACACTTGTTCAATTGGTAAGGCCAACTTTATTCATGGGGCCATGTTGAGGGGTACAAGGACCATGGGAAGGAGGTCTTGCAGCACATGAGCATGAGTGACTCCACTCAGGTCTTTTTTTGTGGTGGGGGTGGACAGTGTCTTGCTCTCTTGCCCAGGCTGGAGTACAGTGGTGCCATCTCAGCTCACTGCAAACTCCACCTCCTGGGTTCAAGTGATTCTCCTGCCTCAGCCTCTCGAGTAGCCGGGATTACAGGCACCCACCACCACAGCTGGCTAATTTTATATTTTTAGTAGATATGGGATTTCATCATGTTGGCCAGGCTGGTTTCAAACTCCTGACCTCAAGCAATCTGCCTGCCTCAGCCTCCCAAAGTGCTGGGATTACAGGCGTGAGCTACCGCACCCGGCCTGCACTCAACTTTGACTGCAACAAGGACAAGCAGGAATTTCTACCCAAAGAGCAAGGTTGGCAAGTGAATTAATGGAAAATTACAAAGAGGAAATATTAGGGATCAGAGGGTTCTGGCGAAACTGACTTGATAGAATTATTGCTTGAAGCCAGGCCAGGGTGACAAGATATCCTGGATGGTCAGACGCCAAGGGTGGGGGATTTTCACTAAACTGACTTAGCAGGATTCCTGCTCAAACTGGATTCAACAAACTTTACATCAGGTAAAGAACACAGATGATGCGGCCAATTGTCATCAGCCAGCACCTGCCATGAGCCACCCCAGTGGTGGCATGGCAGGTCTGTGGATGGAATGACCACCGTGGGAGAGACAGAGGCTCCCTGGCCCAAGAGCATGAGCTCTTCTTACCAAGGGTGGTTTAACTGCTGCTGCCCCTGAATGTCCAATCTGCCAGCAACAGAGCCTGGAGAAGTCTCACTGGTTGCTTGGTGGGAGGTGGACTTCATCAGGTCCCTTCACGTGGAAGGGCTAGAGATGCATTTGTTACCATCGGAACAGGCACATCCTCTGGGTATGGGTTTGCCTCTCCTGTCCACTGGGCCTCAGCTGGCACCACTATCTGAAGGCCCAGGAAATGTTTGACCCAGCACTGTGGGATGCCACAAAATGTCACAGGGCTGACTGTACAGCAAGGGAATTGCAGGAGTGTGCCTGGAACCCCGGGAGGCAATGATGGCGCCACATGCCGCACACCCAGGAGCGGCTACCTGGTGAAGGGGTGGAAAGAGGCTCTACTGAGGCTCCCCTATTGATAGCAGTCCACTAGTACAGGGTGCCCTCTTCTAGGAGGCAGGATACACTTGGAGGCCAAACCTCCACAAGGTGCTCTGTCCCGATGGGAAGAATTCATGGAGCAGTGACTGTGCAGTGGCAAGAATGGCGCCACTGACTGTCAACTCGCAGAGACCTCCTGGGGCACCTGGTGTTTTAACCCATTACCTCTTCGTTCTGCAGGGTTACGGTCCTGGTCCCCAAAGGAGACATAATTTCCCCAAGAAACACCATAAGAGTCCCATGGAACTCTAAGCTGTGGCCACCACCTGGATGCCAGCAGGCACAGAGACAGTCACCATCCTGGCAGAAAGATTGAGCCTGGTCCTCAGGAGGAGGTCAAGCTGCTGCGACACAACTAGGGAGGAAGGAGAAGTGTCCACATGGGTGCCTCATGGTGCTCCCCTGGCCAACCGTGAGGGTGAAAGGAGGGGTGCAACGGCCTTGCCTAAAAAGGGCATGGAGACCGAGGGCTTGACCCTGGGCGGAGACAGTCACACAACCGGGCAGGCCACAAGGCCAGAGTTGTGCTAGCTGAGGACAGGGGGACCTGGGATGGATATGGGTGGAACTGATGGTGGCCCTGGTACAACTGCAGTTCTGGGGGTTGGAGTGTGCCCCACAGCCCTTTTGCTCCAAGTCATCCCCAGGAAGAGAGGCCTGCAGAATTCTGCAGGGGCTGCTCCTTGACTGGGCATGAAGTGGATCTGAGTCACACGTGGGGATACGGGATTGCACAGCTCAGATCCCCCCAAGGCCCCCAGACCACCGGAGGACTCCATGTTCCAGATGTCATCTGCCCAGGGTTTGCCTCAGCTGCAGGGAGCAGCCCTGCCCAGGGTACACCCTTGCCCAGGCAGTCCGCAGGCAACACTGGGTGGTGCCGGGCTGGGAAGGAAGGCTTGGCCATTTCAGTCTGACACAAAACACCTGTCTCAGGCCCCACGCTCAAGGCCCCCATGACCGGGGCTTTGTCCCCTGTAGCAGTCACTGTTCCCTCTCCTCTCAGTCCTTCTGGAAGAGTTGGTTCCTAATGAATACCCCATCCACCCAACTCCATCGCAGGATGGGCTTCCAGGAAAGCCAGGCTGCCCATGGAAGGAGGAAATGAGTCTCAAAGCAGGGTGGAGGCAGCAGTGTTCATGCCAAACACAGTGGTAAACTCCGGTATGGTGATGTTATTGGGAAAACAAAGACCCAAAGACAAGAGAGACATCTCATACACTCCAGGGTCTAGATTCATATACTCCATGTCCACACATGGAAGGTTTCTGTGGTGGAGGACAGAGCCCCTGCTCACAGCCGATGTCAGGCCATTGGTGGCTCCTAAGGGTCGTTTCTGGAGCCTCCGTGCAGGAAGCAGCATGCTGTGAAAGGGTGACTTCTCTGTCTGGTGGCGTCTACCCCGGGGCTGGCCCTCCTTTAGCATACAAACTCAAAGGGGAAAATAGACACAAAACTTTTCACCTTGAGGCAACAGCTTGTGTTGTTTGCGTCTGCATAGGCAAAGGAGGCACTCGGTTTAAAGGCTTGAGTCCCTCACCTCAGCACCCGAGTAGCCTGCTGCTTCTCTGCCTCCTCTCTCATTTCCAAAGCTGAAGTCCTAGGCACAGGCACACATGCAGACACACACACACACACACACACACACACACACACGTGTGCACACACAATTTCCTGTGAATCCAAAAAACAAGAAAGAAAACAAAAAGCTGGCAGATGCTGATTTTTCCGCTTAACTGCACATATTTTATAGTATTTCTCTGTGTTTTTCTCCCAAGACGCCCACCTGACCTCACTCGCTCTCCAGATTCTCTCCATTGTGGCCAAATGTCACAGATCGTGTGAGGCTGTTTCAGCCCATGAAAATATGCTGTAAATGAGTGCATCTGCCCTTTGATCTTAACCCTTCTCATTCCTTCTGCAGCAATATTTTTTCCTAAATGAAAAGCTCCTTCATTAGCAAAGCATATGTGACAACTAGCACACAGAAAACTCCAACACATCCTCTCCACAAAGCTCAGTGAAAACAATTGGAGTTATGGGCTCATATTTGCATACAGAAGTCTTGGCATTTCAACTCGTATTTCAAGGGCTGGGGGGGTAAATAAACAGGAACACCCGTGCCTTCCACAAATAATGGAAAGACAAAGACGGTGCAGAGATTGTCAGAGCCCTGAATACCTCCCTTAGAACTCAATGGAAAAAGGAAAAAGAAAGAAGAAAGAGAATGTGATGACAAAAATGTAATTATTTCTACATCCAATTTAAAGGAAAGACAATCATTTGAGCATCATAAATGCACACTGAGCTATGATTTCATATTTGCATCAAAGTCCGCCATTCTTTTTAGAGCTTCTCAACAATTTCTGCAAAGACCAACCATTTTCAGGCATATCCGGTGCCAGGCACAGGCATATTCCAAGCTCAAACATGACTAAAAGAGTGTTTCATTCCTAAAGTATTTCTACCGGACATCTAAGGAGATGTCCCCCTCCCTTACCCTGATTTGGAAAGAAAGAATCTCATGCTGATGATAGGCTGCAGATCTTCCGACTTCTCATCTCTGTGGACCCAGAGATGTGTCTGGGATGGGGGAAGGAAATCGTCATTGTGGCTCTTAATGAAACCCATGAATTTCCCAGCCTTCTCTATCACCTGTAACTTTGCATATATCCAGATTGCTGTGTTAAGTTTGCATTCAGTGTTTCTAAATGGGAAAGCTGCCGTGAATATGGAACATTTCCTTCAGAAAGTCTTCTCTTTGCTACTTGGTACAGGGACCAACTGCCGGTTTTAATCCTATGCCCTCTGGGACCATGTAGAACTCTCTAAAATTGCAATCTGTACAACTCTTGGAATTTTTTAAGTACATAAAAAACAAATAAGGGTGACTTACAAGCTCTCGATTCCCTCCCTCACCTCCCCTACTCCCAGAATTTCAAAGATACCTATAGGAACTTCAGGGCAGAGGCGCACTGGGGGAAGGCAGGAGCAGATGGCAGGAGGAGGAGGCTCCTCCCAGCCGTAGGCCTCAGCTGCAGGCTGCACATCCCTTATTATGACTTCCTCAGCTGGCAGGACATCTTTGTTCTCGTTCTCCCACTCTCCTAAGATGCAGAAGACGAGATGCCGTAATGTGTAAGGCAACACACATCCTGCTGCCTTCCTGGGAAGCTTATTGTTAAGCACTTTGTCTTAGTTATTTCAATGCAACCCAACTCTATAAATCCCTCAATGACATGGAAAGGGTCTGAAATGTAAGTACGTATGACTACGCGGAATATGTATCCCTATGTTAACACACAATGTCTTTCTGTGTGCCTGTTTTTTCCTTTGGAAAATATTTTATGTTTAGGACACCACACAGCTGTAGTGATGTGTTATTTCATCATCACCTTAGCGACAGATGCTCGAGTTTCTTGAATCAAATCCTTACAGTGACCAGGACATTCCCAGACCGCCAGTTTCGGCCTCCTTCTTGTCTTCCTGAGGCTTCCCAGGAAGGAACCAAATAGGTTTTAATTTATGGTTATTTATTTATTTATTATTTATTTTTATTGAGGTTCTACATGGATAACATAGCATTTAGCATTTGAACCATTGCGAAGTATATTATTCAGTGGCATTAAGTACATCCACATCGTTGTGATTCAGTGTCAACTATGTCCACCATCAACTCCACACTGAGCCTGGCCCTGGGGCAGGCTGACAATAGAGCAAGGACTCAGTCCACACCTTGGTCTTCTCGCGAGTAGATAGGGCTTAGACCTAGGAATGCTGGTTTCTGAATGGTATTAAGAAGAGAAGCAGAGGGCAAGAGGGAAGGTGGTTGGGGAGGATCCCTCTCGGGAGCGGCCATTTGCCTGGGACACAAAAGAGGAGAAACCAGCCTTGCCAGGGTCTAGAGGAATTACGTCCAGCGGCCACTGTTGGAACAGCCAAGGGCAAGGGGGTATTAGCAGCCGCTTATATGACCTGCTTTATGTGTTGCTAAGATCACTCTGGCCTCTGTGGGAGAAGAAGGGGCTCAGAGTAAAAGGAGAGTGTGTGTGTCTCAGAAGCTCTTCCAGGCGTCCAGAGGAGAATGGAGTGGCTGGAATCAGTCTGGTGGAGGTAGAAGTAGAAATGTGCATAAAGTCAGAACAGGACTTGCTGTTGGATTGGAATGAAGCAAGACAGAAAGAGAGACGCGACAGATGCCTCCTGGGTTTTAGGCCTCAACAACAGAATAAATGGCAGTGCCGTTTACTGAGTGTAAGGGGTAGGGAGGGGAGAAGAGTGAAGGAGGGAAATATTTTTATGGAGAGGGAAGCAAAAATCAAGAAGTTTGGGGCAGGCAGAATTTGCCGGGCTTGTCAACATTCCGCTGGAGACATTGGGCCAGCAGGTGGCCCTGAGATTCCAGTGCTGGATGGGGAAGCAGGGATGGTTCTACACAATCACTGGACTATAGAGAGTGTTCAAAACCACAGGACATACAGCATTGCCTAGGAGAACCACCAGTGCCTTTGTAAAGGGCCCAGAATCAGGACATCCTGGCTTGTGGCCCTAGATAAGTCCCTACTCTGTTTCCCATCTACAGAGCAGGAAGGGCATCTTCAGGCCATGCCATGCTCTTTGTCAGCTACAGCATTCAAGGGCTGTTAATTTCTTTTTCTTCTAAGAGACAGGGTCTCACTCTGTTGCTCAGGCTAGAGTGCTGTAGCATGATCACAGCTCACTGCAGCCTCAACTCCCGGGCTCAGGGTACCCTCCTTCCTCAGCTTCCCGAGTAGCTGGGACTATAGATACCCACCACCATGCCCAGCCTCAAAGTCTCTTTGTAAATCTCCTTCCCAGAGCCTCATCCTTCATGCACAAGGATGTCTCTGTGCCATCTGGATGGTGCTCCGGCGGGAGGCGGTCATCTAGAAGGCCACCATTGCTCTTGAAACTTCCCACTGACAGAGTGCGTCCCTGGGAAGAGAAAGAGGCCAGTGTTCTTGTAGGAAAACAATTTTTCTGTCTTGTTCTTGAAGAATATTGTGATTGTGGGCGACAGCAGCAGGGGGGCTTAGGGGTGGGGAGGGGGAAGCTGACAAGACCGGGTCAGAAAGTATTACTTCTCAAAAATGTTTTCAGTGGCTTGAGGTCTGGGTCATCACTGTCTTCCTCTAAAACTTCCCTCTGCCTCCTCCATCCAGCGTGTTCTCCAATCTCTCTTGGTTCCCCGGGGACTATTAACAGTGAGCCAGTAAGATAAGCAGGGAGCGAGTTGGAAGCAAATCAATCTCAGAGTTTATTAAAAAACTGGCTATTGCAGAATATTTTTTAACTCCTCCGGGAAAATACTTCCAACAACCATATAAATCCCCTTGGCCTTTGGCTCTGAGCAAACATACCGCAGATTCAAAAATGAACTTGCGTTTAAGCTGGCTGGGCTTTCGTGCGTCCCATCCATTACTACCACATTGATACGTGTTCAATCGAAAGAAGGTTTAGAAAAGTGGAAAACAGTTTTCACCTAAGTTTTTTTGTTTCTGTTTTTCATATTATTTCTTTTGGTATTGACTGATATCTTTCTAATTGATGAGATAGTCCCTGAGCTGGAAGGAAGGAATAGGATGGGGTCAAACAGATGCACCTTCCAACAGCGTGGCCTTCAGCAAGCCCATTGGCCTCTCTGAGCCTAAATGCTTATCTATAAAATGAAGACAATCTCTCTGTGTTCTTGTGATTATGAGTATTTCTGTTACTCTCAGAGTCAGTATTATTATTTATTTTGAGAAGGAGTCTCGCTCTGTCTCTCAGGCTGTAGTGCAGTGGTGTGAGCTCCGCTCACTGCAACCTCCACCACCCAGGTTCAAGCAATTCTTCTGCCTCAGCCTCCCGAGTAGCTGGGATTACAGGCTCCCGCCACCATGCCCAGCTAATTTTTGTATTTTTAGTAGAGACAAGGTTTCAGTATGTTGGCTAGGCTGGTCTTGAACTTCTGACCTCAAGTGATCTGCCAGCCTCGGCCTCCCAAAGTGCTGGGATTTTACAGGCATGAGCCACTGCGCCTGGCCTTATTATTATTTTTTGAGACAGGGTCTCACCCTGTTGCCCAGGCTGGAGTGCAGTAGCATGATCATGGCTTACTGCAGCCTCGACCTTCTGGACTCAAGGGATCCTCCCACCTCAGTATCTGGGACTACAGGTGAGCACCACCATACTTGGCTAATTTTTTGTGTTTTTTGTAGAGATGGTGTCTCCTTATGTTGGCCAGGCTGGTCTCGAACTGCTGGGCTCAAGTGCTGCACCCACCTTGGCCTCCCAAAGTGCTGGAATTACAGGCATGAGCCACTGCTCCCAGCCAATAATTATTATTATTTGCAGCAGTATTGCTAACAGTAGCTACAATCCTCAGAATTTCCCGGTCTCCCAAACTGAATGTAGGAGATTCATTTGCTCATGAAATAGAATCACTGATTTTTCAAAAGTTTCCTTACAATGAATATCGTTTCAAGAACAACGTTTGGTCCTGGAGATGGGGCTGATATTAGCAGAAAAGGATAGTACACAAATCAGAATCTGACATCACGTGGCCCAAGGGCACAGCTCTCATTCTGTGGTGAGCAAGACCAGGGGAGGGCATACAGGACCACACTCATCCCAGACCCTGGGATGAGTATTCAGAGCCCTTCCTCCCAGTGGTCCCTCAGCACTGTTCTCCCCTACCCCATGCAGGCCCTGGGCTTCAGCTCTGTGGGCGGAGTCTGATGGAAAGCTGGCCCAGCCATAGGCCAGGCGATGAGCAGTCACCATGTGCCAAACATTGTTCCCAGTGCCACAGGCCAGCTGTGCTGTGGCAAAGGTACACACCGTTCTTCAGATGAGATATGTTAGTGAGGAATGGCAGGATGTTCTTAAACCAGGGAGATTTGCATTGGCCCTGCAGGCTCCAACAGGCAGCTATGGAAAAGGATCTTGGAAGAGAGAAAAAGGGTGACTGACAAGGAGTTAGCTTCAGCTGGACAGAACCCCAGCTCCCCAGCACCTGCAGGGAGGCACACACAGATGCCTCCCCTGTGCGGAAGGGTCCTATTGAATTCACGGACTCAGAGAGTGCCTCCAATGCACCGCTCCGGGTGTCAGGACTACAGTGCAGAGCAAGACAGACAACACCCCCTCGGGATGGATTAGGTAGGTGGGGGAAGGCTGGAGACAAACACCAAAGTAAGAAACAAGTCAACAACATGTCTCTTAGACTCGAGTTTTGAGATAGCCATAAAGTCAAGGAATGTGATGTGGACTTTGAGAGTGCCACTCGGGGGTCAGGGAGGCCTCTCTGCAGACTCGAGTGTCCAGGAAAGTCCAGGGGCTCTGTGGGATGGGGAAAGGAGCAGCAGGGACAACTCGACTTGTTTCAGGAACAAAAAGAACCAAGGAAACCGCTGTATGGGGGCATGAGAGGGCTCGGGGTCCAAATGAGATGACGGGGGAGGCTGAGCAGGAGTTTGCTTTTACTGGAAGTGGAGTGGAAGCCAGGGAGAGTTTTAAGCTTTGGCACAACAGGACCTGATTAACATTTGGAAGAAGGGATCTCAACTTCCCCTTGGAGAGTGGGCAGCGGAGGAGCCACAGTTGGGCTCTGGTTAGGAAGACGTGGAGGTTGATCTTGAGAGAGCCTCCTGGGACTGGCGGCTTCATGGACAAAATGCGAATAATGAGCGCTCCCAAAGACCCGGCCAGGGCCATGCCTGTGTTGCACGTATGTGCAGAAATGTAACTGAGGCCTGTAGCTCCCTCCCGCACCTGAGTGGCTTCCTGCACGTCCTTTGAGAAGTCACTGTGATTGTTTCCTCAGCACGTTTGGAGGAGCTCCTCCGGTGGGGCTGATGGGTTATTCAGAGCCTACTAATTACTCAGCATGTGCCATGGGAACCCTGTGTGCAGGATCTTAATCTAGGACAGTGCTGTGCCAGGTTCAGACGGTTCTTCCGGAGGGTCCTTAACTCTACTGAACCACGAGGGACTCTTCGGTTTCCAGGGGGAATAATCCACCCAACCCAGCTCTGGCTGAGGGCATGAACTCCTTCTCTTTCTCATTTATCCTGGAGGGGTAATATTAATATACTTGATTCCTTTACGAGTCAGTGAATGTTAAACTCTAACCTGTTCTAGTATATTCCACTTTGAATGTCACTATCAGGCTATTCTACACAGAGGTGGGATGGCACGTTCAGGAACTGGTGACACCCCTTTAAAATGCCACTTGTTATTTCTTAGGATAGTTTCCGAACAGCCAGATCTTCAGGCAAATCACTGAGCTAAAAAATAAACAATGGACATTTTTCACTGGTATTATACTGAACATGTTGCTTTTACAATTTAATTAAAATCACATACCAGTAGCGTGCTTGAACCTAATCACCATTTTTACAGATCTACACTGAAAAAAATTAACATTTACATCTTTTATCAGTTTACTTAAGAAAAAAAAATCACATTGTACTAAATGAAAAAAAAAATCGAGCCTAGACATTTCTCTGCTTTCCACTGAGAAAAATTTCTCCAAAATGAAAGATTTTATAGAAAGATTTATTTTAAAAGTGCAATTATTATGCATAAAAGGATGATTATGTTATCTGGGCCCTTCCTAAACATTGAGCCCTTTGATAATTAATTTTAACATGAAATTAAGCTGCATATGTAAATTTTTACCAATGGCAAAAAGCACAGACTAGATTTAAAATAATCAATAATTTGCAATATACATTCATTCTTTACAGAGTGTAAAAATATGCATTTTGTTTTGATTTGGATTAAATAACAGGAATACTTTGTTTCCAAATGAAATAGACTTCAGACAGGCTCGTTTTGTTCATATTGCTGGCCTGTAAAATCTTGCATGTAAGTATAAAAGAACAGATCAAGTAAGCCTTTCCCCACATCAAAAACCTAGAATAATGTTGAAATTCCGGCAAAAATCAAAAAAAGGTTTTAATTCATGTACCACTCACAATCTGCCACTATAAAAATATATAAAAACCTCTTGATAAATTACAACAGACTTGTGGAAGTTGCACATATTGATTAAAACATCAAGCAGTTACATACAAACCAGTAATGAATTACTTCATGCTGGAAGATAAAACTTTGTGATATTTAAAATTACAGACTTGAAAGTAAGTAAAATTACCCCTAATTATGCAGAAGGGAGCAACACCTTAGCAGTAAACAAGATAAGCACCTCAAACAGCACTAATAATTTTAATTAACATTTTCTAGTTTCCTTTCTCCTCGTTTCAAGGTCACCTACTCCCTCTTCAAGGAATAGCATTACAGCTGCTATGTTGCAAACTTCCGCGGCATTCCTTATCCCCAGGATTAAGCAACAAGAATGTTTTATAAGACTGATTTTTAAGAAGAAGTAATTGTGCACAAAAGTAAATATTGAATCATGGCAGCCCGTTAGCAACGATTTAAAAATGAATTGCAAATCTAATTTTCCATTCTTGTTATGATTGTAACTTTGTCTTTACTAAGTCCCTCGATTTGAATTATGAAATATGTCTGAACTGTTGAATATTCAGATTATAATCCAAGTAGAGAAGAGTTTAGCTACCAATGCAGCATTTGAACTTCATGCATAACATGACCTATCTACATAGTATTTATATTCTCTGTTGAGTACTGATTAATATATTCATTTGTTCAAGATTTATGATTTTGCTAAACTGTTTTCTCTCTTTTGTAAATTAAGAAACCAGTAACTATAAGGCTTTGTTATATCAATGGGTTTGTTCCATTCCACAAATTTAATGTACAGGGTCACTCGGAATATAATGTGTAGTGAAAGAATCTCATTAGGCTAAAATGAATGTAAAATGTGTCAATTTGATCCAAATGAGAACTGTAGTAAAACCATGTTTGATGTTCATGTGTAATAAATCTTTAACATTTGTCTGTAAAGTATTAGAGAACCCATAGGGAAATCTGTGTTTGTGATAGGGGCACGTTTCCCATGGTTTTTCTCTATTATTCTTTGTTGGCATTTAGCATATGGAAGTAAAAAGTGAAAATCTAAGATGGGGGTTATTAACTGTGATTCTAAAGTAAATAGAAAATGTGCCTTAATGCTAGTTAAAGCACTTTAGAAAAAAATAAGAATAATTTTTAGAAATAAGAAAAGTAAACCTTTGAAGACACTTTCATTACACATTTAGAGAAATACTACCGAGAGTCCTTCAATTTCAAACTCGGGAACAGTGCCAGATTTAATCTATGTTTGCCTTGAGTGTCTTTTAGTTTTAGATTTGATTTTGGGAATGTTTTAATGTTTTCACTTTTGTTGAAGATGTGATGACCATTATCTTTCCAATTCATTTTTATCTTGATATATTCATATTGTTAATTACTGTTGTATTTCAATTTTCTCCCTAGTATTTTTGTTCCTTCGTAATGGCTTCATGGTTCACTGGACCGAAATGACTAAAATGAAAGATTTCCAAGATTTCTTCTGGGAGTAATTTACAAAAGACCACCCTTTTTTAATTGCTCCTCGTGTTTAGTACTGGATGTCTGCTTCAGAGAGAAATCAATCTCCGTCTTTTAGGTGCCATACTGAGCACATCATCATCTTTTTAAAAAATCTTGATAATTAAATCATTTTTTCTTGAATTACTTAAACATTTTTCTTTCTATCTGATTTCTTTAGCAGTTTAGAGCATAACAGTACACTTAGTATCTCTGTTTACATTAATTTAATTCATTTCTGGCAGAAGTTCATTTTGCACTTTAATGCAGTGAAAAATAGTAATAATCAGTGTGACATCAAAAATAATTAAGAGAAATAGCAAGATTTCCTCCATAGGAGAATTCTTCCTGTAGAAGAATGAAAGAAAATTAATTTCCCAGAGTTACTCTAATTAAAATCATCTGCAGAATCCCCAGTAAAAGAAAAAAGTTGAAAATTGACATGTCATCAATAAAAATCAGCTCACTAAAAAAAAAAAAGTCAATAAGTTAAAGATTTCATAGCATCATGGACAAGATCGGTGGAAACGTTTTGTCAAAAACCAATTTCTCGCTAGGCTCCATGCTAAGATTCTCCTAAAAGACAATCTCCCTCGTTTTTAGAAGTACCAACACGCACTCCTAGGAAATGTGCTGATTTCAAGGTCAAATTAACATGTTGCTGGAAAGGGAGACTTCTTTACTACCTCTAACTAGATGTCCATTGTTGATGTGTTGCAGTGGAGCCAGTCCAGTAACTATTTTCTGTATGATGCAGTCACCCGTATTATAAAGGCTGTTGCAATCAATGACTAATATCCCTGCTTACTTCTGCAAAATTTTATTGTTGATGTTTATCCTGATTAAAAATGTCTGTGTTTAAAAAATATCAAGATAAAACTATTGTTCTATATCCAAAGTATTAGTTACTGGCCAGTGTCCAAAAAAAGATAATTTCGCTCAGGTCGTAAGCCTAAATCCTGTAACTATTCTGTTGTTGGACAAGTCTGTTTTTCACTTTCAATTCATATCCAAAGAAGAGCTTGTCTGTGGTTTCCACTGGAGTTTAGACTACGTTACAGGACATTTTTTGTATGAGATTTATTTTTCTAATTATGATTGGCTTTGATTAATATTAAACTCAGTTGCCATCTCCTGAGCCTGCATTGTGTTGGAAGGAGGCCCAGAAGCACTCTGGGAGTCAAAGGGAAGCCAGGCAGATATTTTACTGAGGAAAATTCAAGTACAGAAGCAGGGGCTATCTGGAATCCATTCTGTTTGAGAATCACAGTTCTGGAAACAGGCTCTAGAAGAAGCCTGGTATAATCTGTCAAACAGGGGTAGCCTCCACTGGGCTCTGTGCATCAGCTTTGGTAGGCTCTCCCCACACTCAGAGGGAGACTCACAGTCAAGCTATGAAATCTGCAGCGTCGGGGCTCTGACTCACAGGGTCCCCTTGCAAAACCTTGGGAGTTTCCATAGCAGAGTGTATTTGTTATTTGAAGAGCCTCAAAAATCACATATGCTTTCAACTCTCTGAGAAAACGGACTCATTCTGTCTATTGTGAAGAGTACAGATTTGTTTTTTAATTTTCATTTTATGTGGCCCATAAAAGTTTGAATTAAAAACAGCCTTTTATTCTACTTGAAGGCAAGTGAAGGAAGAGAGCACTCCTCTCCCCAGAGGACCAATTCACTCTCTTAACCCAAGAGGCAGCTTGGGATGGAACTCCGGAAAAGAGCAAGATCCCAGATGTGACATCTTCTGAATTATCCTCACCGTGCCCCGTACATCCAGGCCTTCCTTCCAATTTCCCCAGGCAGCTGTAGCCACTAATCTGGGACCACCATCGATGTTCCTAATCCACCTCCCCTGCTGTCCTTGCCTCCCTTCCCTGACTCCATTTCCAACCCCCTCCACAGTCCATCACCATTGTATTTTTTTGCCTGATTAATGTTTCCACAAAACATGTCATTCCTCTGATGAGACCTCAATGCATAGTTATAGAGGACGGTTTCCTAAGCTGGCACTCAAGGCCCACCATAGCCCAGAGTGTGTCTCACCCAGCCGATGGTCTTTCTTTCCATATACACTGTATTCTAGGCAACTTGTACTGTAGATGAGTGCTATGATTAAGTCCAGCCTGAAAGACCTGGGCATGAATCACCCACCTGCCCTTTACTGAATTTGGAAGAGTTGCTTAGATTCCCTCATCTTCCATGTCAGTCTCTGTAAAATTGTGATAAAAATGGATCCCAGCCAGAGGGATTACTGTGAGCAGTGATGAAGGTGAAGTGTGCCAGGCTCCTGGCATAGAGCTTGGTACATGGAATAGGTGCTCAGTAAAAGCTCCTAATACTGACCGTCTCCTGGGTGTTTGTGCCATCCTCATCTCAGTCATTCCTACCGTGTCAATTTATAGCGTGCTCTTCCCTGCCCTCACTTACCTGTCAAAATCCTTACCGTCCTCTGGACCTATCTATTAAGTCTCCCATACTCCACTTTGTTGTTTTCTGGGCAGGACCCTGTCTCCGTCACCTGTGAATCCCCAGGGCCAGCAGCATGCCCACGCAGAGCGTGTGCTTCACAAATTAGTGCTCAACAAATAAATGAAATGAAATGTAATGTAACCTCCTCCCAGGAACCGTTGCTACCCCTCCCATCCAAAAGGGATCTCACCCGCCTCCAAGCTCGTATAGAACATCTCTCTGTATCTCTAAGGTGGCGTCTCATACTTCCATCTTATAATTGGGGAGTTGAGCCACACACAAACACAGCCACAATAGATTGAACTCCTTGGGGGCAAAGGCTGTCTCAGCTGCTATGACAGAAGCATCCATGACGTTCATGGCAGACCCTAAAGGGTTATTTTGATGGAAGGTGTTCCTTGCTCCATGTAATAGATCCAATTTAGCCAAGTGCTCCATCAAGCAAGCTTCTGATTCCCTGATTGACTTAATTTTAGATACACAACATTTGGCACAGATTACATGAGTGACTATTTAACCCCTAGATACCTAGATAAATTGTTGACGTTGTTTTGAAAATAATCTCCAAAACGAGTTATTTATTTTTTCTTTCTCCCGCCAGCACAAAGTTTAGAGTTAAGGTGATTTTTTTATGAGCTCCCCTCCCCCACGTTGTTCCAATCCTTATTCTTGCAGGTCTCTTTCCAGACATCTTTGCCCAGTAATAATTATAGTGTGTTCCCAACCTAGCTGATGGCTGGTGTCCTCATTAAGGACCATTACCCTGAAAAGGGTGTTTATTGAACCTGGCAGAGTGCTGATATTTGTTAGACCCTGTCATATGGTTGATGGCGTTTAGTCAGAACTCATTCGGAAACAGGAGTGAGCTGTTCAAACTGGCACCGTCAGCAGGGACACGGAGGTGGGCTCAAGATGGCAGCACGAGTCTCCATGGTGCCTGCAGGCCAAGGAAGGCTGTTCCACCAGGTGGCCTGACTCCTCAGCTCCCTCCGCTCTGCATGCTGTTAACTGGATTTCTGTTGAGTGAGAGGTACTCAAACCAAGTTGATAGAAATTAAAGAAACAACGGTATGTTTGGATTTCACATCTACTTTTGTCCTACATGCTGGGATTGCTTTAAAAGGATTGCAACTAATTGAAGAATGGATACCACTGGGAAAAGGTATGTTGTCAGTGAAACCAGTAATTTAAATTCTTTATATAATGGCAAAAGATTGAGTTCACTAAGAGACAAAAAATTCATTATCTCTCTGGGAGATCTTACAAAGATAAAGATTTTTGTGTAAACAGCTACAATGCCTATACATTAGTCATTGTACTCCTTAGAAAGATCTACATCATAGAGACTGGACAAAGACCAGCGCCCTGGGGTCAGTGCTGCTGCATTGAGTTTGGCTCCATAGCTCCCCACCAGCTGTGGAGGACCTGGGATAGGTTCGTCAGCGTTTCCCAGCTGCAAGTTTCTTTTCAGTTAAATTCATTGACTCCACTCATTTGTAAACATTTGTGGTTTGCTGGGCATAATGATGTGGGAAGACACAAACAAAAGGTGATTTCAGCTCTTAGAGGTGCTCTCAGTCCACAGAGGGAGGGCGAGCTTGTTTCGGGAAACATTTCTTGTGATGTATATAGTCTACTAATATGTGTAGAGACCTTGGATTATAGAAACACAAGAGCTGAAAGACCTAATTCTGCCCAGAGAGAATGGACTCAAAGGGAAAACAATGGTTTCCATCCATAGCTGACACGTATTAAGTGTTTACTATGTCAGACCCTGAACTGAAAGTGTACTGACTTTATCTCGTTTAATTTGTTGAAACATGGTGGATTAATTCCATAAATCTTGAAGGAAGAGTTTTAGATGCCCAGAAGGAGAAGGACACTAACTGCAAAGAAAAGAACATATGGAGAAGAACCAAAGCATGCATTTACTCATTCGTCCATTTATATCACAAATATTCTGGGAGCTTGGCATTGTGCCAGGTACTGAGATTATACTAAGAGAGAAAAACTGAGTCCCTGCACTCAGATGAACAAGGAGTCACTCAAACAAATGCAAAACACCCAGTCCAAAGACTCTGCTTGAATGGGACATTGTATTCTCTACCAGAGACTATTTTAGGGATATTTAACCTGGATAGGGAGACCAGGAAAGACTTCCATGGGCGCCTGGAGGTGAAGTTAAGATCTGATGGAGAGGGGAGAGGAAAGAAGAAACCAGGTTAAAAAACACAGCAGGTATGAGGGCTGGGAAGAGGCCATGGAGGCTGAGAGAAAGCAAAGAGGAAGGTGAGGCTGGAAGGCTGGTGGTCAGAAGCTCCACCTTATAGCAGTGTGGCAGAGATACTGCAAGAGGCCAGCATGGATGCTGGTCACCAGCCAGGAGGACACTCTAGGGGTCCATGGGGGGCATGTAGCAGGAAAGATGAAGGTGGACTTTCTGGAGAAGCAGAAGGCCCTCTGCCAGCCCCACTGTGGGTGGCACTTGGCTGCATGAGCCACATTATAGAGGCTTCACCAAACCAGGTGGGGACATGTTTTTCTCATCAAGCTGGAAGGTTGGAAGCTGCTGTGCAGGATGGGAACAGTGGCTCTAGAATCGCACAACACCCTTCTGGCCAGGACTCCATCCTGTGTGTCACTCACAACCACCTGAGGCTGCTCCACTTTTTGCCTCTTGTTCACGTTCCAGGAAGAAAAACAGAAGCAACTGAAGGACTGAAGCAGTCCTGGCTAGCACACATCTCTCAGACCCCCCAGTAGGGCTATCAAGCAGGATCATGTCCCCACACCATCCCCAGAAGCGAGGCGGCTAGGAAGGGACATCTATCACCTATTTTATCTCTAGCTTTTTGGCTGGGCACACTGTTGCCTCAATACACTTAGATTTTGTTAGTAAAGGAGATAAGGAGTATGGATATTTGGTGGGTGATTAACAGTTTTTAATGCACCATGTTTTGCTGTATACACAGTGTGTGTTGCTGCCTAGTTATGTACATATTTGCTGGCTGTTTTCTCCCTCATGTGAACTCCAGGGGCTCGGGCAGTGTGCTTGTCTTGTTCATCATTGAATTCCCAGGACCCAGAGAAGAGCCCAGCACATAATTGCTGTCTAATAAATATTTGTTGGATGAATAAATGAAAGGCAAATTTTTCCAGAGTTGTGATGGATTGGAAATGGGTGAGGGGGAACTTGGAGGAGGGTGCCCAGAATGACTCCTGCTTCTCCTTGCTCCCTGGAACAGATGGTGCTACCACTTACCGGGAACAGGAGCCTGCAAGAAGGACAGTTCAGGGGTGAGGTACGGTGACTTGTAGACACAGTGAGAACTCGAGGCAGGCAGCTGGCTAAACAGATGTGGAGCTCAGAAAAGTGTGGGCTACAGATACACCTTTGAGACTCATCCAAAAATAGGTGGAAATGGAAGCCAAGAATGTGGATGAGATTACTGAGGGAGAAAATGTAGGAGGAGTGACCATTCCATGGCTGGCAGTGCAGGACAAACACGCGAAAGTTATGTAAGATGAGCCGAAACTGTTAGCAAAGACCAAGTCGGTATGGCTTTGTTCCCATGGCAAGGTGTCTGGATTGAAACATGTCTGGGAAATGTCCTGTATTCACTCATTTATTCAATAAATATGTATTGATGTTTACTATATGCCAAGCACTGATTTGGGTCTCGATATACTAAAATTATTAAGATGTTGTCCACAAGTGCTTCCCAATACCACTGGGGAGACAGGAATATGAGGAAACAGTTGCAATCCTATACAGTGGGTAGAATGATTGAGACAGGGACCATACAGGTCACGAAGGCAGGCTGGGTATGAGGGTGGCATTGTAACTGCAATAAATAATGACTTGGAGTTGGCCAGGAGGGGTGTGTAGCTAAGATATCTCAAGCCTAGGCGGCAGCAGGAAAGGTGGCAAGGTGTGTTCAGATCTCTGGGAGCTGTTGGGTGTGGTTGAAGGCAGTGTGTGGAAAGAGGTGAGGATGGAGAGGCAGCCAAATGGCAGATTGGGAAGGGCAGTAAGTCAGGCCAAGGAACTGAACACATTTCCCCGCAGATAGCAAGGTGTCATTCAAAGGTTTCAAAGAAAGCTATGGCATGTCAGGATCTCATTTCACCCAGGTAGCTGGCAGCTGTTCAGAGGTGACCTTTAAAGGTGATACGGCTGGGAACAAGGAGAACATTTTGGAGATGCTGCAGTGGCCAGGCAGGGGCCAGTGCAGTTGGTAGTTGTAGTTTTGGAAGTAAACGTGGAGGTAACTGAAGTTGGGACATAAGGAAAGATAGAGGTCAAGAAGGCTTCTCAGATTCCTAACTTGGGGGATGGGTGCATGGTGATTCTAGTCAAGGGAGCAGGGCTATGAAGGAGGGTGACGGGCCCAACACTTAGATAAATGACCTACCTAGAAGGTACCGCTCAAGTGGATATTTGTTGACCAGTAAAATAGAGAGAGTGAAAAGAAGACGATGGAGGCTAGAGTGTCACCCAAGCTTCTGAGTTAGGGACTAGGTAGAAAATGGTGCCAAGAACCAAACGTGCAGAAGAGGAGACGTAGCTATGGAGTGGGAAGCACAGGTCCAGCTTGGAATGCGAGCAGGAGCAAGTGAGGTATGCACAGTGCCCTCAGCTGGAGATGTCTGTCTGACCACCAAAGGCCAGAATCCGGAGCTTGGGAAGTAGAGACTTTTAAGGCTCCAGCAAGGAATCGTTGAAGCCAAGGGAAAAGACTAGCTCGCCAATGGGAAGACGGAAGGAGCATAACCTGCCCTAAATTTTGGGGGTGGAAGAAATGTCTGTTGATGGTCAAGTGATAGCCCGGCACTATAGAAATTCAAGGAACCATGTCATGAAACCAAAGGACATTTAAAATATTGTCAGCCAATTATGTCAGTCTACAATTGCATTCAAGCTACAGGTATAAAAGGCTGAGATTATAAAAATAATGAAAATTTCCTATATGTTTTCCATGCTTCTATGTCCATATATTTGTCCTTTAACATCCAGTGCCACCCTGATATGGGCCAATCATTAAGTCAGGAATACACAAGTATGTGCAAATATTATGAAAGCCTCTCAAGGAGACTGGAGAATGAAATGTGAGAAATACACCAGAAACGCTGGCTTCCGGCTCACCATGTGGGCGGGTCAGTAAAACGTTTGATGGGAGAAAAGGAACATGGAGACTGGTGGGCCATTGCTCACAAAACCTCCTTTTCCCCACTAGAGATATTCCTCCAAAACACACAAACAAATATATAAATTAAATTTGTTTGCATGTTTGTGTTTATTTTTTAAGAGCACACTATGGCAATTTCAATTAAATGAAGGTCATTTCCCCGGATTGCCATAAAACTCACATTAACTCTGTAACATTACCCGTAAGGTCTGGTCCTTTGACTCGAAATTAGCCCTAAGTCTGAAATCAGTAGGCTTCCTTAAGACAGCAGTATGAACCTCTCATCTCCAAGAAGGACCCCCGGATGGACTGAGGGGCCTTCTACTTGAGGGCTGCACTGGGAAGGTGATGGGCTCTGGGCTTGGTCGCTGGTGTGGGCAAAGGACCCATTGCAGCCCACCTGGGGGACCCTGGTCTGACCTGATGGAAGGAAAGGACCCACAGCATACCCAGCTCAGAGCAGCAAACCTTTGGTGAAAGGACAAATAAATCAGGAAACTGAAGGTATCTGGAAAGCACAATGAGGAAGGGTCCATGCAGAATTCCATCATGGAAGGAGGATAACTGAATAGAAAAGATCTACTCCTCTGTGTAGGAAACTAACCCCCGCCCTTTCTCATTTATCTGTGACAAACTGAACATTTTTGAATACTGCACATCACCTCCCACAGGCATGAGCCTCTTCCCTCCCGGTGGTCTCAGGTGACCCTGTAAATACCTTCCCAAGGCGTCCTGAGGTCAGCCTGATACACACGGGGCATTTTCCCAAAGGGGCTCCAACCGTCCTTCCCTCCAGCTTGGTTCCAGTTGTTAATCATATTATATGGAGCCCAACAGATGTCTCATCTTACAGCCAAAGTGCATTTTCTCTCCATTCATATATCTGATGCCTTTGATTTACAGTTTACATCTATTTCTTGGCTGCAGAGCCCCGTGCTCACATCATTTTCTGCAGTGCAAGGAAGTCCATGAGGGAAATGGCAGCCCCAGCAGAGGAACCTCGTCCTGCTCACAGGCACACCAGGCATGTGCTGGGTCCCCATCGTTTTTACTCTGCCACTAATTTGCATTCCTTTGTATCCATGTCCAGGGCTCCCAGCACGAAGGCACAGCGGGAAGCCTGGGTCCTGCCCTCCAGCTGCCTGCCGCCCAGCACGGGTGGCACACACTGCCCGCTGCCAGCTGGCCTCACTGCCTGCAAGCAGTTCCTCCTGGCTCCACTGTGATCTACCTCTGAGAGGTATGCAGGCTCTCGAAGGATAAGAGCTGCTATAACTCAGTCCTTCTTCCTGCTTCACTAATAAGGGACAAACTGGATGGAGTCAATGTCACTGTCCTTGGCGTCTGTTGGGATGAAGGCGTGCAATGAGCACATGATTTTGTTGAGCTGACCTCTTCTCTCCTGCACCTGGAAGCCCCTGAGGCCTGGGCCACACAGGCATTCCCAGCTGCTGCCTTGTTCCATGCGGTGGTTTCTGTGGCTGCAGCTGTGGGAAATGAGGAGTGCTTAGGGCGGGAAGACATGTGGACCCAGAGGCCAGGGGCTCTTCATTTGATCTCACCTCCTATTTTGCCCTTCACAGATGGGTTTCAGGAGACTTTTCGACCCCCCTTTCTCTGCCTCTTCACATTCTTACTCCTTCTGGCCCACTCCCTTCTGGTGTCCACTCTTCCGAGGCTGATATTGCTGAGGTCACCGCCAACCTTTGGGCCCTGATGGCCAGTGCACACTCCTTCAGCCTGATGCCGCTGAACTCCCAACACAATGTGGCCTGGTCACACCTCCTTGCTGGGCGGCCCGTCCTCCTCACCATGGGTTCCTCAGGGCTCGGCCTGGACTCCTTCCTCCTCCCTCATCACAACTCTCCAGTCTGCAGACTTTGGGCATGTGGTCTTAGAAGCCACAGATGACCCCAACCCAGTCTGCTCTTCTGAACTCATGGGATTCAACACTACTCAGTATTTCCCTTCATCTCAAGACTCAAATGTCCCAAACAGAACTCATCATCCCCACCAGAACCTGTCTCTCTCCCCACACCCCTGCCCCTGCAGATCATCCCTCAGACACTCTCCTCATCCTCACCATCCCCCTCTTCTCTGCTGCCTTCACTCAAGCAAACACATCCTGGAAAATTGGCTCCCCAAAGTCTCTGAATGTCTTCTCCTCTCTCCACCTAGCATGCAGCACCTAGCAGCCGCCGGGGCCTCCCACCTCCCTCTCCCAGGACCTCCATGGTCCATCCTCCCTCCTTCCGGCCCTGCCTCCACAGAGCACCTCAAATTAGGTTTCAAAAATGCAGAAAGGAGCCTGTCCTGCTGCACCTTTAAACCCTTCCAGGACACACCCTTCCTCTGCATGTTACACTTAGTTTAACTTGCAATGTCCTGCAGTGCCACCCCGGTCTGTGTGTCTGACTCATCTCCCATCAGATGCCTCTTACCCCATTGAACCAATAAATGATGTATTGCTTTTCCCAAGCCATGAGCACTTCTTCCCACACAGCCCCAGCCATACGGGGGCTCTGTGGGTTCCTTCCTCATGCCTGATCCCTTCTTGCCAGTGACTTTTTCAACCTGGAGAACCCACATGCACACATGCACATGAACACAGGCACACACACGCATACATATGCACACACACGTATTCACACATGCACACACAGGCACACATGCGTATTCACACATGCATATTCATACAGGCACACACAAATTCACACAGGCACATACAGGCACACACTCATTCACACATGCACACATATTCACACATTCACACAGGCACACATGCATATTCACACAGACACACATATTCACACAGGCACACATGCATATTCACACACATATTGATACAGGCACACATGCATATTCAAACAGGCACACACAGGTGTATTCACAAAGGCACACATATGCACATACATTCACAGACAGGCACACACATTCACACAGGCATACACATGCAGACACACATTCACATATGCACACACAGGCACACACACGCATATGCACACAGACACACATATTCATACATGCATGCACGGGAACACACATATATGCACACAGACACACATTCACACAGGCACACACATGCACACAGACACATTCACACAGGCACACACATGCACACACACATATTCACACAAGCACACACAGGCACACACATGCGCACACACATATTCACACAGGCACACACATGCAGACACATGTTCACACAGGCACACACATATGGACACGGGGACATGCAGGCACGCACACATATGCACACAGGCACACACACATATTTACACAGGCACACACACATATTTACACAGGCACACACAGGTATAGTCACTCAGACACACATTCACACAGGCACATGCATGCATATGCACACAGGCACACACATTCACACAGGCACACACACATATATTCACACAGTCACACACACATTCACACAGGTGCACACATATTCATACATATTCACACAGGCACACACATGCATATTCACACAGGCACACACATATTCACACAGGCACACACAGGCACACACATGCATATTCACACAGGTACACACATAGTCACACAGGCGAACACATGTTCACACAGGCACACACATGTTCACACATGTGCACAGATGTGCACACACATACATATTCACACATGCACACACGGGCCCACACTCATCCCTCCTTTTTCCTGCTAATCTTTTCTCTGCTCTGCTGATGAGCAGCTCCAGGAGTGGACAGTGAAGCCTCCAGGCTCTGTCAACCAGCTTGAGCTCCCCATCCTTGCTTAAGGCACCCGGTCTTTGGTTTCTGGAGCTCCTCTCAAATATGACCTTGCAGCCCTTGGTGCCTTCACTTGGTGGCTGCCGACTGCTCCGCAGCGGTCCTCACTCTCCACGGACTCCGAGGCCTGACTGACTGTGCCTTGCTGCAGGCTCGACACCCGGCACTGCCCAGTGTCTCATGCAGGGGCGCTCAGGCTGTGAATAAATGGGGCAGACACCGCAGGACGGCCAGAGCGCCCACGGGGACCCCATGTGTGGTCAGTGCAGCGTATGGGGTCTCAAAACAACGTGACTTAAAGATCCAACAGTGAGACGATGGTTAAGTGACAACCACCGTATAATGGGATAATAAGCGTGGGTAGACGTTCTTTTCAGAGAACATTTAATGATGGGAAGACGATCGTAACATGTTGAGAAAAATAAAAGCAAAACAAATTACCAAATACCCAGAGCCTACCATTTATTAAATAAATTCCAATGTAAATTTTAATTCAATAAATACATATCACTAGGCATGAATGTGGAACTGAAAACAGTATGTCATGGATACTAGCACATAAGTATCAAAAGAAAGGACAAAATACAATTTTGTATTTTCTGTATGCATTTCTATGCCTTTCAAATATTTTATAATAATGTGCTATTTTGTGATCTAATGAAAAAATTAAAATTTTAAAGAAAATAAACACTTAAGAAAATTCTATGCTATGCCTTTCTAATTTCCCATGGCTGATGTATTGAGCGTGTCCTCACTCCCTCATGATTACCCACGCTCCTCTAACACCCACACCTCCACCCACGCCCAAGACCGTGTGCACACTTGTACCTGCACTCCACCTCATACCTGTGTTCACACTCACACCTACTGTATCCCAGACCCACACCTGTGCTCACACCTGCACCCTCACCCACACCTACATCCACCCCACACCTCTACCCACACCCACAACTATATCCACCCCACACCCACACCTACATCCACCCCACACCTCTACCCACACCCACACCTACATCCACCCCACACCCACACCTACATCCACCCCACACCTCTACCCACACTCACACCTACATCCACCCCACACCCACACCTACATCCACCCCACACCTCTACCCACACTCACACCTACATCCACCCCACACCTACAACATCCCACACCTGTACCCACAGTTGTACACTCACATCTGTGCCCACCTGTACCTAAACCCTCAGCGGTACCCACGCCTATACCTGTAGCCCAATCCACACCTGTGCCCACACATATACTCACATGCATACCTACATCCACCCCACACCTATATGCACACTCACATCCGTGCCCACACTTGTACCCACACCCACACACCCAACTCACACCAAGTATCTTTTTGAGGAAAAACCTGACAGTATACTAAAGTTACTTAAAATATGTATATGTTGTTGTTTTTGATGTGGTATACCTTCTTGTAAGAAACCATCATAGAGCATACATAAAAGTTTAAATAAAATGTAATCAATATATGGTTGTTTATAATGGAAAAGATTGAGAGAATGATGGTTAAGTAAATAAGAATTAAATTATAACAATATTTTGCAGTCATTAGAAATTGTGATTTTGCACCAGAATGCTGCTACTTCACCATTTCAGCACCCCCATTACAAACACATGCTAATGACAGATAAAAATACAAGGAAGGAAATATCAAAAAGACACGGGCACACAGAAAAACATAACCCATGCCCTCTTGGACCCAAGGGAACAGGGACAGCAAGTGGGCAAATGGGTTTAGGCTTAAGACCCCTGTGCTGGGGACAGGCAGTTGGTGACCAGCTAACCAGGCTCCATGGGCTGCAGAGGCCACTGCTGGGAACCAGGGCTGGAAAGGGGTTCCACTGATGAAAGGAGGCTGCCAAGCTGCTGCTGCTAACTGTTGGTGGCTGCATCTCCTGGGAAGCCACAGCCTGAAGGGGAAGGAAAATCTGGCATAGTCTCGTACCCAGGACTAAACTCACCTTCAGGGAGGGCAAGGACTGAATCTACAGTATCCTCAATTACTTCACACGGCATAAAGTGATTTAAAGTACAGTTTTAGTATCTATCAGGACATAAAAACACAGTACACTGTAGGAAATCTGCAGACCACCAGGGATGTCAAATTATCTAAAAAGTTTCCAGAAAGGTTTATCTTTTGAAAGATTATTCACCAAGAGAAGAAAATTGGACAGAAGACTTCTCAATAGCAACAAAACAAGCCTAAATATGAGAGGGGACTATCCTCAAAGTGCTGCACAAACAACAAAAAAAAACCACACAACACTTGTCAACCTTGAATTCTGTACCCAGCTAGATATGATTCAGGAGTGGAAGAAAAATAAAGAAATTTACAGATAAACAGAGGTTAAAAATTCACCACTCAAAGACCCTCATTGAAAGAACTGCTAGGAGTCTTACTTCAGCAAGAATAAAAGCAAACCCAGAAGAAGAAGTGGGTGCAACAAATATTGATAAAATACATTGGCAAGTTTAATTAATTATTGACAATGATAATAATTAATTATGTGTGTTTTGTAGTGAACATAACCTTAGTCAACAGTAAAAAGAAGGATGAGAATGAGGCAGGAAGTTAGTTAACTGGGCATTGAAATGTGATAAATTGCTAGCCTTGTCCGGGGGTTAGATATAGATATGGAATGATTCTGCAATACATATTTAAAATCATTGTTAACAAAATTTAAATAGCAAAAGGTAACCACTGGAATGGGAATACAATCTGTAACTTCCAAACCATCAGAGAAAAACAACACAATGGATATGGAAAACTTGTTAAATCCCTCAGAGAAGATAGGAGAAAAGACAAAAAGGTATATATTGATAAACAGGGTCTAGAATGTAAGATGTTCAAAGTTCTAAATGTGTCCATTATTGCAGTGCACGTAATAAGTTGAACTTATATATTAAAATTAGAAAATCAGCTGTGTTTAACAACAACAACAATAAAAAGTGTATGCTTCTGCTAGTAAATAGACCTGAATCAAATGAATCAAGAATGTTTTCAAAAGAGATAGAAAAACATATTGGAGAAACATTAACTGAAAGAAAATTGCTGTAGTAATATTGACATAGAAAATATAAATATTGATGTTAAAAGAGACCTTACATTACAAGAGCAATCCCTCAAGAAGATATTGCAATCATTTTAATTAAAAAACAATAATAACACATTTTGAAAACTAAGAGAATTACTAAAAAAACCATAGTTTAAAGAGGAAATCATAAGGCAGCAATGAAATTATAAAATATTTTAAATGAGAAGCCATGACATTAGTGCCTACAAATACTTGTAGGGTGTATCTAAAGCTGTATTTGGAGGTAAATTTATAGCCTTTAATACACTTATTAAAAGAAAAAAATGTTGAAGTAAATAAAAAGGAAATAGAAGAAAAGAATAGCAATGTTAAGGGCAAAAGCAACTGAAATAAAATAGAGACCTAAAGATGATTCTTTAAAAAAAATTTAATAGAAAAAACAACAACAACAAAACTCCAAGTATGAGCAAGAGAAAAAGAATAGGAAAAGTGCACAATATAAGAATATTGAGAATGAAAAGAGGCTTAATTACAGATCCAAAATATTCTTAACAGCTTAATGTCAGTACCTTTGAAAAGTCAAACAAAATGTACAAGTTTCCAGACAATATTGCCAATATATTACTAAAAATGTCTTATTAATAAAATGCCAAAAGTCTAAATAAACCTATAATCACTAAATAAATTGAATTGTTAGTCAGAATTTAATACTCAAAATAACATTAGAGGCAAAGATAGTCTTACAGGTAAAGTTTTCAAATCTCTGAGAACAGATGATTCTCATTTTATGTAGTCATAAAAGACTAGAAAATAATTGAACATCAATGCAACTCAGATTTTCTCTAGGAATGCCAAAACAGCACCACGTCAATAAATGCCATATACCACATTAGCATATTAACAGGAAAAGGGCATTTTACACGTGATCATTACAGTGAGTTCAGAAAAACATAGAATAAAATCACTACTCATGTTAAGAAAATGAACAACACTTAACTGAAGAGAAATAGAAGGAAACTTTCTTAACCTCGTGAAAGAGTGTGTCGTCCCCAAATGCAGAGCCAGCGTGATCCTCAATGGCCACATATTATACACATTTCTTCATAGTTAACAAGGGAAGGACACCCCAAGATCTTCAGCACTGTGCTGGGGCCTAAGCCAATGCAATAAGATCATAAAATGGAGTTTTTAAATGTAAGGAATAGTCAAAAGGCCATTATTTGCAGATAGTATTATGCACACGGAATGGCAACTCATGGGAGAAATATCAATGGGCAATAATCATGAGAAATCATTTATAACCTATGACATGGTTTGGCTCTGTGTCCCCACCCAAATCTCACCTTGAATTGTAATAATCCCCATGTGTCAAGGGTGGGGCCATGTGGAGATAACCGAATCATGGGGGCAGTTTCCCTTATACTGTTCTCATGGTAGTGAATAAGTCTCATGAGATCTGATGGTTTTATAAAGGGCAGTTCACCTACACATGCTCTCTTGCCTGCCTCCATGTAAGATGTGTTTTGCTTCCCCTTTGCCCTCTGCCATGATTGTGAGGCCTCGCCTGCCATGTGGAACTGTGAGACCATTAAACCTCTTTTTCTTTATAAATTATGCAGTCTCGGGTATGTCTTTATTAGCAGAGTGAGAACAGACTGATACAACCTCATAAATGTGAATCAAAACAAAACACTACCTCGCTTATGACATTGGCAAATATTTTAACAATGAAAACCAGTGCTGGTTCCTGTGATGACATTGTAGTTTTGTTCTCTCTGTGTAGGCCCTTAAATTGGTATGACTTTTCTGGAAAGCAGCGTGTGTGTGTGTGTGTGTGTGTGTGTGTGTGTGTGTGTGTGTATCTATATTAAGTTCCATGTGTTAATGGGAATGTAGAATTTCTGAGGCAAGGAGTACAATCTTGCCTCAGGACGTCTGAAAGCTTAGGCAGTTATGTCCTGGTACCTAGTAGTCCACTTAACAAATGCTTGCTAAACAAATTAAAGAAACGTGTACAAACTATTCATATCATTAGGATATATTTGCTATTTTTGTTGCAAATATTTTCCCAGTGTGGTTCGTCTTGTTCAGTGTGGTTGACAGGGTTAATTCTTTCAAGGCCAAGCAGCTTCAGAGTGGAGGAGGTAGGCTCCAGCCCAGGTGTGTCCGAGTGTGAAGTTACTGCCCTTATCTGGGACGCTTCATTAGATATAAGGATGTGGCGATTGATGGGGCCAGACAGAGAGGCAGGGCCCAGACACAGCATGAAGGTTTTTAGTGCCCACAGCTAAGGAGTCTGGGCTTTATTTAATAGTTCTGAGATATGAAGGAGGAATGGAGCAGATTAATTGGCACATGTGTGGTAGCGGGGCGGGTTGGAGGTTCCAGAGGGTCATTTGAATTTAATGGCTGTAAACAGGGGAATAACATGATCTTATTTTTGGTTTTAAGGGAGGAAGGAATACACAGGTGGAGCACGAGGGATTTTTAGGGCTGGGAACTATTCTGGATGATGCTGTGATGGTGGATACATTCCATTATGCCTTTGTCAAAACCCACAGAATGTACAACACAAAGAAGTAAGCTTGGACTTAGGTAATGTATCAGTACAGGTTCACTGGTTGTAAAGTATGTCCCTATGCTAATGCAAGATGTTAATAACAGGGGAAACTTGGGGGTTGGGGGAGGCTGAGGGACTGTAAGAGAACTCCTTATTTTCCAATCATTTTTCTGTGAACCTAAACCTATTCTAAAACAAATCTATGAATAATTCTTAAAAGATGATTCTACTATGCAGCCATAAAAAAGAATGAAACGGTGTTCTTTGCAGTAACATACACGCAGCTGGAGGCCGTGATTCTAAGTGAGTCAGTGCAGTAACAGGAAAGCAAATACCACATGTTCTCACTTACAAGTGGGAGCTAAACTTTAGCTACTCATGGACATCAACCTGAGAACAATAGACACTGAGGACTCCTAGAGGTGGAAGGGAAGGAAAAACTAACTACTGGGTACTATGCTCAGTACCTGGGTGATGGGATCACTTGGATCCCAAACGTCAGCATCATGCAGTCTACCTAGGTAACAAACCTGTGCATGTACCCCTTGAATCTAAAGTGAATATGGGAGAAAAAGTCATTCTGGTGGCAAAGGAGAGGCTGAAGGAGCGTCAGGCAACATTTCCATCTCTTATGCCAGAGTCCCTCCAGGCTAACCTAGCCCTTTGCCCAGGGACCACAGTCTGTCCCACTGCTCAGAGGTGCATGGGATGGCAGGGGAGAGGCCCACAGGCTCTTCCGGTGCATGGCCTGGGAAACTGAGGTGTAGTTGGCAACCTATTTGCATGACACCCAAGGAAGGTGCTTGAGCTGCCCGTACAAGGGCTGGGCTCCTTGCCGAGGCTTGGGTCTTGACTACCCTTCCCCCTGTGAGGACCGCCTGGGGAGGGTGGCGCGTGGTATTCTGAGGACAAAAGCCAGAAATGCCGCCTCGTGTGTGACCTTCTCCTGGGAGAATGGAACTAAGATGGTGTGGAGAGGGGCCTGAAGCAGCTTTGGCAAGGGGGACAGCATACACCACACCTGGGGAACTTCACCCTAAATGTTTAAAGAAATGAGCAGGGCTCTAAATCACTCAACCTGGGGATCTCTCTAGCCAGAAACAAAGACTGATTTTCACAGACGTCTTCAGTCTTCCAGTGATTAGGAAGAAAGTTCCAGTAGAGCTGAACTTCCCTTTAATGTTCTCAAGGGCAAGGGGATCCTTCCAGGCAAGCAGTGGGTACGGCCTCCTAGCAGACACCTCATAGGCTTGGCTGCCCTGGGTTTCCCAGCCTGGCTCTGAGTCTCCCCCAGTACCTCGGAAGACTTTCCATTATAGTTGTTTATACTTTTCATGCTTTAAAAAAAGAAAAATAAAAGTGGGGGCGGGTGGGTATTTGTACATTGCATGTCATTCATTATTCCAAATGTAATTTTAATCAGTTCAACATGAAAGCATCTTAATATTCTCAATAATGGCACTAGTAACTTTAAATATTAAAATCCACATTAGGAATTCCCCTGTCTATGTAGAAACTGCAGTATTTGCATTATGGATTGTGAGTTTGACCCAGTCACTACTTTCTGAACTCAATTTTACATGATCCTATGGCTGGCTACCAAGCCCCCAGCAAATGCCAGGGAGATTAGTGGTAAACAAGGCCCTAACACATCGAAATTAAATGTTCCTAATTATCAACTTTAAACAAATCCTCATTGTGCAGCAGGGGTAATTCCTCTCCGCGTGTTTGTGACACTCAGAGAAGGTTTTAGGACACACAGCATTACCATAATTTTTTCAACTGGGGTTCTCATAGGACATCAGATGAAGTCTCTACCCTTAATTTTAATTGCATCGGCTGCATTCTTAATTAAACACTGTACAAATGGATTTTATGCCATGCCAAAAGGAATCCAAGTTCATTAGTTATAAAACCTTTTAAAAATTGATGCAAATATGTGAATTCCTTAAAAGTTTGAACTCAAAGTCCTCATTTTATGTCAAGTTGCTTTTAATCTAGAGAATAATGAAGTCAACATAAATTAAGGTTTTTCCCTCTTTTTTGGGGGGGGGGCGATTTCTGTCATTCTGATTTTACATTTTTCCTTGTAGAATGAGATTCATTTTAAATTCAAATACTTTTGAGATTTGTAGAAGGGGGGAAATCCTTATTGACCTTTTCTCCCTGGGTTTTACAAATGAAAGCTCATAAACCCTTTAATAATTTTTCTTATTAAGCCACAGTTACATCATCTTCAATAACAATAGAAATCAAATTTGCCAACCTATAGAATTAAGAGGAGCCTTCTCTAAATGCACGATTTACTCATTGTTGTAAATTTATACTTTTCAAATTTAGATAATTTTATTCCAAAATGTTGTCAAAGCCACCCTTGTATTTGTTTAAGCAGTGAACAGCTGAGCTCCGTCAAAGAGACTGCAAGACTGTTTTCTTTTGCTTTAGTTTGATTTTACCAAGCAGGGTTCGTTACACACATTGGGCATTAAATAAAGATATATATTTGTTGAACATGTGGATTGCAGGTTCTCACTGAAAAGGAGGAAGGTTATCTATTCCAGATTAAATAAATTTGAGAGGTTAAGGATATGAAAGCTTGTCATAACTAAATTGTTGCCCAGTGTTTATCTGAAAAAATAATGGCTTTACAATTTGCATTGTAACAATAGAAGTATGGGCATCTATACACACTGCATAGGGCTGCGCTGTCCCTTCTGCCAATCATTGGTCTTATGTGGCTATTTAAGCTTAAGTTCAAATTAGTTCAAAGTAAATAACATTGAAAATTCGGTTCCTCAGTCACACCAGCCACACTCCCAGGACTCAGTAGCCAGACACCATGGCAGAAGGTCCCATGGGGCACTGTTGATGTGGGACATCTCATACTTATGTGTGTTCCTCTGTTACCTGTCCCTGGACCTTGGCTCACATCATTTCCACTTTGCTCCCCACAAAAGCTAAAAATGTGAAGGGCATTTAGCTCCTTAGAAGCACACCTCACACCCTAGTGCCCAGGGAAGCACACTCCAGTTTCTCTGGGTAGATGCTGGCTTTCCCATCCCCATCTGTTCCAAGGCCCCGCTCCTGCCAGGACACAGCATCCCTGAGGGCAGCCTCCTCCTCTACTCTCCCAGCCTCCCCAGGGCCTTTTGCAAAACATTTTCCTTGTGGGGATCTCTAACCCTATTTATATTTAAGCAAGCTTGTTTCCCCGCTGTATCCAAGAGTGAGCCTCATCAGACACTTCAGGATTCTATAGGTGTGACACATGTGTGACAAATAACAGCTGGTCCTACTCACAGGATGAAGCTGCTTCACAGCCCCTCTCAGGTTAATAGAGAAGGCCAGGTGCTCCTCCCCACTCACCATGTTCAAGAAGGTCCTGAAATAGTGTAATGCTCAAGCCTTATGAGGCAAATGTATAACATTCACTGGCTCTTAGCTAACCAAGAATTTTACTACTACTACTATGGAGAGGAAAGAAGGTTTCATAGGAAAAATGAAAGCATTGGAAAGTTCTGGTCAGAGACTGAAAATATGAGCAAAATTATTGGCCTTGTGGGTAACCAGAGTAAGCTGTGCATACTCTTCTCCTACATTTCTAGAATCTCAGAGAGATTGCCATATGTATCAGTCAGCCATTGCTGCAGAAAGAATAGCCCCAGTGCTTAGCATAAAACAGCAACCATTTTTTCTCTTGTATCTGAAGGCAACTAACAGGTGGGCTATGGTGGACATAGCTGGGATGACTCAGCTTTGCTACACAGGTCTCTCATCTTCCAGCAGGCTAGCCCAGGCTAGTTTTCAGAGTAAAGACAGCAAAATAAGAGAGCTAGCAGGAGCATGCAAGGCCTCTGAAGAACTAAGGTTCCAAACTGGCATATGGTCACTTTGGCCATACCCCATGGGCCAACAAAAGTCATCAGGTGTCCCAGAGTCAACAGGTGGGGAAAGAGATGGGAAGAACTGCAAAGTCACAATGCAAAGGCACAGATACAGAAAGACTGAAGGATTGTGGTTATTTTCTTTTCAATGTAACAGCTTAAATTGGGATATAATTCACATACCATAGAATTCCCCCATTTAAAGGGTACAATTTAATGGTTTTTGGTATATTCACAGAGTTGTGCATCCATCACCACAATCAATTTTAGAATATTTTCTTAACCCCAGAAAGAAACTCCATACCCATTAGCAATCACTTCCTATTTCCCTCCAATTTCCCCCATACCCCCAGTCCAAGACAAACACTAATCTGCTTTCCAACTCTATGGGTTTAAGGACTGTAGCTATTTTTGCAATGGGTCTTCCCACACATCTCCTTCCCCAAAACCGCCATGAAAAATGCTATTCCAAGAGCAGCAGAACACTGGTCTACTGAAAGACACGATTTATTTTCTGCCTCTGTCACACCCATGAACGTTAGACTAATTAATGGGGTGCTGAGGCCAGAGCCTGAGCCCCAATGTCAGATTTCCTGGACATCATTTGAAATGGCCACCTTCCACCAGAACCTCAGTGGAGGAGACTCCTGTCCGGGGAGCTTTCCTAGGCATAGGCAGTCGGCCTCGCCCATGGAAGTTCTGGCTTGAAATTTCATGTAAAAGCTGCAATAACTTCTGGGTTAAGAAAAGTTCAACCATGTTTTTCTCCGATTTCTTTGCCTTTGCCTTTGCTCTTCTCCATCTGCAAATGAAACTAGGAGTGTTGAAATGTTGCAAGGAAAAAAAAAATACTCTCATGGTATTTCTGATCCAAGCGGAAGCAGAAAGTGCCAAGGAATCTCATGGGAGAAGCTCTTCTCAATGATTTTCAGTTGAATTTTTACAGGCCCATGAGGTTAGGATAGTTAAACAATCTTTGGATAAATGCCGTTGGCTTTTTATTCATTTATGAACTAACCCTTCAATTCTTTTGAGGTTCAACCATCAGCACTTTCTACAGAGCCTGAAAACAAAATGTTTCAATATGATTGGAATACACAGTGTTCAGAAAATGTCATAAAATGGGAAATAAAACCCCGGCATTTTATTTAATAGAATTATTCAAAGGCTTCTTTATGAATTGTGTTTACACAGAAATTCATTGAGGTCAAGTTGAGTAAATCAGCAAATTAGATACACTGGTCCCTGACTTAATTCCTCTGTGTTTTAGAATTCTAAACTTTCTGCCCACTTGGCTGGGTCTGCCTGTGGATTTCAAATATCTCACCATGAAGAACAGCCAGAAGAGAACTGTAAATTTGATCCTCCAAGAGAGGGAAAGAGTGGAAGGTTTGCACGACTGTGGATCCAACAAAGCTTCTGGAACGAAATGTGGCCTTATGAATAACATCGAGATTATCTTCCCAAACTCCCCCCCACACACACTTTCTTTCTGCTTCAAGGAGAGGACAGCTGGAGCCAGAAAAACTCAGAGACATTACATCAGGGATAAAGGTGGGTGGAGAGGGAGAGAGAGAGAGACAGAGAGAGAGAGAGAGAGAGAGCCAGTGAGGGGGGAGGAAGAGGAAGAGGAGGGAGGGAGGGCCTAATGAAGCACCAAGCAAAGCAAATTGCATTTATAATTTTGTAACTACTCATTTTTCCAGAATTATTAAAGAAATGGAGGAGGAGAGAAAAGTAGAGAGGAAGCTTCAATATAGCATCTTTAAGTGTTTTGTCTGCTTAAAAAAAGCAAAGCACCAGAACATAGAACCGTAATTTGAGGAGGGAGCCGGTCCCTCTGCCAAGCCAGCCTTTTCTCTGTAAAGCTTTTGTTTCTTCCAAGGTGCCATAAAGCCTGAAAGGAAAGGAAATGATGAGCTGGAATGTCATTCTTTTCAGATCTTTCTTCTGCTGCTGACTTTGATTCCAGCCCCACAGCCTGCCCCACTTGGCTCTGCCTTCCTTCCCCACCTGATTCTGGTGCCATGAATGGAGTTTATCAGCCAGCAGCGGGTGCGTAGGGAGCGGTCCAGGCATAATGGATGCAGGACGCATTTGTATGGATTCCTTTACACCTTGAAAAGCGGCATCTTGTCCTGGACTTTCCTATTTCAATGACTTACTTGAGAATATTTCGCAAAATGTTGAAACTGCGAGGGTCCTTGAGGACTCACAGAGTGTAACGATTAAGCCATGTGCCAGAAAAAAGAAATGCATGCAATACACACAACTTCTCGATTTGTGCTAGAATCGTAAACTTTACCAAGAAACTTTAGACCCCTCTAAATATGTCTTGGCTCCTGTTCCAGGAAGAGGAATACTAGAAAGAGGCAAATAGTTAAGGACCATGTTTTCTTTTTCACCCCTTCTCCCAAAGTTAGTATCAAAAACAAATAAACACCACTATTCAAGTTCTGCCTCATCTGTTCTTGCACTTTCTCTTCTAACCGCCAGCCCCTCTTTCTCTCTGCAGCCGCCAACCCCGCAGGGCTCTGATCTTTCTAATCCACACTTGAGTTCCGATATTTGAGTACCTGTGATTTTCAGGCTGTGCGCAGGGCACTAAAAGCACCTAGGTGAGCAAGACACACTCCCTGTCTCCAGGCACCTCCTGAGCCAGCAAGAGAAATTGCAATCCTGTGTGATAAATTCTCACCGGAGGTATTTGCTCAAGTTACCTGGCACCTAGAGGAGGAAAGCACTGACTTGGATGGGGGAAGTCAGAGAAGACATCAATGTGAGGGGAGATATTCTGACAGGATATTAAATACTAGGTCAGAGTTTTCAGGGCAGAGAAATGAGAAGAAAGTGTTCCAGGAACATGAACACTGCAGCAAGTGCAGGGAACAGGTCCTGGCAGCTTGCGCTGTGCTCAGAAGAAACAAAGGGTCCTTCCAGGCTGCAGCTCAGGGTCTACTGTGCAGAGGAGAGGAAAACAAATCCTATGAGGCCTCCTGTGAAGGGCCTCACAGGCCACAACAAAGAGGCTGAATCTTATGTATCTTGCATGGTGCTGTGGGAAGGTTGGAAGGTGGCCCAAGACATGGGAGGAGCAGTTGTGAGGGTGCCTGCTAGGAAGATATTGCAACATTCCAGCAAGGACGGGAGAGATCCGCGAGGCTTCTCAGGTGGTAGGCATAACTTGGGCACCAGTTGATGAAGACAGTATCTTAAAGACAAGAGTCTGTTTTGTCTGAGAGGCCTAGAAGATATCAGAAAGTTAGTGATGATGGCATCCGCCCACAGGCAAAAAGTGTGGGGAAAGCATCTGAGGAAAGAGATGAGAATAGAAGAGAAAATGACTTAAGTTTGGGATGTTCTGAGTCAAGGCACCTGTATGATTGATATGGTTTGGTTCTGCATCCCCACACAAATCTCATGTCAAATTGTAATTCCTGGTGTTAGAGGAGGGACCTGGTAGGAGGTGATTGAATCATGGGGATGGATTTCTCACTTGCTATTCTCATGGTAGAGGTCTCAGGAGATCTGGTTGTTGTAAAGTGTGTGGCACCTTCCCCTTTGCTCTCTCTCTCCTGCCAGCCATGTGAAGATGTACTTGCTCCCCCTTCACCTGCCACCATATATGTTTCCTGAGGCTATCCCAGAAGCAGAAGCCTGTACAGCCCACAGAACCGTGAGCTGATTATGCCTTTTTGCTTTATAAATTGCCTAGTCTTAGGTATGTCTTTACAGCAGTGTAAGAACAGACTAATACAATGATCAATCGGCATTGAGTAATCTAGGATGCCACTGGAAATACTAGAATGATTGAGGAAGAACTGGGGGTATGGAGTAAGAAATGTGAAATTGGTGGGTAGGTTAAGCATGGCTTAAAGTCTTGAAAAGACTGAGATGGCCCAGGCACATTTCATAAAGGAAGGGAGCAGAGCAGATGAGGTCAAGAGGGGCTTAGGGATAGTAGCAGCGCATTTCACTCCAAGGACTCTCAAATCCTAACTACTGGTTTTCACCCTGCCCCTGCAATGCTGGGTAAAAGCTCCAACTGGCTTATGTATACCCCATCTGCTTCTGGACTCATCCAAGACCTTGCAAAGTGCCACTTCTCTGCCCTCTGCTACTCAAAAGCACAAGACGGCATCTCAGAAAAATGCATTTCTTCAGGCAATCTACATTCATTTAATAGACTTACCTTCTGACTTTATGTGCATGAAGTATACGACAAGGTATGAATATAAAATGCAATAAGATACAGGCCCTGTCCCCAGCCCTACTTGCCCATCCCCGACAAAGGGACAAAGGGTGTGTACATGCCAGGCTGAGATCACAGACCTCAAATCAATAAATGCAATCAATTTTTATGGGCCATTGGTGAAGGTGAGCATTTGCTGATTACTTTGGTGACTCACAGGAGAGATTTTTAAGGATACAAGATGAGAGATAAAGAGAAGAAAAGAGGGAGGGCTTCCCAGAGGAAGGAAAAGTTGAGCTGATCCCTGGAGGGAGGAATTCCTGCTGCCCATGGGCTGCTCTCACTCCTTTAACTCCATCTGCTCTGCTCCCTTCCTCTATGAAATGTGCCTGGGCCATCTCAGTCTTTTCAAGACTTTCAGCCATGCTTGACCTACCCGCCAATCCCACATTTCCCTCTCCAGACCCCAGTTATTCCTCGGAATTATTCTAGTATTTCCAGTGGCATCTTAGATTACTCAATGCAGATTGATCATTGTATTACTCTGTTTACTTCATCCAGGTTAAAGGAGTGAGAGCAGCCTAGGGGCAGTAGGTCCGATGCTGAGGAATTCCTGCAGCTGGGCCTAGCTGGGGTGAGGGAGAGGGGCAAGGGAGAGTTTAGGGAGGTGCTCAGGGATGGGTCACAGAGCCCATTTATGCCAGAAGAAGGAATTTGGACCCCATCTTGTAATCAAGGGGGAATACCAAAGAATTCTGTAAGAAGCATCATGATCAGCTTTGCAGTCAGGAAAGGTCTCAGACTTCAGGAAAGGAGACCAATCCGAAGGCGGGCTGCACTGTGGGCTGGAGAGGAGAGGGATCGGAGAAGGGACTGGCCACTGTTGAGGAGTGAGGTAAATAAGAGCAGGAGACACCTCTCAGCCTCCTGGTTGGGGCCTGAAGGACAGAGGTGTCGCTGATCTGGATGGGGAACCAAGGACAAAAAACAATTGAAGGAGGGGATGATGAGGTGAGATCCATGGTAGGAGGAGGGACTTGACAGAGTTATCATCAAGCTCTGAGGTGGGCTGGTGTACTCTCCACCACCTCAGCTCAGACAGGGCAATACCGTCCATGCCATTGTTACCATTGGCGTGTCTGTGTTGAATACCTTCAATAATACCTTTACCATTAAAATGTTAAAGTATTCACTGTTAAATTTAAATATGCATATATTCCAACCTTTATCTACACATGTGATCCCACCTCCAACTTCTCCGAAATTTCCAATGAGATGTCACTGCTAGAAGACCAACTGGATCAGCTAAATTCTCTTAACAGTGAGATTAATGGTAATTTTACTACATGGGTGTCTGGTAGGACTATTTCACCAATCTTTGAGGGAAACTGGATTCCTTTCAGTCTACTCATGGAAGCTCTAATTTTCATTTCTATCTCTCTGTGTTTTTCCATCTTGCTGATGTGAAATAATGTAACAGAAAGCACAAAACTTACACAAACAGTAAGTACAAATAGTTCAAAATTTTTCTGAGTATAATAATGTCTTCCAGAGATGGAAAGATGGTTTATCTGCAAATAATTATCCAACAACTATTGTGTAATGCTATTACTGGTCTATTTTCTGGAATAATAACAACATTGAAAACCACCATGTGTTTGTTAAGCAAATCTTTCAGTTCTTTTAGTAAATTAATAGAGTAAATTTTATGACAATTCTCTGTTTCATCCAAAAGCCAAGCCAAATATTTGTTCCACTCAAGTCAACAACAAAGCAAGTACCACCATCAAAAAAAAAAAAAAAAAACAGTTGACAAGAATTTATAGCATAGAATTTGAATTTTCTAATTTGAAATAAAAACTATTGAAAATCTCACTCTACTGCTGTTGATTTGCCTGGGGACACCATTTCTACTAACACCCTCCCATCTCTGAAGGACCCTGGGAAGGAAAGGCATAGTAAATACAAGGGCAAAGAAGAAGCTGGGTTTGGAGAAGCACAGAAAAGACAAAACAGAAGTCATCTACATAAGGCATGACTTCAAGCCTCCAACCAAGTCATTGCCATTCTTTCCCTTCCGAGCTTCAGAAAAGGCTTCAGAAATCATTTTACTAATTTCCTCCACCTCTGAGCTTGGCTTCCATTTAGGATATAGAAATCCTCACAATAACATTGCTCCCACCCTACAATAAGAAACAAAAATGTTGGATAATCTATAAATCTTACATTTTCTTGAGCTGAGATCATAAGGCAGCAAGGTAAACTGAAATCTGATAAGCCTCTTCTAGGAGATATAAGACACATTAATGGCTTCACTTTTGGCAGGATGTGGGGAAAGGAAGCAGAAACCATGAGAACAAGTAAAAAGAAAAAAACTGAAGTTCTAACAAACTCTTAAAGGCTGAGTATGGGATTCAATGAGAATTTTAACCCATTTATGTTGGAGGCTGCACATTTTTGTGTGTGTGAAAGATCAGACCATAGCGATGACTTTGAGCAGTAGGATATAAATAACTCCCACAAGCTTAGCATTCCAATAATGGAACACTAGGCATAAATGGGTTCCCTGGGTGCCCCACACACAGAGGGAGCATCCACAATCATTCACAGGCTCCTTTTCTCAGGCCACCACTAGGTGCTTACAAGAAAAGCTGGGGCAGACAGCAGATTTATGAAATTCCCCCATTGACATATATGCACAAAACCCTGCTTCCTAGAATCTTCTTTCACATTAAGGAAAAGGCTTAAACCACCGGGGAAGGGCCAGGAACCCTCCTCCCAACCCCAGGACACAAGTGAACATCCACTTCCTCTGTAGAATAGGTAGAAACAAAACCTACCTCTTCCTGACGAAGAACCAGAAAATATTCCCTGCCTCAAACAAGAGCTTTGAAGTCTGTTCCTGGGAGAGAAACAGGAAACTCTCCCACCAAACTCTCTCTTATACATGTATGGCAAAATCTGGTACACTATTAAGGGATGAGAAAACTAAGAAAACTCCACCTCGTTTACAGACACGCAACGCCTGCCTAGGGTTGTGGCTAGGCCAACATTGCTGAGAATTGTCTCCCAATCCCACCCTGAGCCTTGCACCAAGCAGAAGAAAGTAGTCAAGCAGTGGAGAGTACACATCATAGAGAGAGACCCCACTGTTCATATCCGTGCAAGGTCTGTTGACAGCTTAAGATGAAGCAATAACATTAAAAGACCACCTAGCAGCCTAGGCAAGCCAGCAGCAGCTCGTAGCTGGAGGAATTTTAAGTCTGTGGTACACTAAATATAACTGTAGCAACAACAAAATCCAAACACAACTCAGCTAACACCTAGGTAGACCCAACATTACAAAATAATGACCTGGAATAGGAAGAAGCAAGCCCATTTACAGTACAAATGCTCTTTGCCTCAGTATCCACTATACTTCTACCCATGATGTCCTTCAGTCAATCAAAAACTATTACACACACACACACACACGTGTGCACGGGTGCACCCAAAAGCAAAGGGGAAAAAAGCTTTCAAGAGTAAGATAGTCAACAGAAACAGAACCAGAGATGATTCAACTGTTAAAACTAACAGAGTGTGACTTCAAAATAACTAATCAATATGTTAAAGGATCTATTGGAAAAGTGAACATTTTGCATAAGGAAACGAAGGAACCCCAGATAACTGATGGAGACTATAAAATAGAGCCAAATGGAAATGCTGGCAATAGAAAATACAGTATCACAGATGAAGAATTCCTTCAATTGACACGTTAGCAGACTAGACAAGGCAAGAAAAAATAGTAAATTTGAAGCTAAATATATTGAAATTACCCAATCTATAAAACAAAAAGGAAAAAGAGTGGAAGTGGGACATATGGAGCAGAATACCCAAGAGATATGAGACAGTATCAGATGGTCTAATATACTTGCAAATATAGTTCCAGAAGGAGGAATGAGGGAAAGACGCAGAAAAAACACAGAAGAGAAAATAAGCATTTTCTGAAATTAATGCAAGACAGCCAACCAGAAAACCAAGAAGCTAAGAACTTTGAGAAGTGTAGATTAAACAACACACACACACATACACACAGGCGTGCGCACACACACTTCAACCCAGGCCAGTTCAAACCACGAGAAAAAACAAGGAGAAAATCCTGAAGTCAGCCGCAGAAAGAAAATGTTATATACAGAGAAACAAAGACAAGAAGTACAGGAAACTTCTTGTCAGACACTTTGAAAGCCAGAAAATAATAGAGTGACACCTTTAGTGTACTGGAGAAAATATGCCAAATGAAAATTTTATAGCCAGAGAAGATATCTTTTAAAAGGAAGGTAAAACAAAGACTCTTTCATACAAGCAAAAGCTAAGCCAATTCATTGTCAAAGCTGCATGACAAAAAGCATTAAAGGAAGTTCTTCAGATAGAAGCAGGATGATACCAATTGGAAATTTGGTTCTAGGCAAAGGAATGCAGACCTCCAGAAATTTTAAAATGGTGGTAAATATAAAATAATTTTAAATTTTATTTTATTTTAAGAATATTTGAATGTTTAAAGAAAAAACAGTAAAAATATTTTGTGGCTTTATAACATGTAGAATAAAATGTATGACAACAAAAGGAGGGGACAGAGGAGATGGAAGCTTACTGTTAGAAGGTTAGCATACAATACTTAAAGTGGCATAGTAGTATTTGAAGATGACTTTGAGAAGTTAAAGATGTATATTACAAATCCTAGAACAATCATAAAAAGTAAAAAAGTAGTATAACTCATAAGCCAACTGTGATGATAAAATAAAAATATGAAAGCAATTAATCCAAAACAGACAGGATATGAGAAAAGAGGAACACGGATAGGTGGGACAAGCAGAAAACCAATAGCAGCATGATATATTGAAACCCAACCGCATCAGAAATTACATTAAACATAAAGATTTACACACCCTAAGTAAAAGATATAATCAGATTAGACATAAAAGCAAGACGTAGTAATATCCTATCTGCAAGAAACCTACTTTAAATAAGACACATATCAGTTAAAAGTAAAAGAATGAAAAAAGATACACCAAGAAACACTAATTTTTAAAACAAAGCTGGAGTGGCTATATTAATATCAGACAAAGTAGACTTCGGTGTGGAATATTACCAGAGACAAATATAGGCATTAAACAATAATAAAGAGGTGACTTCATCAAGGAGACATAACTTTAAAAAATGTGTATGAGCTTAATAACAGAGCTAAAAAATACATAAACAAAACCAGTCAAAACTTAAAGGAAAATGAACAAATTCACAATTATGGTTAGAGATTTAGACTTCACAGTATAATTAAAAAGTACCCATTTATGCTGCCTTCCCAGGAGCTTATAGTTCTTTTTTTTTTAATACTTTAAGTCTTAGGGTACATGTGCAGAACGTGCAGGTTAGTTACATATGTATACACGTGCCATGTTGGTGTGCTGCACCCACTAACTCATCATTTAACATTAGGTATATCTCCTAATGCTATCCCTCCCTCCTCCCCCCACCCCACAACAGGCACCAGTGTGTGATGTTCCCCTTCCTGTGTCCATGTGTTCTCATTGTTCAATTCCCACCTATGAGTGAGAACATGTGGTGTTTGGTTTTTTGTCCTTGCGATAGCTTGCTGAGAATGATGGTTTCCAGCTTCATCCATGTCCCTACAAAGGACATGAACTCATTATTTTTTATGGCTGCATAGTATTCCATGGTGTATAGGTGCCACATTTTCTTAATCCAGTCTATCATTGTTGGACATTTGGCTTGGTTCCAAGACTTTGCTATTGTGAATAGTGCTGCAATAAACATACGTGTGTACTTATAGTTCTTTGGGGGGTGGAGACACTTGGATTTTCTATATGAGAATCTTTGGATGTGTGTGGGATTCCAATGAATGTCACAGCAGAGGCACAGGGTTTCATGTGGGCCAACATCAGGAATTATCCAGTCACTTTTTGAGCATCTCTGGCTATTCTAGTTTTTTTCTGCACCTTCACAACTTTGGAAGAAATTGACTCAATTCAGCTTGCTTGTACGTTTTCTTCCTTGTTAATTCATAAGAATTCATCCAACTTTCCTTATGAAGTGTTGTGTTTGTAGCTTTTGCTCTGTGCATGAAAACTTCAATAACTACTGGTTAAATGGAATGCTGCTAATGAACCTGATATTAATCACTTTAGAGTAATTAATAATAACACATAGCAGTGACTCAGATAAAATCACAGCACCGCACAGCTCTCATTGGGTAAGCTTCATATCTGTCTTTATTTGTGGCAAACTGGTTTAACTATAATTAAACCAAGTTAGGTGGATAAAGAAGAGAGTGAGAAACTGGCAGGAAACCTTTTATTATTTCATCATTAAAACATTAATAATAACAGTAATAGTAACAGGTACTGCCTCGTACATTCCAGGCACCGTGCTAATAACTCTGCATTGACTCATTCATCCTCCCAACAGCCCTCTAGGCACAATTACCCTTGTTTTAGGGATGAAGAATATGAGGTGTGAGGATGGTCTACTTTGCTTGACCAGGTCACCCAGCTAGTAAATCGTAGAGTTGAGGTTCAAATCCAGGTTTGCCTGAATAAGCAAACCTCACTTGAGTGTGGTGGTTAAGAACAATGACTTTGAAGCCAAATATTTATTGAACACTCACTTTGCTTAACAAGCCAATTAGAAACTAGAAAGGCACGTGGGCCAGCAGTGGCTTTCGCATAGTCTGGTGACAATGCAAACAGCCTCTAACTCATAAAGCCAGCTCCCAGGATCCCAATCAGAGGGCACAGGTAATTGGAGGGAGGTTGTGGGTGGTCATTTCAAAGGGCAAACAGATTAAAAATCAACTCTTTTGCCTTCTCTGTAACAGCATTTGTTCTTAGAAATAGAAAAAAAAAGTAGCCTTTAAAATGACTTCACCATCTGTTTTGAATAATTTTGCATAATATGAATAAGCTTTCTAATTTATCATCTCAGATTAGTATCAGAATTTTTAAAAGGGGATGCAAAGACTGAATTCTGTTCTTGTTGAGCAGCATTACGTGACTCATTTTGTACGTAAGAGAAACTGAGGTGAAGAGACATAATTTATCCACAGTCACTCATTAATTTAGGGGAAATTCAGCAAATACCCAGAGCCTTTGGCCCATGAAGTATTTATAGTTACTTTTCCCGGGATTGTGGGTTGAGGGTGGTGGGTGCTCTAGGATAGGAGTGCCCCAAGTGCCACCCAGGAGGAGGTGTGACTGTGTCTTTCATCCTCTCTGCACACTCTAGCAAGGATGGGCCAGGCACCTGGCCTGTCCCAGACGGAGCTTAGGTGTGATCCTGCAGGTCACACTCTGAATTCCCAGTTGGAAGCTGCACAATCCCTGTCTGCTCCTGGCTGCACACGCAGCCTTGCACGTGGTTCGCATTGCTGGGCCAAACCGCACCCAGCACAGAGACCTGGCCTCTGGTACCAGGAATGATGTGGGGTTATAAACAATCTGCACTGTCTCTGATATATGATGTGAAGGGGAAGATGCCGGGACAAGGGGAAAGGCTGCGAGGATTACTGAGCATTCCATTTCTAATTTCCTGACTCCGTCGTCCTGCCACGTGGACGTGCCTGGCTTCAGATCCGCCGCGGTGGTTGCGCATGTGTGTGAGAAGGGGTGGGGAATGCCCTCTACCTAAGCCACTTATTTAGAGGAGGAACCTGCAGCAACTCACTTAAAAACTTCAAAACCCCATTGCGTTTCTACATATTGTTCTTTCACTAATGGATGCATCAGTTTTGAGAAATTTCCTGTTCCAGGTACGGTGACGTAACCTAACATAATTAACAGTATTGAATTCCAGACAATAAATAACCATTGGAGTATTTATGCCATCTGTAACCTACACACTTAGCTAGAATGACACTTTATTTTCTTCCATCTTTCTAGTCTTTTGAGGATTATATCATCAAAGTATTCTAAAGATTATATCGTTGAGGAAAATGAACATGGCTTTTCAAAGGAATGGGAGCCTCGTTGTTTTATGTAGCCTCTAAATTATACACATCAACCATGGAATGCTGCATATGAGTTGACAAAGAAACCCATCAGTTACATAAAGAAACTCAGATTATAGTGATTGCCACCCAAGCCAGCTCTGGTAAAGTGAGCAAAAAAACTTCCCTTTTCTTGTTTAGCATCTTTTTTTTTTCATGGCTCAAATTGGCACACACTTAGAAAGTGTGCTCACAGGAGAATTTTAATTTATTGATGCGTCTTGCCCCTACTGTACATTCCCAGCTCCTAGCTGAGTGTAATGGATGAAGCAGATGTTTGACACGCAGCACCTCTTCATAACTTCACTCTTCAAAAACAGTTTTACAAGTACTTACTCGCATCGGTTCCCATTCAGCACAGGAAACTGAGGTCATTGTGAAACATGAGGCTCTAGCAGAAGTCTGAACTCATGTGCCCTGCAGCTGGGCCTCCATCTTCTGAGCACGTTAGCAATTTATGAAACAGCCATAATTTTCAGCTTATGGACAAAGAAATAAAAGTGTTGACACCATTATTGTAACATCTGTGAAGGGAAAAATATGAGCCGATTTCTAAGTGCACAAATGGTACCAGAGTTATAAAGATTCTTTTATGCTTAATTGTATTCATTATCAGCAGTAATTATTTCTAACGCGAGCAGTTTCTTCCAATTTAATGTCAACCTAAAAGGTTAAGACCTTACCATGCAGGCATTTCTACCTCATCATTTGTTAGGTCTGCACAGTCATGCTAATTGGTAAATCAGTAGTTGCTCCTGCGAGCTCACCTGCCTAGTGGTTTCTCTGGGTAGAGCAGGGCTTTTGGACTGCAATATCACAGGAGGGTACTGCTAGGCAGGGTCTGAAATGAGTTCAAGTTGTGTGTTTGTCAACGGTGGAGAAATTACTGAAGCTTTCTGTCTCTCCACCCCCACCCAAGCATCCCTGGAAACAAGCTTCTGTAGTTGTGGGTGCTGATACTGAGTTGTGTACTGGGTGAGAAGGCCCTGGAGTGCTCCTGCATGCTGTTGATGGATGAGAAGCTGGCTTAGCTAGCCAAGGCCACGAGGACAGGTCCTCCGTGTGCCCGCAGATAAATGCCCTGGTGATCCAAGCCCTCTATTCTCAGTAGGCTGAGGGTGGCCTGGAACTTGAAGCTCCATCCAGTATGCAGCCCCCTTTCCCTGGCTACTCTGTGTACAAAAGATTGCGGCCGTGAAGATGACTTGTGGTGCAGTGGTCGACAGGCCTCCCATAGCACTGGATGAATACATGACATCAAGCGCCTGTGTTGTGTGTGTGCTTGGGTGTGTCTGTGCACGTGTGTGCATGTTATAGGAGTGGGGGAGGGGCACAGATAGCTCCATCTCAGCTTTCCAAATAACCTCTGAGTTAGCTCAAAAATTTGCCTATAAGTCCCACTTGGAGGTGGATCGCCCCAGGGCATCTTCCCGCAGCCACAGTGAGACATGCAGCCTCCTCCCTTGTAGGATGCCAGTCAGGAGCCTGCTGTGGTTTCCTTGGCCCCATCAATCACCTCACTACATAACCTGATTACTTGATGCTGAAAATCAGTTGTCAAAATACTAGAAACCTGACACTCTCTTTTGTTTCTTAATTTCTCTTCAGCTACTTAAAATCAGCTATCCCTTTGCATTAGCTGTAATACATGCCAGCTTGCATTCACTCAAGAAAGTCTGTTGTCTACCCTCAGAGATGTAGGGTTCATCAAAGCACAGGTCCTGCCTTTCTTGTTGACCCATTTACCCCAACGCTTACAGCTCCTGCAACATATGTACATTCTTGTTTTAGCTTAGATTCCCTAGAAAATGATTGAAGCAAGGCATGAGTGCCAATGTTTCACAGAAAAGTGAAATCCCAGGGCAGCAAGAGTGAGGGAAGAGAGAATTAAATTAGAGGTAAGTGGTAAGCAAAAACAAGGTGATGTATTACACCTCTGGCCTGCTTTCAGTGAATGCTCAGCTACCGGGCCATCACTTGACAGGTGACTCTCGAAGACAGGTGGATGTCACGGGACAGCTTGTATGGAAAAGCTATGCACAGAGTAATCTGCTGAATGGAGCAATGGAGAGGAACTTCTTCCTCTAATATGGTTTGGCTCTGTGTTCCCACCCAAATCCCATCTCAAATTGTAATCCCCATGTGTCTAGGGAGGGACCTGGTGGTAGGTGATTGGATCATAGGGGTGGTTTCTCTCATGCTGTTCTCGTGACAGTGAGGGAGTTCTCACAAGATCTGGTGGTTTGATAAGTGTCTGGCGCTTTCCCCTTCTCTCTCTCTCCTGCCACCATGTAAGACATGCCTTGGTTCCCCTTCACCTTCTGCCACGATTGTAAGTTTCCTGAGGACTCCCAGCCATAAAGAACTGTGAGTCAATTAAACCTCCTTTCTTTATAAAATACCCAGTCTCAGGTAGTATCTTTATAGCAGTGTGAGAATGAACTAGTAGACTCCCCATCCCCTGTCTACTTCTCCCATAGGTCAAAAGGCTCCCGGCATGAAATTAACACTTCTTTACTTCTGGGTTTCATCACTTGAGGAAGCCAGACTGCAAACCCTGAAGTTCAAGGCCTATCTACTGGATGCGTCTGTCCCAGATGGCTGGACAACATTGCCCGCAAAACCCATGTGACCATGGGAATTATGAGGGTCAGGAAGTAGTCCAAGGTCCTGGGTCATGAGTTGTGGACAAGAGAATTTGAGGAGACACAAATGCTGGGTCTGACAATGATATCTGTTGAATGAATGGAAGTGGCATAAAAGGCATATCGATGATAATCCATGCCTTCGATTATTCTCATGTCTCACTGGAAAAGATAGAATTAGGAAGCAGTGAGAAACCATTTAAGGGCCAAAGTGAAAGAACATCCTTGAGCAAGAATGAAAGTTTGGTGAGGAAGGGTCCAGGGAAGGCAGACACGTCGCTGCCATTCCAAGCACCTGATTTTAACCCAAATTGTTTTGTACACGTGCCCTTTTATGGTGAATATGTCACAATTTGTGTTATAGTTAATAAGCTGTAATGGCAACATAGCCTGTAAGAATGCATGTAACTGATGCTACAGCTTTTTAGAGTGGAGTCTAAACACGTAAATCAAATCTCGGTCTGTCTTCACACTCACTTCTTGATTATAAATTATTTCAAATGTAAAATTTCAAGCTAAAAAGTACAGATTAAAAAGATGGCTTATGCAAAAGAAAATGAAGTAACTAAGGCTAAGGTTTCCTAAAGTGGAGTCAGAGATTGCAGGAGGAGTGCACTCACACCTGCTAAGGGTCAAACCACAGAATGTTCGAGTAGACTTGAAAAAACAAGGGATGTCGGTATCCCCGGCCTTCAACATCCCCTAGCTGGATGTACCCTAATTAACCAATCAGAATGGGTTTGCCATTTAGGATTTCTGCCTAGCCAATGGACTACCTCCAGAAACAACGTTTTGTAGAAATCTCCTGTTAGAAACTTCCCCTGTGCTTGCCTGAGAGGACACTCTTTGGGGCTGGCCTGATTCAGTGTACCCAAACTGCAATTCTTTGTCTACCAAACTAGTGCTACTCCTTGGACCTCCATGTCAATTTTTGTCAATTTTTGTTTTTCTTTTTTTGAAACAGTGCCTCACTCTGTTGCCAAGGCTGGAGTGCAATGGCACAAACATAGCTCCCTGCAGCCTTGACCTCCTGGGCTCAGGGGATCCTCTCGCCTTGGCCTCTTGAGTAGCTGGGACCACAAGCACATGCTACCATGCCCAGCTAACTTTTTAATTATTTGTAGAGATGGGGTCTCACTATGTGGCCCAGGCTGGTCTTGAATCCCTGGCCTCAAGCAATCCTCCTGCCTTGGCCTCCCAAACTGCTGGGATTACAGGTCTGAGCCACCACATTTTGCCTGTGTCATTTTTGTTAAATTAATGCTTATAAAATGCAAGATTTTCTACAATTATTATAGATTGAAAAATTATGTGTGACTTCCTTTGAAATTTTGCTAGGAGGATCATATTATTATCTTCATTTTGCAGGTAAGGAAACTTAGGTTGGGCACCTTGTCCAAGGCTGCTCTGCTGGAGTCCTCTGGCTCTAGAGTCTGTGCCTGTAGCTTCCAGTCTATGCATCAGCTCAAACAGCACTTGGCTTCAGTACCAGGTAAGGGAGATGACCACCTTACGGGCCCTAAAGAAATGAAAGAGGACAATTTGTTTTCATAGGTAGTGTTTTCCAGAAGTGTCTTGAGCAAGAGAGAATCTCTTGATATGGCTTTTCACAGCCATTCTGACGCTCATTTCGAATCTGTATTCCATTATCCTAGAAGTGGACTAATGGGCTCTTCATCTCATGAGATAAAGTCCATCCACCTAGTCAGCCTCAGCACTCAGACATCTAAGACCAAGTGTTTAGGACTTCAGTGATCTATGTTTCAATTCTAACTAATTATCACCGGCTATTCTGCTACTCCACAGACAACACAGGGATAGAGACAGCCTAACCAACGTGATCATTATTTCTGCCAGGTTGACCAAAAGGCAGTGCCAGAAAACAACTCTACACCCTCAAAGTCATGAGGCTGAGCCTTCCACAGTGCACCTCTGTTTGATACCCAGTGCCACCTCTAACAGAAAATTATAATAATATGACAATGATTCACTTCCAGAAAGTAATTTGAATCTGTGCCAATGAGGAATGCCTGCCAGACTGCATTGCACTTGTCTTTCTTCTGCCCACCACAGCAAATTCAGGTCAGATAATTAGCACTCATCTTTATGCCTTATGCTTTCTGAATTTCTGCAGTACTATGAGTAGGAGGTAAAAGTTCTGAAACGTTCCATGAGGTTGTTGTTGCCATGGAAACCACTCCCTTGGAATGCTCATACTTATTCCCAGTTGTTGAACAGCAGAAGATGCTCCAACCTAAATACTGAGAGTCTTAAAAGCCAGGCGGAAGGCTGGAGGGTGCTGGGGAAGTTCAGGCTGTCCCCAGAAGGTGACTGTGAGGATAAAACAAATTAGGAAGGAGGAGGACAGAACCCTCGTTCTGCTCCCTGACAGGTGATGGGACTCAGACCCTCACACCTGTCCTTGTAACATGTCAATCAGGGAGCTCCACGCCCAGCCTCTATGCTGGGATATGATCTTCCACCAGTGAGAGGCTTGCCTGAGCTGGCCTGACTGCTTGTAACTCCCTCCCCTGCAGCTGACTGGCTGTATAACCTTGGGTGAGCTGCACCCACTCTCTGGGCTTCAGACTCTGCACCTCTCTAGAAATGAAGGCATTGCTTCAGCTGTGCAACAGAAGGACGGAAGTTCCTATGAATGGCTGCTGGGTTTGAGGCCTTCTCTTGTAGTGGATAAAGCAAAAATATCCTACGAGGTTAGGTTGGGGCTGCCCTGTCTGTAGAAAGAAGCTTGCAGGAGTGATGATAGCATGAGGTCTTTGTTCAGATGTTGCAGAGAGGTGGTTGTTTTGACCGTCTTTAGTTGGTTTCACAGGAAACCACTATCAGTAAATTTCCCATTTGACTTTAGATCATTTCTAATAACATTGTGAAGAATAGGGACAGTGAGAAAGATGAGGCCATTTCAGTCCTTGTAACTGGCTTGAGAGAAGGGCTGATGGGTATATCTATACCTCTTCTAAAGATGAAGAGACAGAGGTTCAAAGAAGCTCAATGGCAGTGCGTCACAAGAGGCTCATGTGCCCAGGCCTCCAGTTCTTCCCAGCTCAGCCTTGGGTTTCACACGCTCTCAATTTGAAAGGAAAAACACCCACCCAGTTCTCAGTTACCCCATTTAATTGCTAGGAGAAGTGTATAGGTTTTAACTTGAATCTTAGTCCCTTCTAGCTTGTGGGGGACACTGCCAACAGCGAATTTAATTGTTCTGGGGAGGCATGAATGTGTGTTAAGCTTTTAAGACATATTCTTGCTAAGTGAAATGTAAAGAGAAAGTCTTTGAACCTGCCCTCCAGGCTGGAGAGAGAGTACAAGGCCAGCCTGTGGCAAAAGCACAAAGACAGAAAAGGATGAAGAAAGAGAAGCCCTCTCGGAGGAGGACGTGTTGGAGGCAGAATGCAGCAGTTCCCATAGGCAGACCGTCCAAGAGTAGAGGGAGAACGGGGCAGGTGGATGCTGTCTTAGAGACAAGCCATGGGGGCTTCTGGGTTCTCTGTTCCAAAACAATGTGGGTAGCCTTTTTTGCACGCTTCCTTTCAATCAGTTGCACCCGAAACTTCACAAGAGCAAAGAGGCTGACAGTTTCTATAGGAAAAGCTACTTCTTGAACAGTTTCTGAAAGTCTCATTTTAATGTGGAGATGGGAACTTGAGTGGGTATGAGAACAAGAGGGCAGGGAACAGTGCAAAGTTTAAAGAAAAGCGAAACGGCCCTAAAACATGCATATGACTGATCCTAACTGGAGCATATTTTCCTTGAATTTAAAGTCAACTTATACGACCTTCATGCTGGACTACACAGTGAGTATCACAGGCTATGTGGGTTTTGTTTCTGATTTTTCAAGCTCTAAGTAGTTCATTCATATTTGGGAACAAAATATCCCCATTTTAAAATTGATTTGTAAATAAAGCTGACTGCAAACCCATTTGGAATTCAAGCCCTTTCATTTGATACAGAATTAAAAAAACAGAAGTCGGCCAGTAGCCATCGGTTGGGATGAGTTTCAGGTTTGTTTTTGTTTTTGCTTTAAAATATAGTGCAAAATAATTTGAAGCAAAATTCCCAGGAATATCATCTGGGGCAAAGACAATCGAATGCTTAATGAAGTCTATTCCTGAGCCTGCTATTTTTATCCCCCGTTCATCTTTGCCAGTGTCATCTCCCGGAGCAGCAGGCGGTGGCTGGGACGGCAGCACAGAGAAAGCCCGGCACAGGCTCCGCTCAGAGCCTCAGGATGTGGGGAGGCTTCTACAGATGACCAGCTTGGTGGCGTCATCATCCCCACCTGGAGGTGTTTCTGGGCTGGAACAGAGACACACCCCAAGACATGCCAAGTTCCTGTCTAAGGAACAATCTCCAGTTCCTTGGCAGATTGCTAATAAATATTTCCAGTAGGAAGGAGACCTTATCTGGAACCAAGAGGCATGTCTGTAAGAAACTCTTATGAAGTTGTCGGGGTTCAAGTTGGCCTTCCTGTTGTTCAACCTGGTGGAGAATGTTCCTGTGGGCCTTGGCAGCAAGTCAGCATTCTTCGTTGGCATGGAGTCCTAGGAAAAAGAGGTACGGGGCACCTTGAACACACCGGGCAAGCAAAGAAGAATGCACGCGTCTCCTCTCTCCAGGAAGGGCTCCTTTCAGAGACACGCTTTGTAGCTCAGCTGTTTGGGGGCCGTGGCAGGCACCTGGGCCCTGGTCACACAGTGGCTGTGGAGCCTGTCCCTGTCCCTTGGGAGCAGCCTGTGCCTCCAGCTCTTCAGCCTTCCGCTGCTCCCACTTGCTGGCTGTGGCTGTGGCTGGGTGGCATTTGTTTTTGTCCCAGGGCTGCTGCTGCCAGCCAGCAGGTCTCTGATGTCACCAGCCGCAGGTCTAGGGGTCACCCTAAAAACATGCGCCTCACTGACCCCCTTACAGCTCCTCTCCTGAGAAGGTTTCTGGGTGCATTTATCCATATGGGGAGCCTCCCCGGCAGGCCACAGGGGAGCAAGGAGAGATTCCTTCCTGGTTACCCACCCAACCATGCTTCATGCTCCAGACCAAGTAGGTTTTCTGGGTCCTAGTAAAGTCTTCCAATTCCCCCAAGCTGTGAAAGCCCAGAGGCGGCTGTCATCTTCTGTGCTGTGGCTGTTTCCAAAGCCAGGGCCGCTGTGGGACGCTCTCCCCTGGTTTGCTTTTCATCGGAAGCGGCTGCAGCTCTTCTGGGCTTTACCGCCGCCGGGGCCCTCCTATTTTCTTCACCATATTGAAAAGGCATTTCCTAAATTCATAATGTTTTAGACACATTGTGGTCTCGGGATTGAATTGTGAAGTCTGCATGGACGGGGGTCTGGCCTGCCCTTCAACTCTGCCCCCATTTCCTTAAGGAATTGGTGAATGCAGATACTCTACTTTTATATTTTGACAGCTGCCTGTGTTTTCTCATTTGATTCTCATAACCCTGGGAAGTAAGTAAGGCCAGAATTTTTATTCCCATTTCTCAGATAAGGAAATGGAGGTTAGAGAAACATGAATGAGGCACATTTGCCATGCAACTTAGCACCTGGAACCTGACCTCAGGATTCTGAGTTCTAGCACAGCCTTTCTCCACTCTCCAGGCTCTCCACCCTGAAGCCAGTCGCATATCACCCCAATAAACAGTTACAACGCCTCTGCCAACACAGGATCCCAAATTGCTGCCTCCGCCTCATCATCTTTCCCTTCTAGGCATGAGACTTTCCAGAAAAGGGCACAGATGGACAGAGCATCCTATGGTTCTGGAACCAGATGTATAATCTTAAGTCTGTTTTTTCCCCCTTTCAGAATTAGCATTCCTTTATCTCATTCCTAACTATTCAGTCAAGTGTGTTAAATGCTGCGTCCCAATGCTTGTGTGCGTTTAGTGGCTGGACATAGGCCCATAGCCTTCAGCAGCAAGAAGGACCATGTTGCAAGGTCCACAACAGCCGTGAAGAGTGAAAGATGGACAGGAAATGTCAGCCTCCCTAGCGACCCCTGAAAGTCCTCAGGAAGGAAACTGGACTTTCTGCAACATTTCAGTCCAATTTTTTTTTTTTTCTTAAAGCAAAGGGAGCCTCCAGGAAGCTGGACATCTGGGGACCTTTGGGTGACCTTAGTCAGTCTTAGCAGTTTGAACTTCATCTTCTGAGTTCCCCCTCTGGGCAATGGGGAGCAACCCATTGCTGCTCAGCTATGGCCGCAACAGATCCAGATTTCTGTCTGGGGTCTCTCCACTGGCAGAGGGAAAAGGGAGAAACAGGTGAGGTAGCAGGAAAAAGGCCCAGAAGGAAGAGAAAACCCAGTGAGAAAGTGGCAAGTCACTGAAGCAGGGAGGCTGCAGGCCGCAGCAGGAGGGCGCCACCCTGAGAATTCTCAGGAATCCATAGACTTGGACATTGACCAGGGAAGGGGGTTAGGCAGAGGGTGATAGAGGTTTCTGGAGGCTTGGCTGGGTATGCTCCCGACCCGGTTGCCTGGAGAGCAGGGTCACAGGTGGTGCTGCTTTGGTGAGAGAGCTTTCCAGAGGTGCCCCTGTGAACCCTGAGTGCTTCTGGTTGTGTCTGTCCTCTTTGTTCTGCAGGATGCTCTTTTCTTCCTCAGCCTGCGTCATCCTGGAAGAGACACCTCAACCCAGCCCGACTCCAGAGGAGTCCTGGGGGCTCTGCTGACCGTTGCAGTGCCTCCACCAGAAAAATGTTAGGTGACAACGTTGCAGGTGGATAGAAACCTCCATCCCTGAGTGAGTGAGGGACGAGGGGAGCCCAGGGAAGTGCCTGGTTCTGCCTCCTCAGTCTGATCTTCTTGAAGCTGCCGGGTCACTGCTGATTTGCCTTCTGGCTGAAGGCATTGTCAGGATGAGAAAGAAGTGAGTGGCATACTCCGACAGTGCCACGGGGCAAGGACAGGTGTGGCAACGTGGAAGACTCCTGTGAAACTCACTGAGATGCTAGAGGGAGGAGAAGGGGTGAGGTAAGGAAAAGTGGCTGGACAAACTTGGATTTCCTCATGTTATCAAAGGAGTCTCCATCATGCTGGCTCCTGGGCACATCTGCTCACCTCCTTCCCCTGATTCCTGCGCCGCAGCCACCAGGGCCAGCCCCTGCACTGGCAGCAGCATCTTTGCAGCCAGCTCCTCCTTGAGCCTTCAGCTCCTCCCACACTCAGACCTGTGTAGACCTACTCTGGAGGGTGCCCAGGAGTGCTGGGGAGGAGACGGAACTTCTAGCGGTTGCTAAGGATACAGGTTCAATTTCTTTTTATGTACATCCTGAGAGAAAGGCTCTCCAGTCCTCAACAATGCAGCCATGTTGGATAATAGAAGGGGAATTTTTTTTTCTTAAGGATTTGCTAAGAAATGAACACCAGAAACCAATACTTCATTCTATTCATAATAATTTATTATGGCAGAAACAAATCAGTACAAAATAAAAGCAACGATAGCTGAAATGCTTGCTGTAAAGCTGTCAGAAGAATCAAAATTTCTTGTACATCCAGATCTGTAAAAACTGATCTAGAAAATATTAGAGTTAAAAACTACTATGACCACAATAGAAAGTATAAAACTGGCAAAGACTAAAATGAATAAACGATATGTAGACAAGATACTGATCTATGAATCAAAACTTGACTGCAAAATTTATTTGGGAGAAAACTGATCTTGATGAAAATAGTTTTGGTGAAATAATTCATTGACCAATTTTCTATATGGCAGCTAAATATTTCAAGTGTTTCTATTTTTATTTGAAATGGGTTTAACTGGATTTGCTCCAGAAAATACTTTATTCACAAAAACCCAATGTTGATAAATTTTTTTCAAATACTTACATTCATAAACTGTTGTCAAAGAATTCCCAGAATGAAAAATATGTGGAAAAAACAGCAGAATCAAAATGCTATGGACCAACTTCTGGTTCCAGACAAGATGGAGTAGACAAATTTCTCCCTAACTCCCTGACTAAGAGTAGCTAACAATCCCAGACCTCATATGTGAAATAAACATACAATTCTGAATGGTGGAACGAAGAATGCAATGAGCTAGGGGACCTGGGCCTCGAGAAACAGCATAGTGGCAAGTCCCCAGGGGTTATCTTTTGCCTCCTTTATATCTGGAATGAGGCACTGGAGAAGTGTGCAAATCAGAAACGTCAACAGACACAGACCAAAAAAAAAAAAAAAAAAAAAAAAAATAGACCCAAGAAAAGCTGGAGCTCTGTAGATTAAAGAATAGGGCCAGGGATAAAAATAATCTTAGACATTAGAGCAAAAACATGATCCATAAATGAAAATTTTGAGAAATCAAACTACATCAACATTTAAAACTTTTGCTCTGCAAATGACTCTGTTAAGAGAATGAAAACAAAAACAAACAAACAAACAAGAACCAAGATACATACTGGGAGAAAATACTTGCAAGCCACATATCTGACCGAAAGATGCATAGAAAGAATGATCAAAATTCAGCAGTAAATACCAACAATTCAGTTAGAAACTGGGCAAAAGATAGGCCATTTACCAGAAGATATATGGATGGCAAATAAGCATATTAAAATATATTCAAGATTATTACCCGTTAAGGAAATGCAAATTAGAATCACAATGAGATACAATTACACACCTACCAGAACTGCTAAAACAAAAAAAAAAAGTACTTGGAAGTAATACCAAGTACTGTCAGGGATACAGAGAAACTGGATCCCTTATATGTTGCCTAGGGGATGCCAATGATACAAACGCTCTGGAAAATCATTTGTCAGTCTTAAAAAGCCAAGCAGGCACATAGAATACCACTCATCAGTTACATTCCTGGTCATATACCCCAGAGAAATGAAAACTGATGTCAAACAAAAATCTGAACCGAAACAACCCAAATCAACAACTTCTGTGAATGAATGGCTGAACAAATTGCTGCATGTCCATATAATGGAATACAGCTCGGCAGTAAACAAGAGCAAATTATCGCCGTACACAACTGGGTGGCTCTCCACAACATTATGCTGAATAAAAAAGCCAATATCAGAAGGTTATATACTGTAGGATCCCCTCTCTGGAACATTCTTAAACTAACAATGATACAGATAGAAGGTGATTAGTGATGCAAGTTTTGGGATGGAGGAGGAGGAGAAGGGAAATGGATGTGACTGCAAAGTGATAGAACAAAGGGGACCCCTGTGATGACAGGGCAGTCCTATTCCTTGACTCGGTGATTCCACCAACTGACATATGGGCTAAAATTGCATAGAACTAAATACAAACACACACACACACACACATACACACAAGTACATGTAGAACTGGCAAAATCTCAATTGTGCCAATGTTAATTTTCCGGTTTTCATTCTGTGCTATAATTACATAAGCTTTCACCATTGGCAAAAGCTGTGTGAAGGATATAGGCATCTCTCTAAATTATCTTTCCAACTTCCTGTGAATCTATTACTCTTTCAAAATAAATAGTTAAATGCAATGTAATGTGCCCACAAGCCCAGGGTTTACAGTAGACGCGACTTACTCTTAGCTCAAAAATCCTCTGGCCTGACTCATCTTGGCTCATTCCCAAATTCAACCTTGATAATTAATAAGGATTGTTTTTACATTGATAATATTTGCCATTTTCCAAATCTAGCAAATTCCTTTGAATCCCTATGGTTTTACATATGCCGTTTTCCTCATTTAAAGAATATTAATTCCCCTTCTCAGGCATAATATCAACTCCTCTCCTTAGAAATTCAGCTCAAATTTCATTCCTCTGGTACATGCATTTTAATGAGAATTATATATATATTAACCATATATTAATTATATATTAAAGAGAATTATATAAATATATTTGTATGCATATATATTACACATCACATATTGATCATATGTCATACAGCACGTGTCACATTATAATTGAATCACAGCTTCCCTCAAGGAGCCATATCTTTGATGAGAATATGTGGGTAATTGGGATTCAGGTGCCATAAGAGGGATGGGTGCCGGAAGGTCTAAATATTCTCAATCTGCATTGCAAATCTGAAAGTTTGTGTGTGTGTCTGCACGTGTGTGTGAGCATGCACACACAAATATATACGTATATACACATACATGCATGCTATGTTGCCTATATATAAAGATATGTAAAGTGTATGAATCCGTTCTCACACTGCTATAAAGAACTACCTGAGACTAGGTAATTTATAAAGAAAAGAGGTTTAATTGGCTCACAGTTCCATAGGCTGTACAGGAAGCATGGCTGGGGAGGCCTCAGGAAACTTACAATCATGGTGGAAGGCAAAGGGGAAGCTGGCATGTCCTACATTGCTGGAGCAGAAGGAAAAGAGCGAAGCTGGAAGTTCTACACACTTTTAAACAACTAGATTTCATGAGAACTCACTCACCATCACGAGAACAGCAAGGGGGGAGCCTGCTCTCATGATCTAATCACCTCCCTATAGGCCCCTCCTTCAACATGTGGGGATTACAATTCGACATGAGATTTGAGTGGGGACACAGAGCCAAACCATATCATATAGTATCTTTATGGGGCATGGATATATGTAATGCATATTTATTGATTATATACATGTATACATGTATGTGCATGTATGTACACACATTCACACATAAGCATACTCTCTTGGCTTTCTATCAAGGTGTGTATGTATATCACCATGTGACATAGATACAGATGGCACATGTAATACGCCTGCATCTGTACACACACACAAAGAGCCCACCATGGGGTCTTGGTTTCCGAAATGCAGATGGATAGTGTTCTCACTGCACAGCACCTGTTTCACCAGAGTTCTGTGCACTTAGTCCCTGCTCAGCCTGCAACTTTCTGGTTGTCCACCCAACGCAGACTTTTGTTGCCTGTCAGAACAGAGCTCCTGATGTTCCCAGATCCCAGGTCAAAATCCCTCCCCTCCTTCCGGGATTCTGCATCTGGTGCTGACTCCCAGATTTTGACTACAATGGGGGTGAGGGGGAGCCATTACTCCCCAGCTGGGCAGCAGCAACTTGCGCTCTCTTGGTCACAGCCTACCCCGTGGCTCAGTGGCCCCTGAGCTCTCCCAGGCAGGACTGGGCAGCATTCCAACTCCTGCAGCTTCAGAGTCTATGCAGTTCATGGAGGCACCTCCTCTCACTGGACACCCTTTCTCACCTTGGGGGAACAGAGGGCAGAGCACCCACAGGATGCCTGCACAGCATGGGTACCTGGCTATAGCTCCATTTACGACCGCTCTGTCCTTAATGTGGCTGGAAGTCTGAGACTTGTGGGATCTGTTCTTAGCCACTTCCTTTGTGAGTTCTGCACACCCCAATCTGCCCGACACTCACTTTGGCATTTACTTTTATCAAATTTAAACTGAGTGGAGAAGAGTTTATTATCTCGTTCAATATCCTTTACCAAAATTATTTGGTGATGAAACAGATGAAGAGAGGGGAAAACCAATCTTTTCCAAGAGATCTTTGCAGGCAAACACCCAAATTTCTGAGGCCTCAGAGTCCCTTCCACATGGAGCATCTAGAACATTCTACACTAATCACTGGCCACGTTATGACAGAGCCAGACACAAGAGCAGCCCTTGCTGGTCCAGAGTTAACTCAAACACCCTATGAGTGCCTCAGCCACATGAAACTTTATTGACAAGTGACACCCGGTCTGTTTCAGGGACTTTGGGGGAAAAACAGTCTCTGGGGCCCCTTCTCCATCTTTTGAAGATGTAGACGCTCAGGCAGGCAGATGGGGTTGGCAGCTTGCTCTCTTGATGCAACTCCAGGTCAGTGTTGGGACTGCAGCTGCCCCAGCAGGTCATCTGCTCTCTGAATATTATGTGTTAAGAAATCATAGTTGGGCAATGTGTTCCCAGAATCACTGTATTCTCCAAGTATAGCTTACATATGTCATTGCTTGTATTTTATGTTCCTTTGACCTGGCTGTTACTTTCCAGTTGTTTCAAAAGCTTAAGACTGTTTTGTTATAGAGCTGGAACTTTTTAATACATGGCAGCAACATTTCATAAAATTGCAATGTCTAAAATGTCAAGTGTAATTGAAAGAATTTTGTATTTATTTCAGCTGTAAAACTGAAGGGAAACATTTGTATTACTTTTAGTCTTTTGTAATGCTCTGTGTTGATTTGTTTATTTTGCGAAAGGCACTACCCTAGGCTCCAGGTTTTCAAGGCGAGGTAAGAGCCAGCCCCCGCCCCGGGCGAGCATGGGAACTCCCAGATTCCTCGGGGCATCGCCTCTGGGTGGCATGGTGTAGGAACACACTTCCTCCTGCATGAACTGCAGTAAGAATCGCTTCAGACTCAGCCGGCAGGGACGCTGGATGCTTCAGCCATTTCAGACCTTCAATAATGAACTGCTCCAAGCCAGTTGGAAATTTAAGAAACTTGGACTGGAGACCATTTGCAGGATCCAACAGAGAGTGGTGACCTTCACCAGCCCCTTGTGAAACCTGAGATCCCATCTCTTCAGCAGGCAGTGGGGCGGGGACCCAAATGGAACTGAATGGGGGCTTTGCTCTGCAGTGCTGACAGTCTAGAGGAAGGCACAAATACCAACAGAATCTGAGCATTCCCTGAAGCCATTTCAATATGCAGTGCAGGTATAAATGGAGTGTCCATGCACCCACTCCTGACCTGCAGCTGGAAAGAGAGACGCCCGAGGGATAGTGTGGAGGGAGTAGGCGGGTAGCACCTTCTCCTGCTGGGTATGTGGCCTTGGGCAGGTCATCTAACCCAACAGAAGCTCATGTCCTTGTCTGTGACACAGAAATGGTGACAGTATCACACCTACCTCTTGGGCAAGTATTGAGTGCTCTCATATGTAAACGCCCCAAGGCCATGCTGGGGCACGCAGCAGCAGCCACTTATTGAGTCTCCAGCAGTCGGAGGAACAATTTCATGGGATGAAAAAAGCTGATTCCTTTAGTCAGTTTCAATCAAGAAACCTGAGCCTAAGGAAGAAGGAAAGTCCCCCATACCCCCAACCAGGAGCAAATAGTAGCCTGGGGCCCAGTGGTCACAGACAGCAAAGGATGTAGGGGTAGCAGCATCTTTGATGATGGCTGGGCAGTGCTACATGGAGCTGGCTGGTTAGCTTGGTTCCTGAAAATTGGAGCCTATTTATCATCTATCTATCTATCTATCTATCTATCTATCTATCTATCTATCTATCTATCACTAACTAGCTATCTTATCTATGCAGTCCTCCTTTCACTCTCTCTCTTTCTCTATCTTTGCTTCTATCTCCTTCTCTCTTCTCTCCCTCTCCTGCTCTCTTTGATCTCCGTCTTCTCTCCATCTTCTGCTCTCCCTCCTTCTCTTCTTCTGTCTCCATGTCTATCTCAGTCCCTAGATCCCACAGCACATCAGATCTACTCTCTTCTCAATCATTTCAATTCACAGACAGGGAAACAGAGGCCTGGAGACGGGGAAGGGGGCACCAGCAGCTTCCCATTGTCACACTGAGATTGGTATGGCCAGCTCAAAACTCAGACCTCTGTGCTCTGGAACAGCAGTCTCCAAGTGCGGGGTGAAGAAGCTTCAATGGGTATGGGAAGAAAACATTAAAATTTCTATTTATAATTTTTGCAACTCATGGTTTTAGAATTTGTATTTTGTGTATGTTTTATAAAGCATACCATACAAGACATATCTACTAATATCTATCTATCTGTTTATCTGTCTATCTATCATCTATCATCTATCTATCTATCTATCATCTATCTATCATCTAACTATCTATCTATATCTATCTATCATCTATCTATCATCTATCATCTATCATCTATCTATCTATAATCTATCATCTATCTATAATCTATCTATCATCTATCTATCATCTATCTATCTATCATCTATCTATCATCTATCATCTATCATCTATCATCTATCTATCATCTATCTATTGTCTATCATCTATCTATTATCTATCATCTATCTATCATCTATCTATCATCTATCTATCTATCTATCTATCTATCTATCTATCTATCTATCATCTATCTACTTAAAAGCACATCCATATACTCACACCGAGGGTAATATTTTGCTGACGGAAGTGTGATTGAAGTGTTTGGTGACCAGTGTCACCTGTTTATTGTGGGTAGGTGGGTTTGAAATTACTATCAAACCTGTCTCCTGTTGTTTAGTATTGAAACCTGTTTCTCCAGAGTTGGGTGCCTAGAACTGGGGACATACAAGTTGCTGCTGCTGACCATATCTAGAAGGATGGAAGGCAGCTAGACATTCCATAGGCCAACTGGTTTGCATAGAGGAGGTACGACTGCTTCTGAATCTCGTCTCACCTATAAGCATCCCAATACACTTCTATTTCATGTGGTCAAGATCATTCCCCAGCCAAGGAGATGAGGTGCCCCCAGCTGGTTGCTTGTCAGTCACTGAATCCCTTGGGCTCTCTCTGTGTCCCGATTATTGCCGTTGCCTGGCCTGGGTGTTGCCTGGCCTGGATGTTGCCTGCAGGAATAGCCGGAGGAGGCTGCTCACCCATCAGTGCTAGCTCTCCAGCCCAGCTGCCTTCCACTGGTTCCTGGATACAGCATGTCATATCCCCACAGCAGGCAGAACTCAGAGGCCAGGAACAGGTTATTCTCAGGAAGGCACAGCTCAGACTCCATACCTTTCTTCTGGCTGGGCCCAGAGGCACTTCTCACGCATTCCTTGGCTCCAGTAAGGGTCCTGAGGACACAGCAGTTAGACTCAAAGCTCATCTTGAGTCTAGGTTTCCACATCTGACTCAAAGCTCTTTAAAGTGGCTTATGCAATTTTCCAGCTGAAAACTCGGGCCACCTCAGACTCCACCAGCAACAGAAGTTGAGAAGGCTAACTAAGGACCTTGAGGTGCTCAGTGCTTTGCATTCCCACTGCCAGTGACAGTCACCAGTGTTTCTCCCTTACATTCAGTCCTCACGTTCATGTCCCCAGCCCAGTGCCAGCCCAGCAAGTGAGCCAGTGTTTTCGCACACATGGAGATGCCTCATAGCCAGGGTGGCCTTATGACTGATCTTCTGAACTGGGACATTTGGGAGCACTAAACTGATTAAAGCAGGTGAATAAGCATAAACTATAGATGTGCCAGAGTCCCCTACTTAGAGGAGACTGTATGGGCCACCAAGGCAAACCACTCACTTGTGCTGGGAGTAACTTGGGCCCATTTGCAGATGGTTCTGTTTGCAAATGGCCTGTCTGGCTCTGTTCAAAATTCGAGTCCTTACCACACTGTGAAAGAGATCTGTTAGCCAAGCAAAATTATTGCTCCTTAAGGAAAGCTAAAATGTCAAAGTAGTGGACTCTTTACAAAGTCAAGCTGATATGGTTTGTTTGTGTCCTCATCCAAATCTCATCTTGAACTGTAGCTCCCAGAATTCCCTCGTGTTAGGGGAGAGACCCAGTGAGAGATAATCAAATAATGGGGGTGGTTTCCCCCATACTGTTCTCATGGTAGTGAATCAGTCTCACTAGATCTGATGGTTTTATAAGGGGTTTCCCCTTTTGCTTAGTTCTCATTCTCTCTTGCCTGCCACCATGTAAGACGTGCCTTTTGCCTTTCACCATGATTGTGAGGTCTCCCCAGCCATGTGGAACTGTGAGTCCATTAAACCTCTTTCCCTTTATAAATTCCCCAGTCTGGGATATGTCTTTATTAGTAGCATGAGAAGGGGCTAATATGCAAGGCATTTGGGTTCAGAGATTTTCTTTTATGCTTTAGTAAAAGGACAACACTTCTCAGGGAAATCTCACCTCACTGCAGTAATTTCAGTCCCCTGCAGTCAAAGCCAGCATTCTGGTGGCCGTTTCTGAGTTTTGCTCAGGTACCTCTGTAGCCACAGATGTGGCCTAACACAAGCAACCCTGGGTGCCCACACCAGGCTGCATCACACGGTCTATATTTTCTTTCTTTCTTTCTTTCTTTTTTTGAGACAGAGTCTCACTCTGTTACCCAGGCTGGAGTGAGCCTGTCTAATTTTTTGTATTTTTTTTAGTAGAGACGGTGTTTCACCATGTTAGCTAGGATGGTCTCGATCTCCTGACCTTGTGATCGGCCCGCCTCAGCCTCCCAAAGGGCTGGGATTTCAGGCGTGAGCCACCGTGCCTGGCCCACACGGTCTATATTTTCTAAGCCATGGAGCCCAGGCTCCATGAGATCACACTCCCGTGTTGATTTTAAGTGGGCATTTGAAATGCTTCTGCTGAGCTTCTGACTCGTGCTTTATCTCCAGCCCCCGCTCTGTGCTGCTGCGGGGTAGGTCTGGCCTGCGGCCTGTGGACTTCATTTAGCAGCCTCGGTCCTGCTGTCCAGGGGATCGTTGGCCCTGGGTCCTGACGCGGAGTTTAATACGTTCATAAACATGTTTTCAGTGATCCCTGCTCCCTGATATCTGGCATATTAACAAGTAAGTGCTGCTAGGGGAATAGAAACCAGAATTAAACCATCAGAGTCATATTTGGGGGGAAATCCTTTCCCTCTTCTGATTGCAGGCTAGGTTTTTTTAAATTTTATTTTATTTTAATAAAAAACAGAAGTGATGAATAGCTCCACCTTCTCCGGCACTAAGAAGGGGGTGCTTCAGATGCATGGAGTTCTCCTCCAGAGTTAAAATGTTGACAATCTGGGAAGCTTTTGTTTGTTTGTTTTAATTCCGGAAGCCAGTTTCAGATGATGAGGAAGAAAGGAAATGTGATACGGCTGAAAGACAAAAAGAACATATATACCAGACACAGATTTTAAAAAACAAAGCCCATCATTATACCATGTAGGAAGGTGAGATTTTTTTTTTTTCCAGAGAAGAACGTGTAAGTGGTCTGCCCTTGTCTGAAAACCTGGACAAGTGACACAGACTTTCCACCCATGGTGTTTTTAATTCCTCTGTCCATGTCACATTATAGGAAAATCACCTGGGTCTTAGAGAGGCAGTATCTATTAATTCAATTGCACTCATTGCGAAATACACATGAGGTATTTCAATCTGGCAAGGTATACACCATCCACCTTGAACAAAGGCCAATTTTTCGGTAACCAGAGCCACCAGAGGCCAGACTTCGTCAGAGCTTGAGGTTTAAACCCCTGTTTATTTGGGTATGGCACCAAACGAAGCATTTTCTTTATGTTCCAGCAGTTTCTGGAAAACCAGCTGTTCTAAATTTGGTTTAAAACATTTGTTAAAGTCACCAATAAATGAAAAGGAGAGGGAATCGAGCTGGCTTTGCAATAGGAAAAAGCTCTCACGTTTCCTTAAACAAGACGGGTTTTCCTTCTAGACTGGTTTTGTAGTTGGGCTTGTCTTTAGGGGATTGTTTCTGTCCAGGATTGAAGGGTTTTTCCGCTTCCATCCTCCACGCTCCAGCCCGGCCCAGCTGCCCCGAGGTTAGAGAGCTGAGGACCGCCTACGGCAGGCCAAGGGGGCGGGATCAGCCCAGCCCTCGGAGGCAAACTCAGCCCAGGGAGCGCGGAGCCCCCAGGCCAGCTGGGGGGCACATATGGCAGTGTCACCGGCTCCTCACCTGTGTCCACAGGTATCCAGGCTCCGGAGCTTTCTCACGGTGAAGGTGATTGAGTGAGCCGCCGAGCGGTGGGGACAGAAATCTTTGAGTGAGGAGCACTGTTCCAACATGGTATTGAAATCATTCGTCTGGAGTAAAACGCTGGCCTCTTTCTGGGCACGGCAGGGCCTAGAGCGACAGGACCTGCACTCTCTGAGACCGCCCTTGGTTCTCAGAAAGTGCGGGGCCGGGGGCCCCATCACCGGGAGGGGTGCTGCCCTGAAATGCTCTTTGCAGAAAGTTTCAGCCGTAACAAATGAGCACGCACCGCGCACCAGATCGCGGACTCCGGGATGGTGCCTGGAGGTGAGCAGATCTTCCTTCGCCGCACAAGCTGGAACAGACACACGGCACCTCCGAGGACATGCATGAACTGAGCGAAACGTCATCGTGGGATGGCAGCGTCTTGCTCCTGCACGCGGCACACACACCGCAAGGACTGAGGACTTTCTTTGAAACACCGCTTTTGAGTTCTGAACCACTGTGTTGAACAGAACGCCCACTTCCCGCCTCCCCTTCCCCCAGTCTCTGGCCCATGCTGGCCGCATCTCACACAGATGCCCTTCCCTCTTCCACCATCTGCGAGGCCCTCCGCCTTCAGTCTGTCTCACGTCCCAGGTGGGTCTGCTCTTGTCCCCTTGAACCCCAATACCCTGTTCCTACAGTGGACACCTCATTAACTCTTCCAGGTACAAATCTCTCCTCTCTGCTAGAGAGCAAGACCGTGTGGGTCCCACGGCCACCAGGACAGAAGTTATCCCTACAGAAGATTCAATGAGAGGATGTGGATTCCTTGCCACTACTAGAAAATATAGTGCCAAGTCCCACATCAGAAGTCTCGTGGGTGAAAACGCTTTTTCACAAGGAATTACAATATGTCACAGTGAAAAAACGTTTTCCAAGATTCAGCTAGGTGAGCAAAGTGAAGGCTGAATGCAAACCAGAACCATATTGTAGCCCTCCTGACATTTCCAAAATAGTGACCAATAAAAGTTGCTATTTATGCGTGCCCTACTGGTGACACTATTAAATCTTTTGGCTGCACTGTTCGGGGAAGGTTACAGGCTGAAAGCAGTGTGAATTGGAACCGTGTCTAAATTGGAATTTTTATCTGGCACCATTTGGCTTAAACTTGGATTGCTAACCTTCAGGATTTACTCATACTGGAATTATTCAACAGGGGGCTCACTGCTGTGTGGCATTTTTTTAAAAGTGTGTATGAAAAGAGAAAAACTTGGGCATGCTGCCGACACATACATTAGGTTTGGAAAGGGCTGTTCTCCCAACGTGGGGGATAAAAAGGAGACCTAATTTATTAGCATTTCAAAAATTGTTGCCGCCGCAGAACGGGTAAACAAGGCAATTGTGATTAATCTGAACTGAAAAGCCACATTTTGTTTATTAGATCTCTAAACCATCCAAGCTACATTTTTTGTAATAGTTCAGATTTTTTTCTCCCCCACTACCCTTCAGAAGTGACAGAGAAAAATCTCTTTCTTGGCTGAAGTAATCTCAAATAAATTAATATCATTTTTCATATAAATTTGTTTGGGGAAACTTGAAACTGTAGCATAACCTATTGATTTCATTATTTGAATTAAGTTCAAGAAATCCTACAGCTGTTTGCTGTCAAAATTTAAACCTACTGTCCATTTTCAGCTAGACACTTAATATACATTTCATCTGGTGGCCCAATAATGTTTTAATATAAAAGTACATGCTCATGAAACATATGCTCAGGGCTCCTCTGAAGCTTAATAGCAACAGAAGGGGTAACAATTAGCAGTTTTGTTTTCCTGGGTATACGTGGTCCAAGTTGAAAGTTTTTCCTGGGCTGCTTCCAGAAAATTTTGTTCCTCATTTCTTGACCTTTTTGGAGTTTGGAATCAATGAACCACATTGCCTTCCATGAGAGTGTCAAGCGTAGAATAAAAAATTGCATCACATCATTTTTCATCATGGCCAGATGAGGTCTGAGTGGAGGAACAAGGAACAGGAAAGAGTGAACATCTGAAAAATTGGCTCTGCAAGCTGGAATGTGATTCTGCTCTAAGGGGCCACTTTTTTTTCCCTTTCTTTCCAGAACGGGCAGGTTGTAGACAGATCTGGGTCTTAGCCTGCCACCCCAAGGGCCCCAGTGTCAAGAAATAGTGATAGAACACTGTTCATTTATGCAACATATGTAACACATATAGCAAATTATTAATAGCTCAATATGCCAATCTGCCACTGTGCATTTTTGACATAGTAGGGGCCAGAAGCACGGAAGTTTTGCAGCTCAGAAATGAAAATGGTGCTCCCGATGAAAATTAAACGCAGGTGCTTTGAGTTTGTGTATTTGAAAGCAAACATCACTAGCTTTTTTGGGGGGAGGGGGTCAAAAAGTTGCAATGCTTCCAGCTCAACTGAAAGGTTAATAGAGCTAATCTCTTGTGGATATTGGCATCGGTATTATTTATGTCATATTGTGTCACTTAATGCTAATTTCTGTGATGCTAACAGTTCTGTGAAGAGGCAATGATGCCTCTTACGGCGACGAGGGATGCTGCTGAGGAACAGAGAGTGGAAGCCACATTGCTTACAAAAGAAACAAAACCGAAGCCAAGGCATGGATCAGAGTCCCCAGCAAGCAGGAGCTGCTGTGTAGTCACCACATGCCACTCCCCTCATTATTAGCCACCACTTGGATTCACGGAGACAACTTCCCTCTCTCCATTGCAAACTTTCATCTTGTTTTTTCTTTTCTTTTTATTTAAATCAATAACAAAATCTTCTGTTCATTGCTTACCAATGAACACACAAAAAGCTTCCCTTTGTCTAGACTATCGCCTGTCTGAATTTCTGAACCGTCAGCCTCCTGTGTCCCTGCAGGGCTCCAGTTCCAGCCTCTGTTTCAGAGCCACTTTGCTCAGTGTCTGCAGGCTGGAAGGGCGTGTTTGAACTCTCTGCCAGGATAGGTTAGCTACTTCCCCTTGACTTTATTTTATTTATTTTTAAAACTACTTTATTAAAATATGATTGTCATATAAAAAGTTGTAGATATTTAATGTATAAAATGTGATGTGTTTGGGATAAGTGCACGGCTATGAAACCCTCAACACAATCAAGGCCATAACCTACCTTTCACCACTGGAGGAAGTTTCTTCCTGCTTCCTTTATTTTTATGTTTTAATTCTTTGATTTTTAAAAAATTTTGTGGTAAGGGCACTGAGTACAAGGTCTACCACCTTAGCAAAATTTTAAGTGTACCTACAGACCCTGTGTTGTATAGGAGATCTTAGGACTTTTTCATCCTGCATAACTAAACTTGGAGCCCTTGAACCAACATCTCCCCATTTTCCCCTCCCCCAACATCTGGTAAACACTATTCTACTCTCTGATTCAATGAGCTTGACTATTTTGGATACTACGTAAAAGTGAGATCTGCAGTATTTGTTCTTCCGTGCCTGGCCTGTGTCACCCGGCACAATGTCCCCCAGGTCTGCCCATGTTCCTGCAAAGGCAGCGTCCCCTTCTTTTTTAAGGCTGAATCATAGTCCACTGAATGGATGAATCACATTTGATTTCTCCATTCACTCATCCACAGACCCTAGTTGTTCCTGTATCTTGGCTACTGCGATTGATGCTGAAATGAACATGGGGGTACAGAAATCTCTCTGAGATTTAAGTTCTTTACCTTAAGGGAACTACTCCAAGGAGCTTGGGGCTGGGGAGATGAGAATGTGTGTGTGGGGGGCAGGGATTGGGGCATCACAAGTTCGCACACTTGATCCTTACTCAATTCCCAAGTCCTGCTCTCTGCTGGGCCTGTGCTAGGAGCCAGAACTTCAGGGATGAACCCAGCACCTGCCTGCAAACCACAGTTCTGCAAGGCAGGCAGTGGAGCGATGGGACAGAGGAGGGAGGCATGCTTCCCGCTCGCAATGAGGGCGTTTCATGAAAACGATTCCTGCGCCTTCTTCTTGTCCCTTGCCATAGCTGCTTAGTGCTCCCAACTGCCTGTAGGGCCAGTGGGGTTTGTCGCTCAGGGGTAGAAAGGCAGAGCTGGGTAATGTCCAGTTCCGGTCATGCACACAGGAGACGAGGCGGCCAGGCAAGAGATTTGCCAGCAGAGGGCCATGGGAAAGGATGTGTTGTCCCTTCCCCTTAGCCATTCAAATGCAGCTCAGGGGCCTCATCCTGGCTGTGAGGGCAGTGGCCCACCCGCTCACGACAAGGCCGAACCATCTCCGTGGCAGGAGAGAAGATGGCAAAGGGCGAGAAGAAGGAAATGCTGCCCTTTCTCTGGCTCTGAGGCTCGGATGGGGAGAGGAGGCCAGAGAGCAAGTTAAGCAGATCTTTGTCTTAATTACTGGGAAAAGTTCAGGGACCTCAAAGGTGGGGTTCTGCTCTCTGTTCTGTTGGAGACACCAGGAGGCCGCTGCAGGGGACAGCCTGGCATATCCACTGGCTTCAAGCACCAGACTCTGGGCAGCCGATGGAGCTGACTCACAGGCAAAGAAGGCACAATGCCCTGGAGGTCACAGCCATTGCCAGGGACACGCCCGATGCCCCAGTCTTCCTACCACCCCCATCTACAGGCCCCTGGGAAGGAGGAAGAGGCAAAGGTGGGGGACACCTGGACCATTCTCCAAGAGAACCAGAACCACCTACAGAGATCCTTTCAATCACCGGGTCTGAATAAGCCGAAGGCCAGACTTATTTAGCTACGTTTTTTTTTTTTCCCTACCAATCAATAGGCAGGTGGCGATGAGCAAAGCTGGATTAGTGGGGAAAAAAAGAGGATTTTATGTTTCTCTTCACATGAGTTATAATTCATCCAATTCTTGGAAAGCTTCACAGTCAAGCAAATTGTGGGGTTGGGTTGTTCACTATGTTTCCCCACTAATGGTGTAGAATTGGCCAAAATGGAAGGCGGCTGTCTTAGGAACAAGGCCAGCACCCACGGAACACATGAGTGCAAGTGTTTTCGGTGGTGACAGCCAAGGTTAGGGGCTCCCCTGCATGACCAAAGCTATGAGGATGGGGCATTTAGTTTAAATGTGCATGGAAACCTCCGTGGCTGGACACCATAAGGGGCACGGAGGAAAAGCAAAGCTACCAAGTCCTGAGAAGATCGTGGCCTAGGGTGGGAGAAAGGCGTTCAGGGAGAGGTTCCCTCTGGCTGCCTCTGAAAAACATGGGGTTTTCTTAAATTTAATGAAAGCGTTCATTTCATTAGCATATTACATAACACGATTTACTTGAATGTATTGCTTGCATTTTTAACATTGTTCTTTCTTCTTTTTCCTTTATTTTTGCTGGTTTAATCAATTACTAGTCACTCCTGTCCCTCTTGTTAGTTGGGCATTTTACTGTGCATTTTGGTTCCATTCTTGGGCACCTCCCGTCCCAGCCTCTACTCCCATCAGCCACGCTGGGCCAGGGCCTGAGCTAAGTCGATCCCCTCATCAGGCTTCTTTGTTCCAGGCCTTCGGTGACAAAATTTCTTTGCTTGGCCAAACTTTAGTCATGCTCTTGAAGCTTCTCCTAGGCCCATCCATGTAATTCCTTGTACAATTTAGTTTTTGGGAAGAACACTGCTAAGTCAGTTTGTCAAGAAACCCCAATCCACAGGCATCTGATAACTCTCGGTGATATCTGAATCTCTAGTCAGAATCTCCCGTAGCCCTGATGTCTCCTCTTTAGTCATTTTCCGTACACTGACCCTCATCCTGTCCTTGGCTATAGATGCTTACTGGCCCATGCTCTATTCAGAGCTGAGCCCAGTCACTGCAAAATCCCATTGCCTTGGTCCCTGTACCTATGGAGATGGTCCTGAAGAGAGTCTCCTGTTCTTTAACAAGTGACATTGAGTAATTGTTTCTTTAATACTGGTTGGCTTCCGGCAGTGGGGAGCACCAGCTGGAGAGTGGGTGTGAGGCCACCACATCCCCCCTGCAGCTCCCAGCGCCATTTGAATACTTTGAGGAAAGATCTCAGCTCCTGCCGGGAAGGCCCCTGCACAGGCTGATGACCCTGCTCTCCTGACTCTTTCTGACTCTTTTTCCGGCGAACCCTGCCACCTCCTCCTTCAGGCCTGGGCCGGGGAGCAGCCTCAGAGTTGCTGATCCCTGGGATGCTGCAAGGTCCCTGCTTGTCTCTTGGTAAATGTTTCTCAAAGTTCCCACTTGGACTGTGCCCCTTGGCTCCTGCTGACGCTGGCTGAGAAAGCTTCCCTTCTTTGGAAACCATCATCGAACAAATATTTCTATTAGAAGATGTCAAAACAGAGTCTAAATCCTTCTCCCAAAAGATACTCTATTCCTCCATTTCTGCCTGCTAACTCTCAATTGTTTTCCCTGCCCTCTTTTCCCCAGATGAGGCCCTGGGAATGGCTTTATTTCCCCCTCCACGGCCCACATGCACTCCTAGGTTTGCTGCGGTGACTTATTACTTTATTTTGAGTTTATTATAAGGAATTGTTTTGCACGGCGTCCCTTCTGTTCTCAGAAGCTTGTGGGCCTCCAGACAACTTTCCCACATTCATTTACATTTAACCACATATTGCAAGAGGCGCCAAGTTGCGGTTTCTTTCTGCTTCACCATTTTCTGTTTTGAGATCCCAGTTTTGATACATTCATTTGAACACAAACTTCTTTTAAATTAACAGTTAAAAGAGTTACTTTGGATCAGTGAGTGTCATGTTATTGTTCACAGTCTCCTAGAAAGATACTTCTGGGCAGCTCACAATAGAGCTTCAGCCTTGAATCAGTCCATTTCTTATTTTTTTTAGAACTACCAAGTTAGACAATTCTAACTGTGGACCATATATTGTTGGGAACTATCAAACTTTTTATGACTCTGAACATTTGGTTTGAATGTGGACCCCAAAATAATGGAAACATTTCTCGCCGAAGACCACAGTTGCTCTGCCTGCCAGTGACTTTTGGTGTATGTATTTGACTCAACAGCTGGGAGGCAGAATTATCTTTCAGTTTGAGAGATAATCTTGAATAGCATCTTAATCCATTGTTTGGTTGCATTTGAATCTGACAAAAACTTTCTTATACTCTTTTTCAGCATTTGGCTGAAGTTCTGAAGGATTCCCAATACCACATAATCAATTTCTTTTTTCAGTGTGTGATAAAATTATCAAGTATTACAAAAGGTAAACTCCAGTGATTAATGTGTTTGGGTCACAGTTTGATCTTTAAAAAAAATCACTGCTACTCGAGCTCGCAAATTCAGACTCATATTTCCATCCTTAAATGCCAGGTTCAGGCAATTCAAGAAACCAAATATTTTGCTGAGCTATGCCCCTGGAGTAAGCTGCTCAAAGAGACTTCAAGCATCATCAAGGCGCGCAGACGTATTTTAATGCCTCCCATGTCCAAGTAGTTCCTTAGCCTCTCCCCCTGTTCTTCAGAGAATTTTCCTGTGCTAAAGCTTCACCTTATGCACTCGTTGCTGAAAGGGTGCTGGGCACCCTCCGCCCTGGGCACATTCACAGTGCACAGTCCTGGGGTCAGTAGCATATGGCTGATTGAGGGGCCTCTGTGAATGACCCAGGTCTGAACTGGTGTCAGGTGCAGCCCAGCGCTGCTCAGGTGCAGTAAGACCACAAATCTCCCAGAAAAATAGACTTTTCAACCTCACCACAGTTCACAACATAATTATTAACTAAATTAAAAGTATCCCATCTCATAGCTTAGATTTGCTGTGATAGTGTTCAACTATCTGAAGGCCATGAACACTTCTCATGCGCATTGAACCATGCATTCCTGCTCTCCATGGTTTCGTTCACGTGCAAAGCAGAGATGCAGCACAAGTGCACACACACCTGCAGAGGCACGTGCACACACCTGCACATGCCCCGGAAGCTTCCCCGACCCAGGCTGCCTTCAGTGCCACACCATGGCAGCCACCCCATTGGTGACAAATAGTGCCCACAGTCCCTTCTACTTCTCCTGTTATGACCTTCCTGGCTGCTTATCCAAGTGCTCCTGCAGAATGTGTACCTGGGATCCTTTCCTTTCAAAATGCAGGGTGTGATTTTGAAGGCGGGTTTTGATTTCTCCTCTTCCTTTAACAATAAAATCATCAGTTTTGTACTGTTTGCTCTCATATTCTGTCTAATTTGAACTTGGCCTCGAAAAGCTCGAGGTATTTACCGGCGGGGCCGCTGTGTGTTGATGAGAATCGTCTCCGTGCTCACTTTGCCATTTCCTAACTGGCCATGGAGTAGAGAGCCCAGGAGGGCGACTTCCTCCAGGCCAGGCCTTCCAGTTTTGAGGACGATTCCTGCACGCCTGCCACTGACAATTGTATTCTTCAGTGGTGATCGCTACCCAAGATTCCCACTTGGATCTTCTTTCTGTATTTTCACTCCTTACCGTCGTCTTTTATGCTGTTTCCTCAGGTTTTAGTTTTAGGTTTAGTTTTAGACTTCAGTGAAACACCTGTTGATTCACTTTTTAAAAATGGTTTTACTTCCACACAGTACTACAACACACATGCCGGCCTAATTAACATAAATGCTAACTTCTAACCTGAAGTTATGGGGGAGAAAACAAACTACATGAAGTGAATGTTACCAAGACGGACTGTATCCTTGCAGCGCTGTGCAAACTCCAAGAATGCAAAGGGATTACCATGAAGTCCTAACTATTCTAACAGTTCATGTTTGTGAAATGGACACAAATAAAGTAGTGTGATTGATTGCTTCTTTCTTCAGAAACCACAATTTTGTAACCACTGGGAAAACTGTATTAGTGTTCTCCAGAGAGACAGGGTACACACATTCATATCTATATATATGCGTATATATACATACACATGTGTACACGAATATATGCATGTGTGTATCTCATATGTCTATATGAGATAGGTTTTAAGAGGAGAATTGGTTTGTGCAATTACAGAGGCTGAGAAGTCCCACAACAGGCACTTTGCAGACTGCAGATGTATGTAGCACGGCTCAGTCCAAATCCTAAAACCTCAGGGAAGTCCATGGTGTAACTCTCAGACTGAGATCACAGGCCTGAGAACCTGAGAGGCCACTGGTGTTGAGTCCTGGAGTCCAAAGGCAGGAGAGAATGTCTCAGCTCTGAGAGAAGGTGTAAGTCCTGGAGTCCAAAGGCAGGAGAGAATGTCTCAGCTCTGAGAGAAGGTGTAAGTCCTGGAGTCCAGATGTGTAAGTCCTGGTATCCAAAGCCAGGAGAGTGTGTCTCAGCTCTGAGAGAAGCGGGTGGGGAGCAGGAAATTTTGCCTCTCTCTTTTTGTTCTGTCTGGGCAGTCAGCCAATTGGAAGGTGCCTGCTCACCCTGTCTTAAATGCCAATCTCCTCTGGAAACACCCTCACAGACATACCCCAAAATCATGCTTTGCCAGTTCTTTAGCTATTCCTTAATGCAGTCAAGTTGACCCATAAGACTAAGCATCACAGGATCTACAGGACACACAGTGAGAGGCGCTGAGAGGCTGTGTGTCCCCAGCACCCCTGCACCATCCAGCCTCAGGTCTTGCCTCTCTGGTTTGGGCCATCTTTAAGCCAGCCTGTAGGACTCTAGGGTCCAGGAAGCCACAGCTGGCCCTGGGATTTCTGAGGCCCACTCTACTGCTTGAGGACCGGCAGTGCCAACTCCATCTCTGAGGCCAGATAAAGTTGCTTAACTATTCCCAGCTATCAAATATTACTCAGCCCCGAATGTTTGCTCTTGTACTGAACTCCTCCTGATAGAATATCACTTCCTGGATGAATTTTATAACAGCCACTCAGGGTTCCCTCAAACGATGTCTGCGGCTTTTATTCCACTTGATCAACTTTCCCTAGTTAAATCTAAAGCAAAAACTGCAAACGATCTGAAACTTAAATAAATATGAGTATGTTTCAATATCATTGCTGTTCTGTGGATAGAAACAAAAATTACAATATTGTTATACTAAAAACTGTGTTTGCCTAAATGCTTTGGACCTATCCTCAATGGCCTGGAGTCTTAGGTTTTTCTTTTGAATTACAGATAGAATTGGAAATGTGTTTTTTATATTAAACAGTTTCCAGGAAAAAAAAAATATGTGTTCTTGCAAATCTGAAGCCACTGTGGCATTGCCAACATCATTAGAATCATCTAGAGAAAGCCAGAAATACTTTCCCAGCATGCTTCTCCCCTTCCTCCCCCATCTCCAGAGCCCTGAGTTCTGTTCCTCCTCAGTCCTTGACCCTACTAGGCCACCCAGAGATGTCTCTCCACATGGCTGAGGCCTGCAACCCAGGCTCTGAGCAGGGAGAAACAGGCTGCAGAGAGGAGAAATGCCCCTTCAGGATGAGGTCACGGGACAACCCTGACTTTGGCTAGAGAAGAGGAAGAAGGGGGAAAGATGGAAGTGGTTGGTAAGGGGCTGAAAGGAAGGGGAGATGTGGAATCAAGGAAAGGCCAGGGAAAGTCTCAAGCTCATCAGATCTGGTCACCATCCGGGAAACCCAGGCAGTAGGGCATCCATCAGGACTCTTGAGAGTGGGAGAAGACTCAGAATCCATGGGTTCTGGATCCTGCCTGGGTTTTCTATGACACATTATCCGGTTTGTCCAAAACACATGTTTTATTACACAAGAAAGAAAAACTTTGGCTGAATTGTTTGAATTATTAAGGCTCAGTCCAGCAGTTTTCAAGGGCTTTTGAACTTAGATTCTTTTACAGTTTTATAATCCCTTTCTTTTGGAAACCTCTCTGCATTTTCTCCCGGTGTAGAGGCATAAAGGATTGCCATTCCAAGATGTTTTTATGACAAGGTGATTTCCTCCTGGAGTTTGAGGTAAATTATGAGGTTGAAAATCTTGTTGGGTCATGAAAGCTCTAATATTTCATATTCATATATAGTACTTCACAATGTTCAAACTCCATTGCATCCCTTTTCTCATTTCACCCTCCCAAACACTTGAGGGGAGGCGGGAAACATCATCTTTCTTTGCTCGGTAGATAAGAAACTGAAACTCACAACAGCCAGGTGCCTGGCCAAGGTCCCACAGGGACAGGACTTCTGTTTCTGGGGTCACTGCTCTTCCCACTAGCACCCCCCACCACCTCCCAGCTTGTGTCTCCACAATTCTCACTGGGGAAGCAAGTTCAATGATCCTCACCTAACGCACCTCATGTTGCGTATGAGGATGCTGGGGCCCAGGAGCCCCTGGCACATCCAGTGGCTCATGGGGTGACAGTGCAATCCTGACCTGACTCTCAGCTACCTGACACTCCCCACAGGTCGGACAGCTCCCTCCCCGGAGCACAGTTGTGTGTCTGGAAAGAGTCATTCATTTTACTGTGGTTGGGGATCCATATCCAACCTGGAAATTATCTTCATTCTTCTCCTGTGTTTCCTCCAATGCCTTAAAATAGAAGCACATATATGATACGACTTTAGTGATGCGATTTCCAGCCTCTCTTTGGTCAGTGGGAGCACATGCTAAGTTTAAACACCCTTCTGAATGGAATGGCAACTTGGAAACAAAAGTGGCCTTCCTTGGAGCCAGATAAGGCCACGCATACCCGTGACAGAGGACTCTCAATTTCCACGCAGCCTGCAAGGCTCCAGGCATGAGAGAGAAACAAGAGGAGAAGAGAGTCAAGGCTGTGCGATGGGTTGGGTCCTCAGGGATGCTCTGACGGTTTGTGCCTGTTCTGTTCTCCTTCTCACGCTGCCTTTTCTCATCACAGAATGAGAGCTACTCAGTAAGGACCTCAGCATCTTACTCTTGTTTCTAAAATAAAGTAAATCAGGTCTTCACGCAATCAGTAAAGTGTTTGCAAAAACAACATTTTTGAACAGTGCAAAGTAAAAGGTAATATGACCATGACAAGTGCTAAGAACTCCCTTGACTTTAGTTTTAGACTATGAGAAAAATGAGGGGATATAAGACTCTATTTGAGAAAAAGATGTAATATTCTATTACTGGGTTTATAGCCAGGTATAAAATCCAAGTACACCACTCCCAGCTACTCGCCCTCCTCTGTTCAAACCACTAATAAATAGTGGATTCTTTCAGTTTAAAGCTTGTGACTCTCATCTTTAAGTTTTCATAACTGTTGGAAGAGAGAAAAATTAAAGCTACATGACCTCATCTGTTACTTTCCAAAAGGAAAAAACATCAGTGAGACTGGAATCTTTTGCAAAGAAGAGGAAATTTTATTTGATGAGCACTACACACAGAAATACTTGCTGGTGAACACAGCTCACGCCACGCTTTATTTTAGTAAGGGCTCCCAGAAGCATGCAGGTTGTGGCGTTCTGTGGACAGAGCTGAGCAGAACTGACCCCACGACTCCTTCCAACACAGGAGGCAGGGTCTGCGCCGAGGGGACCCAGAGCCACCTGCTTGTTGTAAGCAAGGCCCTTCAGCAATACCAAACAAATCAGACTGCCAAGAATTTTTTTTTCTTGTTCCTAACTTTCCCATAAAAAGATTCAGGTAAATGTAGCATGACGAGCCAATTTAAGCCAATTTCAAAGTTATTTGAGTAATTGGTTATTAAGATAACAGTCTCAAATTTCAATTCAGCAATTATTGTCTTCAAGACACAGACTCAGGCATCAGAAGAAAAGTCTGCTGTGTGTTAAAGTGAAAGAGCTACAGTCTCCTGGGTTGAAGGACGGTCTCCAGTGAGCCAGGGGCTAGCCCTGAGGACACTTTTCCTCTTCTCCACAAGGGCCTCAAATGCCCACCATGGGGAGGTTTCCAGAATACAACATCATTGAGTTTCCAAACAGAACAAAACCACACTCTTGCCTTGGTTACTATGAGGACTGAAGGATCAGAAATCTATCAATGTCTATCTGTCTCTTTATTTCTCTGTCTCTCCATCTCCCCATTTCTGTCTCTGTCTCTCTGTCTCTCTATCTCTCCATATCTCTCTGTCTCTGTCTGTGTCTCTTTGAGACAGAGTCTCGCTCTGTTGCACAGGCTGGAGTGCATTGGTGTGGTCTGGGCTCACTGCAACCTCCACCTCTCAGGCTCAAGCGATTCTCCTGCCTAACCCTCCCAAGTAGCTGGGACTAGGGGTGCCTGCCACTAGCTAATTTTTGTATTTTTAGTAGAGATGGGTTTCACCATGTTGGCCAGGCTGGTCTCAAACTCCTGACATTAGCCAATCTGCCCACCTCGGCCTCTGAAAGTGCTGAGATTACAGGCCTGAGCCACTGTGTCCGGCCTGTCTCTATATCTTTGTCTCTTTCTGTCTTTCTATTTCTTTCTGTCTCTGTCTCTTCATATCTCTCTGTCTTTCTCTGTCTCTCCCTCTCTTTCTCTGTCTTTTTGTCTCTGTCTCTTTATATCTCTCTCTGTCACACACACACACACACAGAGACACACACACACACACACACACTTTAGCAAGTCTTCACCCTAAGTTGAGACCCACAAAGGGATTTCTTTTCGCGCCCCCCAGGAGACAGCAGTGCAGCCTCACTCAAAATCTCCTGATGGGAAAGATGGCTTTGGCAGAGGTTCTTGGTGAAAGGCCAAATTCGCCTTTCTAATGATGGGTGGAATTACCTCTGAAAAGCCTTACGGCAAAGAAGTACAAAATGCTCAGTTGACTCCAGCTAATCAACCCCTAGGATGGCTATGACTAATTATTACAAACCACTAGATAACTGTTCTAGCCCAGGTTACAGGGGACTTCTTTTCAGGCACTGGTTGCTCAAAGGTTTTCAAAACAAGCAGAAGACCAGGCGCCGTGGCTCACGCCTGTAATTCCAGCACTTTCGGAGGCTGAGGCAGGCAGATCACCTGATGTCAAAGTTTGAGACCAGCCTGTCCAACATAGAGAAACTCCATCTCTATTAAAAATACAAAAATTAGCCAGGCATGGTGGTGTGCACTTGTGGGTCCAGCTAGTCAGGAGGCTGAGGTGGGAGGATAGCCTGAGCCTGGGAGACAGAGGTTGCAGTGAGCTGAGATCATACCACTGCACTTAAGCCTGGGTGACAGAGCAAGACTCTGAAGAAAAAAAAAAAAAACACAAAAACAGAAATTCTTGACCCTGGGTAGCACTAGGAAAGATATTCATCAAAGAAGTAAAGTGACCTTCTAAAGAATGCACAGTGACAGTGAGAGTCACCACTTTCTGTGAATATGTGTCCAGCATCCCCTGGGAGCCAGGCATGGTGTTTCATAAGAAGCAGCCCATTGACTTCTCAGAGCGAGCCTACAGGGAAGGTAATTTTAAGTTGGTGAGACCAAGATGTGGGGAGAGCTTAAGGCCTGCCCTAGGACCCTATAGGAAGCAGGATGCAAGGGTGTGGAAGACATCCTTGCTCCCAACACCAAGCTCTTAGAGGCTAAACTGCTGTCACTACAGTGGAGAACAGAATACCCAGTGCGGCGCATCTGTCCAGGATGGCAGCTGCAGGATATTCCCTGCATTGAGAAGGCAGATGTTTTCACAATTCCATTCATCTGTCCTTCCAATGAGTGTACAAACATTCATTGGATGCCCACACTGGGCAGGCAAGGCAAGGCTACTTTGAATTAAAAATGAAAACCCTACAAAAAGGAGAAGTGGCTAGGCACAGCGGCTCGCATCTGAAATCCTAGCAACACTTTGGGAGGCCGAGGCAGGAGGATCGTTTGAGTCCAGCATGGGCAACATTGGGAGACCCCATCTCTACAAAAAAAAAAAAAAAACAAAATTAGCCAGGTGTGGGGGCCTGTGCTTGTAAGTCCCAACTACTCAAGAGGCTGAGGTAGGAGGATCTCTTGAGCCCAGGAGGTTGAGGTTGTAGTGAGCCATGATCATGCCATTGCACTCCAGCCTGGGCAACAGAGTGAGACCCTGTCTCAAAAAAAAAAAAAAAAAAAAAAAAAAAAGCAAAGTGCTTCAAAAATAAACAACAAAATAAAATAAAACAATATAAAAAAATAAAACAACAAAACAACAAAAATTAAAAATAGTCAATTCAGAGTCAAATCTCTGTCAATCTGTGAGTCTCAGGACTGGTAGAAATATCCCCTGGATAATGGCAGGGGCCTCCAAGCTTCTCACTGGGAAGAAGCTGGCCTCACCTCCTCCCTAGTAGACTGCTCAAGTCACGCTGCTCTCTTCCAACCACTCCCAGCATGGGCTCAGCCTTCCAGTTCCAAGCGGGGGCTGTTCTGCAGAAAGAGCGTTTCTATGCAGACACGCACATGGCTGACCCAAATATGTCTGTTCTACAAATGAGCCTCTTCAGTTGCTGATGAGCTTTAGCACTGCACACAGCCTGTAGAGACAGAGCAGGAAGGCAGGAAGGGCCTGGATGCAGCACCTGCCTGCGTTCCCTTCACTCTGCCCCAGGAGCTGACATGTGCTCCATTTGTCATCGCAAAAATTCTTTTCAGGTGGGCAGCTATTAAAAAAAAGTGGAGGTTCCCAGCAAATTCTAAACCTTGCAAACAGATGTAGTCATGGGTAACACTCACTATACATTCTCCCTAATTTACATCTGTTGGAATTTCTTCTTTGATTTAAGCTGTCCCAGGCAAAAATCTCATGGTGAAAAGAACAAGACACATTTGCTGAGAAAGGGAAGTGGGTAGAGAGGAGGGCTGGGCTGGAGGCACAGCTCTATGTCTCCTTGTCAGCAGTAGAAAAGATTTACACAATTTAGAGAGAGCGTTTGCCCCTCGCAACTCATCTCTCCTTTTTAACGATGTCTTTGCAGGATATTTGAGTAAAAAGGGCCCTCAAATTTTATAGATTTACCCTGTTTATTTTCCAATTTATTGACACATGCAATCCCTTTGCTCAAAGTCTTATATAAAGAGAGACTCATCAAATGAAACATATGCGCAAGCACACACATGTGCATGCATGCATACAGGTACACGCACACAGGTACACACAGACACAGGCATGCATACAGGTACACTCACACACACACATGCATAAAGGTACACTCACACAGGAACACACACACATGCATGCATAAAGGTACACTCACACAGGTACACACATGCATCCATAAAGGCACACTCACACAGGTACACACACATGCATGCATAAAGGTAGGTACACTTACACAGGTACACACACACACACATGCATAAAGGTACACTCACACAGGAACACACACACATGCATGCATAAAGGTACACTCACACAGATACACATGCATGCATACAAGTACACTCACACAGGTACACACACATATACACACAGGGACACACACAGTTATACACACACATGCATGCATACAGGTACACACACAGGTACACACATGCATGCAGGAAGGTATAGTCACACACACATGCACATGCATGCATACAGGTACACTCATACAGGTACACACACACATGCATACAGGTACAATCACACAGGTACACACACACATGCGTGCATGCAGGTACACTCACACAGGTACACACACACATTAAGGTACACTCACATAGGTACACACACACATGCATACGTACAGGTATTCTAACACAGGTACACACACACACACAGGTATGTACACATACCCAAAGCAACATAAAGCCCGGGATGGGCCCCACCCCACCTCCTGTGGCCCATGGCAGGGTCTGTGGGCCCCCTAAGGACCCTGCAGGCCAACTAGCAAATCCTTGATTCAACCACCCCTTCATCTTAATAATCAGGAAAAGGAGGCTGAGAATAAGGGGGTGCTTGTCTTCCTAAAACCACAGAACACACAGCAGAACTGGGTTTGGGTCTTGGGATGCCAGCTCCCCATCTGGGCTCCAGACATGGGAGCAGTAGCTTTGACACCACAATTGACATTTTTCAATGAAGTGGAGGTCATATTGGGCCCCACACACCAGCTCTATGTGCTCCATGCCTGGAACACCAACCCATGGTCCAACGACTCATCTTGTTTGCTCCCTGGATACCAGAGTCATCTTTTAGCATGCTCATACTATGAAGTGTTGCTTCAAACAGGCTGTCTCCTGACCCATAGTCCTCAGCTGCCAACACCTGTCACCTGACTGCAGCAAGGTGGACCACACCCCAGGGCTTCCCAAGTTCCCAGCCCTGGTGCTAACCTTCTCTCTGCATGATCCCTGGGATCCCCAGCATCTGGGTGACCCCATCCGGGCTCGAGGCTACCCCAAGCATCTGCCTCCCGTTGACTCCTAGATTCATATTCACTCCCATCTCCTCCCAAACCCCAGGTAGGAACACCTCCTGCCCGCTGGGTACCACAGGTCTGCCTGCTGGGTACCACAGGTCTGCCCACGGACACAGCAACCTTATGCCTCCACACCTTCTCCCTGCACATCAGCAGTGTCCTCTCTCAGGACAAGGAATGACCACCCACACAGCTCCCTGAACACAGACCCGGGACCACCCTCAATGCCTCCTCTATAGAAGCCCAAATGATGATGCTGGGCACAGTGCCTGGAGGTGCGGGGGCATGCTCTGCACACGCACAGCTTTACCCTTTCCCTCAACCTCGGCAGCCCTGACTTTGCAGTGCTGACTGCGCCCTGGGGCCTCAAGGGATAAAAATAGGCAAGGCTGTAGAGACGTTCAAGGACATTCACTTATGGCATCTTACGTGAGCCTCATGAGACACCCTTGAATTCAACTTACTGTTACTCTCATTTCAGTGAGGAAAAGGAGGCTCTGAGCAGAGACCTTCAGGGCCACACTCAGGGTCTCCCAGGCAGCACACAAGGAGGGCCTGATTCTCTGGAACCCTGAGTCCAGTTCCTTCTGCCACAACACACACCTCTTGGTTGATTGAAATCAACCCCAGGGGGCTCCAGGGGGCTCCAGGCTGTCCTGTGTCCAGGCAAGAGGAAGCCTGCCTACCCTATCCCACTCCGAGGCCTCCTGCCAGACTTCCAGATCCATTCTATTCCATCTGCCCAGCTCAGGGCTCCCCTCGAACCCTCTGGGGGATGACAGGAAGCCCACCTTGACTGCCCCCCAGACTGAACTGCCTGCGTCGAGATAAGAAATGACTCAATGTCCAGTGACTCAGATGGTCGTGGGAAAGCAGCGTATGGACACGTGAAAAAGAGCAACATGTTACAGTAATGTCCGGATGTGAAGGACATGTATACAAGTGAATTCTGAGACCATCTGCACATGTTTTCTCTTGTTTTTTTTTTTTTTTTAGCCAGGCTCAGTGGCTCACACCTGTAATACCAGCACTTTGAGAGGCCAAGGCAGGAGGATTGCCTGAGCCCAGGAATCGAAACCAGCCTGGGCAACATGGCAAAATCCCATCTCCGCAAAAAATACAAAAATTAGCCGGTCATGGTAGCGCATGCCTGTAGTCCCAGCTACTTCAGAGGCTGAGGTGGGAGAATCAGTTGAACCTGGGAGCTTGCAGTGAGCCAAGATCGCACCGCTGCACTCCATCCAGCCTGGCTGACAGAGTAAGACACTGTCTCAGAAAAAAAAAATAAAATGAAATATATATATATATATATATATATATATATATATATATATATACACACACACACACACACACACACACACACATATGTGTGTGTGTGTTTGAGATCATCAAAGATTCATACACAGTTGTAAGAAATCATAAAATCTCAGGTATCCTTTACTCAGTTTCCCCCACTGGCAACATCTTACAAAACTATCATGTCTTACAAAACAGTATTACAACCAGGAAACTGCCATGAACATAACCCACCAATGTTACTGATATTTCCCCAGTTTTTGCTAGTACTCATTAGTTGCACGTCAGTGTATTTAGTTCTATACAATTTTATCACGTGAGTAGATTCCTATGTTCACCACCACAGTCACCACAGAGAGACCTCATGTGGCCCTTTTTAACCTCCCTCCCAGGGCTGCCCTGCCAGCTCCCCTCTCTCACTCATGGCCAGCCACTAGTCTGTTCTTCATTTCTGTAATTCTGTCATTTCAAGAATGTTGTTAATATATAAGTGGAGTCATACAGTACATAACCTTTTGAGACTGGCATTTTAGTCCACTCAACAAAATTCTCTGGAGATACATACGAGCAGCTGTATCAATGATTTATTCCTTTTTCATTACAGAGTATTATTCCCTGGCCTGGATGTACCACAGTTTGTTTAACTGTTTCCTCATTGAAGAACATAGAAATGCATATGGTTTACACCACAATTGACATTTTTCAATGAAGTGGAGGTCATATTGGGCCCCACACACCAGCTCTATTTGCTCCATGCCTGGAACACCAACCCATGGTCCAACGACTCATCTTGTTTGCTCCCTGGATACCAGAGACATCTTTCAGCGTGCTCATACTGTGAAGTGTCGCTTCAAACAGGCCAGTATGATTCCATTTCCCTATATTTTGTAAATCGTCTTTACTTCTCTGGCTCAGACTGCAAGAAAGGAAAAACTCCACATGGAACACATAGAATCATGGAATCATAAGTTCTAACTTGAGTTTTACTTTTAACATATGGGAAAAATGGATTATCAACTTTTTATTAAAAACATTGACTGTCTCCATGGAGACATTTTTTCTTAACTGGGGCAAAGGAAGGGTGCATGGTATAAGGTTTGCTAAAAAGGAGTTAATGTCCTGTAAATTCAAACTCCTGGAATGTTTTAATTATGAAATGAAAAGGTAATCGGTACCATTGCCAGTAGGATATGTCTGCTCATATTCCTATAGAGTGAACTGGGCCTTTAAACTATTAAGTCCTAAATATCATTCTCTTTTTCCCAGTCTCTCATGTGCTTTGAAACTAATTCTCAGCATTAGTGTATTTGGCTCCAAGTTGGGTATGTGCTTGGCCTGACAACATCTGAAAGTGCCAAGGCATAAAATTTGTAGCTCACCAGAGGATGCTCTGTTGGTTCACCATTTGTTTAAAGCTAGACTATCTCCTCTTAATTGGATTCGATTATGGGTGGTTTATATAGTCTTTAAGAGAAGATGACACGCTTCCAGTGGGTGCAAGGAGGGTTGTACAAGGTCTCACTGGGTCCGTGGGATTCAGAGGATTCTTACCACACTGGATTCAGAATAAATGGGTCTCTTGTTTTGCCTTCCAGGCCTCTGGACCACGTCACCTGCCATCACCTCCACATTGTAGCATTAACCAGCACAGGACAACTGTGCCATCTTCTACTCCAGAGACCAGGTGACAAGATGCAAAGGATGAGGGAGCTTGCACTAAAAAGGGAAGGAGTACGACCCAGTCATGAGAAGCTCTGACGGAATCCAAAAGTCAGACCTTCAAGACACACAAGCTCTTGCCAATGCAAACACAAGAGCATGGAGAGAGTCTCAGGTGGTTCACCTATGTTCTCACGGCTTGTCTCTGATTTCACCAGAACAGACCCTGGCTGTCCTATAGCAGAGGACAAGAGCAGGGACACCTGCAAGCCAGCAGAGTACGTTTTCAGAATTACAGTCAACATGTCCTTTTGAAAATGTAGACACAGAATGGGTGACAGCGTATGGCTACTCCCCTCACAGCCTCACAGCAAGGCCCTGGGATGAGGGGCGGGCTGTCTGCAGTGTGCACGGCCCAGGAGGAAGGTCTGAAGGGACCACTGACTTGATGGAGCCATCCACCCTGAGGTTTTGCCATCTGCCTGCAAAGACACAGCTCTCTTTTCTTCCTTGGCAGAGGAAAGTGTCACCTGACCACGGCTGTGGAGGGTTCCAGACTCGACTTGCCTTGTGAGGCCTCCAGGCTTCCTGATGGGTTTCCTCCCAGGCAAAGTGACCGATGGCTTCTCAAGAACTCAAGGCTAGGACTCAACGCCTGGCATCTGATCTGTGCCCCCAAGGACCAAGCTTCATGCTCCCACCCGCCCCCGCCCCCGCCCCCCACCCTCCCGACGCGGACTGTGGATCCAGTAGGAGAAGGCCCGTGGGAAGTCTCCTCTCCAGGCTGTGAGCAGGACTGCTGAATGGGCTGATAACCAGGCTGCTGTACCAGGGTCGTGCTGGGCAGCAGAGCCCACCTTGCTGCCACACCCCACTGTAGAAAGAGCACTTCAGCAGGAGGACCAGGAGGGCTCCAGGCTACCAGTTCTTCAGCCGAGCAGTTCAACACCCACAGCGTCAAACTGAAGAGGACTCTCAGCCTCCTCCCATCAAATGCTTTCCACAGATTGCCTTGGGTGCAAGGATGTGGATATCTGTGAAATACAAATGGAGCTGTTGTAATATAAAAGACAAGCCCCAGGGGCAGGGGGAGTGCTTGTCTGCTCCGACCTAAACAAGGGTCCTAGCTTTCCAGTAGTACTGCAGATAAAAAGAACGCGGCTCGTCCCTGCAGAGCCCCATATGGCTGCCAGGGTGAAGGCAAAGAAGCTCAGTGCAATGAGGCTCCTCTGCGGAGCAGGAGCTCCCAGAGGCCAGAGCACAGGAGAAGCCCTCTGCCCCGCTCTTTCCTCAGAGGCTACAGGGACACAGCATCATTGGAGGGACACACAGCCCAGTCAGAGAGACACAGTCCAGTTGGAACAACATGGCCCCAGTGGAAGGGCACAGTCCAGTTGGAGGGAAGCCCTGTGAGGCCTACAGAGTGGACACCCAGTAGAGCGCAGTGGACAGTCCAGAGCATGGAGCCATGCAGGTTACCTTGGTCAGCACACCCTCAGCTGGCTCAGTCGTCCTCACCTGCTCTGACACCCCTACCTGGAGCTACTCCACTGCATGAAGGTGGGTCCTGGACTGGCAGCAAGTGTGGCTCCAGTCTGAGGCTCTTCTTTTTGTCCCATCAGATAATGTAAAATTCTCTTTGGATCAGTGGATAGCACTCAGGTGAATGCATTCCTAGCACAGTCCACTTGGCACCTGTCGGAACAGGGTGCAATTGGAAAGCCACCATCTCCCAGTGCACAGCCATGGCTGCATCCAGCCTGAATTTCTTTCTGAAGGCCTGAAGAGCCCTCATGGATCCATCAAGTGTCCTCAGAAGCTGCCTGAGGCTATAGAGGGACCACAGGAAGGGGGAGCCACCTTTTGCATCAGTGACCCCCAGGTGAGGCCTGGGAGGCCTAAGGCAGTTGTTTGCAGCAGAGGTCCTGGACACTCCAAGCTCCTTAGGGCCATGGGAAGGCCCCCACTGGAGCCACAGAAGGTGCAGGTACCCTGGAGGCACCAGGAGGGCAGGCATGGCTTGGCATAGACCTGCAGACCTGGGCCCCCAGGGGCACTGGGTGGCGTCCTGAAGAAGAAGGAGGACGGGGAAGCGGCTGTGCACTGGCTGAGCCTGAGTGTCACCAAGAGAGGAGGAGCCCACACCTTCATCTGGGCCTGGGGAGGAACAATGCCCCACTTGGCCACTTTACCCTAACCTCAAGGACATGGTGGGTGGGCAGCTCCCTTCCCTGCAGCAAAGAAGGCTCCTCCCACTCACTCAGACACCATTCCGGAACAGTCCACTGAATCCTCACACAGCGTCCTGTGTGGCTTCAATCCTCCATTCTCACTGAGTAACCCTTTCTTTAACACTGAAATGATTATTAAAATATTTTATATGTAAAGTGGAGAGGCATCCAGCGGGTCCCAGCAGCTCAGCCCACCGTGCTGCTCCCTGCCTCCCAAAGCCTCCCGAGGCCATGCAAGGACACAGGCAACATCCGCTAAGCGCTTCCCCCAGAGAGCACACCGGGACCCTCTGGCTCGGCCTTACCCTTCCCCGCAGAGCTAGGACGGTGCGCACAGGCCATGGTAGTGAGGAATTGCCACGTTGTGGAGAAGGAGAACCTGGCTTCCTGGGAGAGAGCCGACTTCAGTTGCCCTTCACAACACTTAGGGCCCGGCTGCTGGGGGCTAATTAGGTCCCCAGGTGGTCTGAGGAGCACGTGCCCTGCCCTGAAGCTGGCTGAGCCCCAAGGGGTAGCTAGACCAACCCCAGCAGCCCACCATCTTTCCCAGGTGTGCAGGGGCCCAGGTGACAGCCCCAGGGAAAAGAGAAAATTGCAAAATTGTTGCTGCTAAATCAACCCCATTAAAAATGGCAATTATCCACGCTTCACTGTGGGCAACAACTCTCCAGGCCGATTAATGAGAAAACCTCCTCTACTCTTGGCCACTCCTCACCCAAGGAACTCTCAGCTGTTCCAGGGCTCACCACCAGTCAGAGGAGGACCCCAGGTGGAGAGAGAACTCCAGGGATCCCCCAGAGAGGAGGCCTGCCTCGTGAATAACATGGGTTTATAGACACCTGCGGGCAGTGCGTCCTTGCAGTTACCATGGGGATCATTCTGGCTCCCAGATTAGAGGTCAGTTCCTGTGGTCAGAGAAGCAGGTGCAGGGTGACGGTGGCACCAGTTCTGCCATCAAGCACTGGCTCCATCACCAGCCAGCTCTTTGACCTGGGGCTCAGTGTTTTTACCTGTAAAGTGGGGTAACCACGGAGCTGACCTCATGGGGCTGACAGGCACCCTCCTTCACAGTGAGTGCACAAAAGACACTCGCTATTTCTGCATCTGGCATCTTCACGGGGTGTAGCCCCTCTCTGTGCACAGTGTACCCACTATGCCCGCTGTAAGCTGCCTGGGGTCAAAGCCTACCTCCATTCATTTATTCCTGTCATCATTTATTTAGTTAACAAACATTAACAGCGGCCAAAAACCACCTCTTCTCCGCTTGTGATAGTGTGATAGAATTGTATTAAAAAAATTTAAAACCTGAACAATGTGGTTTTAGCTTGTTTTTGTTAAATTAACCAAATAAGTGGCAGCATCTGATGCTGGATAGAATGTGCCAAATGACTCACTTCCCCATGGTACACAACATTGTAAATTGGACAAACCTTCTGGAATATTCTATGGTAATATCTACAATACTGAAAATTGTTATGTCCTTTGACCTAAAAATTCCAACCTTGCATGTTCATCCTAAAAAAGTTAAAGAAATCGTTCTGTTACATGGTTATTCCTTGCAACATTATCTGCGATTGTGAAAAATTTGAAAATCTTAATATCCAACAGAGGATAGTAAATCAACACAGTGGAATAGTGCTTAGCCATTAAATCTATAGTTATGGAGACTGGACAAGCCAATTGAACTAGAATGTATTTAAAAATGTACACATTTAGGTTTAGGTTTCTTCTGATTAGGAAAACATACTGGATTGTAAATGGAAACATGAAATCAGATGTTTTAGTTTGGGTACTTTTTTTTCCCCCTTAACATTTCCTCTGATGATATTGATAAGATGACATAAGCAGTGGGCGGCTGGACACCCAGTGCCACATTCTCCATGAATGCCAGACCACAGCCAGTGCGCCTGGTGTAGGGTCACGGAGAACAGAGTCAGAAAAGCTCAGCACACTCTGACAACTATGGCTCTCTCCCACCCACTGTCTTCTGACCAGCAGCCTCAGAGGGAGGGCCTCCTTCTGTTGTGGGTTGAACTGTGTCTTCCCAAAGAGTATGTTGAAGTCCTGTACCCCAGTATCTGTGAATGTGGCCTCATTTGGAAATAGGGTCTTTGCAGATGTCATCATCTTAAGACAAATTTAACTAGGCAGGCCCCAATCCAATCCGACTGGTCTCCTTCTGAGAAGAGGGAAAGAGACACATAGGGGAAAATGCTACATAAAGACAGACACGGGGGAAGAAAGATGGGCTGTGATTGCGGAGGGAGGGAACGGAGCCGGGAGGCTGCCAGCTAAGGAACTCCAATGATTACCGGCAGCCCCAGAGCAGGAAGAAGCAAAGGAGAGTCTCCCTACAGGCTTAGAAGGAGGACGGCTCTGCAGACACCTGGACCTCAGACTTCCAGCCTCCAGAATTGTGAGAGAGCAAATGTCTTTGGTTTTAAGCCACTAGTTTGTGGCATTTCATTACAGAGGTCTTGGGAAAGTAATTTATACACTGACTCTCAGGTTCTTCATCTGTACAAAAAGAAAGTGATACTTTTCTTTATATCGTACTAGAGTCTTTAACCCTTTAGTCCCTGAAGCGACCTGTGCTGGCCTGCGGATAAACTCAGAAGGCAGGGTGCTGAGTCGACCCAGCGAGGACAGTGAGAAGATTCATTCTCGCTGTGAGGAACCCAAGGCTAGGTCTTCTAAAACCTCATCTGAACGTTCCTGAGAACAATTCATTTTCTTTTTCTTTTTCTTTTTTCTTTCTTTGTTGAGACAAGGCCTCACACTGCCGCCCAGGCTGGAGTGCAGTAGGGTGATCACACCTCACTGTAGCCTTAACTTCCAGGGCTCAAGGGATCCTCCCACCTCAGCCTCCTGAATAGCTGGGACCATAGACACGTGCCACCACGTTTGGCATTTTTTAATTTTTTTTTTGTATTAAAAATTATACTATCTGGTCAATGTCTGTCTCACTACGTTGCCCAGACTGGTCTGGCTCAAGTGGTCCTCCTGCCTTGGCCTCCCAATGTGCTGGGATTACAGGTGTGAGCGACTGCACCCAGCCCCAAAACAGCTAGTTTTCTTAACTGCTTGAAGAAGAGGCTTTCATGCTGTTGTACACATACCACAAGGTGTGTGGGGCACTTCACTGCCTTATGTGAAGGAACTATTAGGACTTCCATTGGAGCGGGGTTTTTTTCATTTATTCATTTTTTTAAAATTTTAGAACAGCTTTAGAGTCACAGAAAAATTGGGCAGATTGTATGGTTTCCATATGCCCCACATCCACTCCTCTATTATTAACATTTCCCAATAGGATGGTGCATTTGTTACAGCTCATGAACCAGCGTCCTTGACCCATTATTATTAACTAAAGTCCATAGCTTATTCGGATTTCCTTAGTGGTGACTGAATGTCCTTTTTCTGTCCCAGGTGGGCCACATCACATTTAGTTCCTATGTCTCTGGAGGCTCCTCTCGGCTGCAGCGGTTTCTCAGACATCCCTCATTGGGATGACCTTGACAGTGTGGAGGAAAGCTGGCTGGATATGCTGTAGATGGTCCCTCAGTTGAAATTTGTCTGATTTCTTCTCATGATTAAACTGGAGTTATGTGTTCTGGAGGGAAAGGTCACAGAGGTTAAGTGCCCTTCTCCTGGCTTCATATCAACGCTACGTGCCATTAGCGTGTCTTAGCATGGTACATGTTGACCTCAATGGCCAGGCTGAGGGGTGTTTGACAGGTGTCTCCACTGTAAAATTACTAAAATTACTCTTTCTACCCCTTCACCATACTGTAATTTTTGGAAGTCACTGTGTGTAGTAGGCCAGGCTGAAGGATGAGTTATACTTGAAGGTGGAGAAGCTACATAGATCATTTGGAGTTGTTCTCATTGGAAATTTTGTCTGTTCTACCCTCTTTGTTTATTCTTTCATTATTTATTTACATCAATATGGACTCCCATGGATATTTATACTTCAATTATGATCGGATACCACTTTATTTCTTTTGTAGCTTTGGCCTTTGAGAGCTCTTTCGTTCATGCCTGTTTCCCTTTGGCATAGTTGTTGTTTGGGGTCATTTGTTTTAATTTGTGTTTTTCCATTTGTTTTATAAAGGGTAGTATACCATTAGTACACATGGAGAGATAATGGATGCATTGATGTGTAATGGATCCTCTGTGCAGCGTGTGAATGGTATGAATGGGTGCACACGTAAAATAGTTTTGCTTGTGCTGTTGAACCATAACATGTTTGGACGTGACTGGCCCAGGGCTTGTCACATGGCGCTATCATCTTGAAGCATCAAGTCTGAAAAGTTTATTTCATGTCTTTTCTTTGTAATCACATCACATTTGGAATACCCAGACAGGCCTCCTAAAGGCACTCTCTGTGTTCACTGGGAAACATAGAGCCCTTGCAAATGTTGGCACAACATCCTGGACCTACATCCCGGCCACAGGATGGCAGATGTAGGCATCATCTGTTCCAATTAATTTCTTTGAAAGATGAAGAAACTGAGAGCTGGGGCTTGGGAATTGGAAGGAGGGAGGGAAGCCTGACCCTTCAGGACAAGTGCTGCCTCTAGACAGAGCCGACCTCCCCTGAAACTTGCTGACACTGCCTCTGGGAGGCCTTGGACACGGTTCCTTTCTGGGCCAAGCATCACGCTGAGGGCTCGGCCTTGCCCTTCAGGGTGCATGATGCTTAACTTCTGAGTCGCAGCATCTTTGGGTATAAAATTAAAGAATGACCTCGGCCCTGCTTCCAGCACTGTGGAGGGAGCATTCTCTATCAATCACAATCAGTCCTATGCACCTGTGGGTTCCACACCCATCACCCATGGATTCAACCAACCAAAGATCAAAAATATTGGAAAAAAAAAACCCCACAAAGTTCCAAAAAAGGAAATGTCAGTTTGCAGCACGGCATTGAATCCACGTGAGTGAAGTGATGCATAGGTGTTCTCTTCTTAGGTAATTTAACTAATCTAGAGATGACTTAAAGTACATAGAGGACGTGCATAGGTTATGTGCAAATACTACGCCATTTCTTATCAGGGGCTTGAGCATTCACAGAATTTGGTATTCATCGGGGGCTCCTGGAAGAATCCACCACAGATAGTAAGAGATGATTGGACCCAGTGCTGCCCAAAGGTAAATTGCTAATAATCAGTATGGAGCTATTATTAGGATGATGTCATCCTGCACAGGTGCATACATGCATGGAAATTTTTGAAAGCAAGTGCAAACTTGTGGTGGTGGTGAACTCTGGAGAAGCCCCTGGGGGCTAGGAGTTGGAGGGGTTCTCACCTGCATGGTATATTTGTTCACAATATTTGAAAGGTTTTACCCAGTATATTTATTTTTATATTAATAAAGAGAAAGAATACATCCTAAGTAAGCAATTAGGTACCGTTCATTTGAAAATATTGACTGGACTTCAACTAGGCGCCGAGCAGTATGCCAGGATCCCGAAACCGCAGCAAGTGAGGCAGATGGCGCCCATCCTTAAGAAGCCTCAGCTCCCAGGAGAATGGCGTGAACCCAGGAGGTGGAGCTTGCAATGAATTGAGATCGCTCCACTGCACTCCAGCCTGGGTGACAGAGCGAGACTCCATCTCAATAAAAAAAAGAAGCCTCAGCTCCGTGTGACGCCGATGCTCCTGCAGAAACAGGAGGGCCAACTCCCCCTCACTTCTCTGGTACTGAAAACAACAGGTGGGAACCTTCATGCACCCAAGTATTCACTTGTATTTATTTTGTTCCTCAGCTGGCTAGAATTGAGTTAATCACATCACTCAGTTCATGCACAGTATCACCATTATTCAAAACCCCATTTTTATGTCATTGTAATTAGCCGTTTGTCTCTTTTTCTTCCATTTCTACTTCTGTGGTGCTCCCAGTCCCAGAAGTGCCCATTCAGCATAATGCATCTATGAACATCACATAAGTACATATCCTTAATATCCTTAAACATTTTCTTATGTGGGGATATGCTTTTTTATTTTTTACTTTTTAGAGATGGGGTCTTCCTCTGTCACCCAGGCTGTATTCCAGTGACACAATTATAGCTTACTGCAGCCTCCAACTCATGGGCTCAAGTGATTTTCCTGCCTCACCTCTCAAGCAGTTGGGACCACCGGCACGCACTTACAAACACAGCTACTTATTTTTATTTTTATTTTTGTAGAGACAGGTGGTCTCACTATATTGCCCAGGCTGGTCTCAAACACCTGGCCTCAAGGGATTCTCCCACCAAACCTCCCAAAGTACTAGGATTACAGGTATGTGGCACCATGCCTGGCCCAGAAAAAAAAATGCTTTTAACTTATATACACGGTATTGTATAATAGATTGCAGTCTACTTCTTACATTTTCCACTGAGTGGTACATTTTAAAGATTTGTCCATGTTTTCTCTTTGTGACTCTGTCCATTCCTTCCATCTGCAGAACAGAATACCATTGTGTGCCTATGCCACATTGCATTCATCCTAGCAATGTTTGCCTGACCTGCGCTCTTGCTATAGCAAATAGCCTGCAAGAAATGTGTACCATTATTGCAAATGGGGCAGTATTAAGCCATAAGATACACACATCTGATTTCCCTAAATATTGTTACATCACCCCCCCTGAATATTTGCACCAATTTAAACTTCTACCAAGGATACATGAGGGTTCAGGGAGTTCAATTTATGAACAGCATTTAATACTAGCTGGATAACTTGACTTATAATTTCAAATAAAATCTGAGCCATTGGATTTGGCCAAGTAATCCATCACCTTTGGGAACTAAGGAAGACCACCAGCCTGGGGGCCTCCATGTTCAGAGGGACAAGATCTCTGCCATCTTGGGCAGTGGTTGCAACCCAGTGCCTCTGAAGCCTACACGGGCTCAGCATTGGCAATGTTGGAAGGGACTCGCTCCCAGCACTATGCCTTGAGGTGACAAGAGGATTTCCCAGCAACTCCTGGGCTCCCTGCCTGGGAAGTCCGGATTCAGAATATTCTTCCCCCAGGGTAAAATCATTTGGGGGCCTTTCATGTGTGGTTTCACAACATCCCATTTCAATCAGCACCTGTTTATGTTGACGCTAGCAATAGCAGAGGATGAGGGCATAGAAAAAATTAAGCATTTGCAATAAACACTGAAAATGAACTTTTTTATTACTTGAAAATATAATTCTAGTTCTTTGCCATATAAATAACGTGATTCCCCTGCATTGTATGATCCCCTTTCTGCCTGCAACATGAAGTTTCAATGCTCATCTTCTTCTTCTTGGCTTTGAATGTCTCAGACTCTCTGACCAGTGCTCCAGAGCGCATTTCATATTTTTCCACAGCAGAGGAAAGGGAGACTGTCCACTCTCGAGGGTGTGTGGCTCTGTGGGGAGCCTCGGGATGCACTCCCGGGGGATTTAAGGCCAGGTGCTGGAGCTCTCCCCCAGCTTTGTTTCTGAGCTGGTGACACCTTTCACAGTTTATGTGTGTGGTCTCTGGCAAGCCACTTACCAAGAAGGAAACTGAGGCAAGGCCACAAGCATCAAGGTGTCAGCACCACAACCACAGAATGACTAGTGAAGAGAGCACACACGGGGCCTTGCTGTTCTTGCCATCACTGCCAACCATGTCCGACTGGACACAGCTTTGTTTCCACCGGCCTCACCCATGGGTGTATAAGCTCCATGAGGGCAGTGCCTGGCCTGGTTCTTCTGTGGATCCTCTGTTCTGGATACAAGAGATGGACTACATATGTTCACGGAGCAAAACAAAACAGTGCCAAACACGACATTACAGAGATGCAGGCATAAATCAGAACCAGTCTGTGGTCCCTCGGGGTTCCCATTCAGGCGGTGAAGGGGCAACAGGCCGATTTCCTGCTCAAGCCAGCCTCTGTCCACTTCAAGCATTTGTGGAAGGCCTGTAGCAAATCTCAAGGGGACATGCCCTCCTCCGAGCGGGCGAGTCAGCCCCTTGGGAACAAGGCCACTGAACTGTGGCCTGGCCAGGGTGCTCCTCAGGCTGGAGAAAGAAGACGCCCCTGAGTGTCCACAGGTGAACCCCGTGTGCCCCAGGCCAGAGGCTTTGATGACCAGACTTCATTCTCTGCAGGCAGCCCCGCTTCCTGCCCACATTTCTCCTTCTTGGCCGTACAAAGATCACAGCTTTTCAGAACCCACACAAACATTGACACCTGGCCATTTTACATTCCTGTCTTCCACTGAAGCCGAAGACCCTATAGACACCCATGAAAGACACTGGAGGAGAGGGGGCCCCGCACACATGCGGAATGCATGTCCCTTAATTAAAATATCTGATCCAGACAAGGCATTTTGAAATATTCATTAAACCAATTTTTATTTAACCTACATGGACCAATCAAATGCAACCCATACCGCCTCATCGCTGCGTGTCAGGGGAAGTAAATTGAACTCCTGATGGGGCAGAGCGATGGGTCAGCAGGCAGGCTTCTCTGCCTTCACCCGCTTTCCACGCAGCGCCAGACAAGAGAGGGCAACCGTCAATCCAGCGCCGTGGCGATCATTACAGGTCTGCAGTGAAGCAGAAAAACGCCGTAATAAACAGGCCCCGCTGCCTCCTCTCACTCCATTCATCCTCCCCTACAAGTGCTCGGCCCTTCTGGCCTTGCTGAGCGTTAAATCCCCGTCCAGCTGTTTGACCCTATTACAGGAACATGATAGGCACCCCTGTCATTTGAAATGCCTGCAACAGTCGGATGCACCAAATCTATCTTCCCGACAGGTAAACCTATGGATAATTTATTTTTATGTGCTTTCAAAGGATGTTGACAACAGTCAGGAACGTCCGTGTTCAGGGGAGTGGGTCTCGCAGCGCCAGTGGTCACTGTTAATGAGCAGGAGGGGTGGCGGTTGCAAGGGCGTCCAGCTCCACCGGCCTCCAGACCCGCGCGTGCAGCCTGGGCCCCGCACCAGCAAGATCCGGTTCCGTCCAAGAGATTCCGACTCAGACTCAGACACGGTTCTGCCCAATTACTTTCAGCTAAAGCCACCCACCTGAAACATCCCCCAGGACGTGGGCAGGTGTCACCCAGAGAGCAGGGATGGTGAAAACCATGCTGCACAGATCGGGACGCAGAGCTTCACATGGCTGCACTAAACTAGTGCAGGTTGGGCCCGATTAAAATATTTACCTGGCTTGACATCTTCCACATAGCCACTTGCTCCCATGCTGTTCATGCCGCTACCTCAAAGAATTATCTGCAAACATTACAGAGAAGGGTTAATAGCTGGCAGGAGAGTCTTAAACTTCGTTATCACATTCACCACAAAAAATAACCACACATATAAAAATATCATTGTTTGCAAGTAAGAGTAATGCAACCTTTGCAGCTCTGGGGCTGGGGTACCTGGAGAGAGAATGACTTCTAAGTCGCCCTCCGGATTTCTGTGTGACCGTGCACCTTCACAATGGGTGCCATTTAAGCCTACAGAATCCAATCAATGTGTCAGTTAAATTGCTACTCATCTGTCGAGATTAAGCGTCCGACTATTACCTCAGATTTAGTAGAAGTCTTAGATACTGGCACATTTCACTGAAGCCATTAGTAACACCTGGAATCATTCACATTAGTTTAAGATCTGGCACCATAAATTCCCAGCCATTAATGATTATTCTGACTCCTCAGGATAAATGGCTTAACGTTTTTGATAATGAAAATATACATTCTGCAGTAGTTCCTTCTTAAACACACATTACCTTTGTAATGTACTTCATGGCTGATTGTAACGGACGGCACCATAACTCTCCAAAGGAATTTTAGTGTGCTGTAAAGTATGGAAGATCTGTTGCACTATTAATTAAAAAAAAAAAATTAACGAGCTATTTATTTAGCTGTTTACTTTGGGAAATGTAACGACATATCTTAATTGGCCTGATTGTCGTGTGGCGGAGTAAAAGCATCTTGAGCCGCGTTGTTTCGGTCACTTTCCTTGTAAGTTCCAGCACACAAGGTGTGCTCCACACAAAGGCAGGCAACAAACTTCTATTGGATATTATCAAAAATAACAGAAAAAGATCATTGTGAGAGCCCAGGGTGTCCGCTTAGTTATAGCTGAGAGAGATTATTTAAATATCTCAAATAAATCTTTTCATTCCCAGCACATTCATCTCTTTTAAGTGCTCATTAAGGTAGGGGCGTGACAGCCTTGGAAAATGAAACACTAATTCTTTTTCTCTGAAGCCGGAGTGTTCTGCTCCCAAGGGCGGCTGTAGTTTAGGGGGATTACAGAACTAGGGCAGAGAGGGGTTCCTCTTCTGCATTTCATTCCAAAAAGTGATGGGGGGGGGGTGTTTGTTTGATGCCACTTTTCTTCCTGCTTGTCTCGTGTGATCTATTAGATCTGAAGAAAGCGGATGTCAGTCTGTGGTGTTTGATAAACGGTCTTTGGAATGGGGCTGTGCCGACCTTACCTCACTGCAGCTCAGAGTAATTTGCAGTCAGCTTGTCTTTGGTTGATTTAGACTAAGTTTTCCAAAGACAGAAGCTGAAGGATAGGGCTGGAGCTCCACGCTCTCCTTTTCCAATGCCAGGTTTTTTTTTAAGTGATGAAGAAACTCTGTCTAAAAACACATCTCAGCACTAGTCCACAGCTAAACGCTAATAAATGTGCACATTTGGGTCATACTGTTAAAAGCATGCATATTTCCGGACCCCTCATAGAGAGGCAGTCAGGATTCCTTTAAACAATAAAGGTCCATAAAACAGGGCCTGGGAACTCGTTAATGAACTTGGAAATGGTTATTGATCCACATTAAGCCTAATTTGCTTAAATTCAACGCAAAATTTTGCACATGGTATCAGAAAGTGATGCCCAGGAAGCTGGAGGGTAAGCCGGAGTCATGGGTGACCAGGAGCCCTTCTGTCTGTGTAGGCAGCACTGCCCTGGGTGGCTTCCCTGAAACTCTGCTCACTCTCATCCCAGCCTCTGCTGCTTTTGCCCAAGCCAGGCTCCTCACAGCCCAGAGATGCTCCTCGGAATACCATGGAAGCCCAGCAGGACTCTCGCCAAGGCAGGACCCAGGCCGCCAGCACCTGTGTGGAGGTGGAGACAAATTTCCAGCCGCAAGGCTTGCATGGAGCAGAAGAAAGGCTCTGAATTTAACCCACTAGAGGAGGGGATGGGCAGCACAGAAGAAATGTGAGAAAGCGAAGAAGCCCCAAACACGGTGGGCATTGCATAAAAAAGTCGAAAGATACTGAGATCACCTGCAGGAGAAATAAAAGACAGGAAGATGAGAGACAAGAAAGGTTTCGTCCAAGAATCTAAAAATCACTAAAGCGTCACGTAGAAGGTAATTGGGACGAGGACTGAAATTTGGGACCCTGGTGGAAACTGTACAAATAAGGTCTTATTGAAACATTAAGCCCGGAGCGTGCCAGGGCCACTGGTGGGCATGTAATAAATAATAATTGATAATAATGAGGATACTCAAATTTAATTCCATGTTCCATGGGAAGTTCCCCAGGGCATCGCCAGAAACATCCTTATGAGTCTCTGCGCCCGCTCCTTTTATCCGGTGGGGGAGCAGGAACGTTTGTCTCACTGGCCAGCCATGCCTCCTCCACCGGGAGGCCCGCAGAAGGCAATGCCAGGGGGACCACTCCCATGCTGAGCAGCCTCTGTCCTCTGCGCTGTCCCTGGTGAGGGAACAGGACAGGAGGGGCAGCCCCAGACCTCCCAAGGCCCCATGTGGAAAGGAGCCTGTGCCAATAGCCAGTGCAGCAGGGCCGGGCGGGAGCTGCCCTGTGCGGGGAGAACTCCAGAGACAGGCGGGGAATGAGCCTGAGTCAAGGTGCGGGGAGACAGCTAGGAACTGCTTCCAGCTTGAGGGTGGACATTTCCAGACCTCGTACGTGTCCCTGGAGCCAAACCAGGTGGGACCCTCGAAGGAGATGGGGCTGCTCAGGGGCCTGGGGAAAATCAAAGAAGGCTACCACAGCCAGGCCCATCTGGGTCTGCCAGGGTGAGCTTGGAGACAGCCATGTGTCCCCACAAGAGGAGACAGGACCCAGGGAAGACGGGAGAGGCAGGACAGCTAAGTGGACTGGAGTAAAGCCAAAATGAGGGGCCGGGGACACTTTACATAGCTGCTCTTTGTGCTGTCCCTGTTCTGAGAGCGAGTGGAGAATCTGCTTCTCTAGCTGACACTGAGGTATTTTTAAACAGCACCAAAATGACACTTTATAAAACCAAGGGTTTTAGTACAGAGTAGCTGAGAAGATTCCAAACCCGACATTTTCTGTTACCACAATTGAGCCTTTTTCAGTATGTAATTTTCTTTAGAAGTCACATTTAAACCCAGGATGAACAGCAGGCCTTCCCCTGCTCCCTGTCTAATTGTTTAACACAGACGTATACACAAAACTACACACACCTGTGTACGTATACTTATACGTATACACACAAGCATGTTCATATAGAAACATATAATTCGTTTTGTGTATGCACACAATCTTTTTTATGTGTGCACCACTTACACACACACATATATATACATATGTTGGTATACCTTTTAGCAACATATAGAGTGATTTTCCCTCTAGGTGATCCTTCCATGATCTATGGAAAATAGGAAGGAAGGAGCTATTTGCATTTGGAGCTACATTAACCCAAATGAATAGTGCTTTCAGCAGCAGGTGATCTTTATAGACAGCGTGCCCTAGAATTTTTGGAAAGTGCAGAGAATTTGTAGAAATAATGATTATGAGGAGGGAAATGATGGGGGGGTGGATTGGTTCAATTTCTACTAATAAGTGCTTCATAATAGCTCAAAAAATCTCTGTCAGGCCTCTGCCTCTTTCGAAATGCAAATGGCTGGGTGCCGGCTGCAAAGCTTGCTGTGTGCGATACATAGACAAGGGTAATATCTTCTCTGTGTCATTCCAAATGATATGGAAACAACTGAAAGCATCCTGGCTGTGGATAATTACGGAAGAATGACAGGTTGGTAATAAGTTCTCATTTAGGAATCTCTCACACTCGAGAGGTGCAGGGACGGTTTGCATGCCGTGATTCTGGAGTTGCACTGCCATCTGCATGAGTAAGCAGGTCTCGAAAAGGAATTTGGGGGAAACTGTACATGAAGATTTCAGACTCAAAACCCATAATTTTATTAACCTTGAAAACTAATCAGCATCTTAGTGAGACATGAAGATGCATCCCATCTGCAATGGTGGGGAAGGCATGTGTGAGCTGCTCTTGCCTGCCCTAGTTCTCTGACCAGAAGGATGAAACCAAGCCAATTAGCTGGTCTGGTGCCCACCATGCAGCTAAAGCCTCGTGGGTGATCCTTTTCCTGGGAGCAGTGCTTTGCCAGCATCCCGGGTGTTTTTAGGGTAGAAACAAACTCAACAGAGAGACCATAGGAGTCTGTCAAGTTTATAGTAGATTCAGGTTTGGAGCCTGGCATTATTGATGCGTATTATTAATTATCAAAAAATGAGGGAGGAGGAATATTTAAAATCCACAGTGACATGCTGGATGAGTGCCTGGTTGTGCTGAAGCAGGTTCCATTAGCCGTCACTGAGCACACAGGGGAGTCAGAGCCTCTTTCCATGTGGCACTTTGGCATTGGAAGGAAGCCCTGGGGCACTTCTATCCACAGGGATGGCTGCTCCTCCAGAACCCCAGCATTAGCCATCAGGGAGCCCCTCTGAGCACCACCCCTCATCCTCAGCCACAGGGGGACCCTCAACCACAGACTGTGCTGATGGCAGCGTGGCCAACTGGGTAGAGGTGTGCAGAGAGCACCCTCCAGTCTGGAACCTTCCGCTCACACTGGGCTCTGTAACCTTCTGGCCTGAACGCCTGCCACCCATGGCTCTCCCACAGTTTCTGTGTCTCTCCCAGGGCCTGGCTTCTTGAGGACAAGTACAGAGGGACCTCTCTGTGGCCCCTTTCTAGGGCTCAGATGTGTATCAGGATATCTGTTGATTTGATGCAACTTTGATCTTCAAGTGGCTGCTTTCAATAAACCTGCCTTGTTTCACGGCATTTGCAGTCACCGTCTCCCCTCTCCTCCTATATCTGCTGTTAACAGAATTATCTTCGGATATTTAAACTTGGGCTGGGAGAAAATAGACACAGCCCTGGGTACATGCCATCACACCATCATGCCAGGATGCAGTGAGAGACAAAAGGTCGCACTGGTGAGGCACATAGATGCCCTGTCCAGTTTTTGTTTTGTTTTGTTTTGCTTTTATTTAATAGTTGTGATATGAAGAGATGGCATCAAAACAACACACTCGCATGAATTCCCCTTGATTCCATGTCAGGTGCATTAGTAAGTACGTTATCTCCTGGAACCCCGCACGAAGTGAGTGCTATTATTTTTATTACCATTCTACGCAGAAGGAAATAGAGTCACCAAGAAGTCAACTGATGCCTAGGCCCAGGGTATCAGCCTTAACAACTCTAGAGCTGGGATACGAGCCCAGCCCTGACTCTGCCAAGACCTGGGTTCTCTCTGTGCAGCCATGGGGTCCCAGGGAAGAGACACTGGAATGGAAACATTAGAGGTTTTAGTGGCACTTAGGAGACTTCACGAAAATGACAGTGTTATGTGTGTTCAGGGCAGCATCCAAGAAGCTCCTTTACCACATATGGCACAAAAGGCCCCCTCATGGCAAGAGGAACTTAGGGCTCGTGTGATGACTCCTTATATTAGTCCGTTTTCACACTGCTGATAAAAACATATCCAAGACTGGCAATTTACAAAGGAAAAGGTTTAATTGGACTTACAGTTCCGCATTGCTGGGGAAGCCTCACAATCATGGTGGAAGGCAAGGTGGAGCAAGTCATGTCTTACAGGGATGGCAGCAAGCAAAGAGAGAGCTTGTGCAATAGAACTCCCCCTTATAATAACCATCAGATCTCATAAGACTCACTCACTATCATGAGAGCAGCATGGGAAAGATCTGACCCCATGATTCAGTCATCTCCCACTAGGTCCCTGCCACAACACGTGGGAATTCAAGATGAGATTTGGGTGAGGACACAGCCAAACCATATCACTCCCATACCTCATACCTGTATCCCCACCTGTGGCCCTTGCCATGGAACATGGGCTCAGTGAGGGAGCCTCCATCTGGATTTGAGTTTTTTCTTGCTTCTCTCCTTTAAAAACAACTAAGTGAAGAACAGAGAAAGTGGCCAAAATTCCTACGTCCTCACGAGCTACTCAGATGAGTTGGATTAATCTGAGTTCCATCTTCCAGGTAATCCCATGGAAGCCTGACTTAGAAACACAAAATATAAAAATTGGCATGAAAACTTCATCTACACTTGATTAGCACAGCAGTCACTAATTACTGTGATTATTTTCAATGATAGAGTCATGATACAAAGCAATGATTTTATTTTATATAAATAAATCCTCTAGGTGCAAAGTAACAATGTTTGGTCAGTTTTATGAATTTCTTAAAAGCAAATAAAATAAGGATAACCAAGTAGTTAAGAGAAGATCCTTGGAAATTTGACCCAGCCTTCTCCAGTAATTATTCTAATTATTCTTCTATTATATAGGCCAAGAGCCAAAGGTTCCCAAGTGCGTAGGAAGTTAATAGCAGACTTGAAGTGAGAAGGGGAGGGCAAGCTAGCATATGTTCATTAAAGTCTGCTTTCACTTAAGGGTTTTGCATCAAGGAGGCTGCAGGCACCAATAATTTATCTTGAAGTCTATTTACTCAGTGCAACAGGGAAATAATAAATTGTCCTAATTTTCCTTCCTGGCCCCAGAAGAGGCTGCCTCTTGCCTTCCCTTCCAGCGACCCCACTGGGGTCAGTCTGTTGCCCAGGCACTGAGTGAGCCCCCAAATGCACTTGGAGGAAACGTTTCCAGTGGTGCCCCGTGGCCTCCAGCCAGCTGTGTTAGCATTCTTCAGCCAAGGTGTGTACTCCTGAGGGGGCTGCTGGTGGTTGGTGGGTGGGACAGCTGTTAAAAGAGGCTCAGGAGACCAGGGCCGTGAATGGGACTCACACAGGCCCACCATGCCCTGGAGTGCCCAAGCCAGGAGGCAGCATCTCTTCCGCTGCCCACAGACTCCTTTGAGCCATAATCCACACAGGCGCCTGGCCCTTTGGAAGGTCATCCCAAGAAAAACCTTGCACCAGCAAGTTCTTATTGAATGCCTGCTCCAAAACACAAAGCTGGGTTCTTGGGTCACATGGCTAAGCCCCATCAGACACAGGGCCAAGATCATTGTGGGCAGAAATAAACCAAGACCTGCCTTGCTGTTTCCTTGTAAGTTCCAACATCTTCAGAGCATCAGTCAGTTTTAGCAGTGTCATTCTGAAGGCACTCCAAAGCCACCGCTGACTGCATCTTATAGAAATTCCCATGCTGCCTGTTCCCCTTGGGTGGTTCTCTGGGAGGTTCTGGGTAAAAGGCAAGAACATCCCTGGAAAGGTTAATGCAATGACCCCTTGGTGCCTCAACAGCATGAATTAGCCCCAGATTCTTTACCTGCTACCAAAGCTAGCCCAGAGGAAGAGGAACAGAGAGCGGACAAGCTTTGATAGGAATTGTGGGGGACAAAAGAAAGGTGAAGACTGACTGGGGTGAGCCAGGATGTGGCACAAGTCAGGGACCACGAAAAGGCATTGCTCCACCCAGACCCGTACCCCAACACAGCCACACCCAGTGAGAAGCCATTTAGTTACTGAAAGCCGTGACCCAGCAGTTCAGCCAGGCTGCCCACCAAACATGGCCTGCGGGCTGCAGACTGGAGAGCCTGGTCCTGATCACCATGAGGTGCCACTGCTGTATTCATTAGGGGCCATCCAGAGCCTTCCCAGCAAACAGCAGGCTTTGTTCCTGGACACAAATGATTTTCCCATGCAGAAAGCCACATGCCCCAAAGCCAGCCTGCGGCCAATGCAGGCTGGCCAGGCAGTTGCAACAGGGTCCCAAGTCAAGGGATTTCTCAGCATATCTCTTTACATGGATGGTTTTTGAAATGTTTATCTTCTTGGGTAAGACAACAAGGAGCAAGGGAAATGCCTGGGAGAGGGACAATGAGAGGGGCTACGGGGGGTCTCAGTGAGAAGCTGGGAGGAATAAGTAGCTCTCATCACAGGTGCACCTGCGTGCGGAAGGATTACCTGTGATGAGGGCTGCATCCCTTTACAGAGGCAACTTCCATTTTCCAGAGTCCAGTAGACCAAAGGAAGAATGGAATCTGCATCAGCTATTCTTTCCTGAACACAGACCCTAGAATATATTTTTTCTAGAAGTTTTTATATCATAGTATCAAGAGTCATGGTTTTCTGACTCAAATATGTGCAAACATTTCTTCCATTGGAGTTCTTTAGTTGTCTGTGTTTGGGAGTCAGCGGGCAATGGGAGGGGTCTGAGGAGAACAGCCAGCCCCACATCCCTGGCACAGCTGGTCCCAGCGCCTGGGAAGACCATCATGGTGACAGGGTGAGGGCATCAGTACCAGCCCAGGGTGGTCGCAGGGAGGCAGCCTCGGTCCCTGACCCAAGGCTTTCCTGTGCCATGCAACTGGTCAAGTTTTGTGTTTTTTCCCTGCATTGGTAGGCTCTGTTGATCACTTGGGATTTGCAAGTCCAGATAAACCAGGGGGCTGGTCTAGCAGGGCGAAAGCATGGCTCTCCCTCCGCCTGACAGCTCCACTTCATCCCCAGCCTCAGACACTGAGACTCACATTTATTCATTTTGAGCAATGCGTTGTACAGACGGCCTGTCCGCACCAGCCCTGCCCGAAATGTCTTCTTTAATCAAAATTCTGCTCCAAACGACCCAGCTGATCAAGTGAAGCGGCCTTTCCACAGACTATTGACGATCTGTCTCAAGCATTATCTCATAAGTTTCCTTTTATTTTCTCTCCCAACCCAGATAGTCTTCGCTTTGAACCATAGCTGCTGGACAAATTTGGATTTGATACAACCTGCACACTTTCTACCTACCTCCCGGCTCTTTTTGCATTATTCAAAAGCAACAGGAAAACTTAAAATTCAGAAGAAAACATATTTAAATGACTCACCTCTTCCCTGAGTATGACTTATGAGGTCCACAGGGAAATGGATATTATTTCTTGAGGCAGCTGGCCTTGGAGACTGAAGCAGTCAGGAACAGATCTATAAGCTGGGGGAAGGCAGAAGTCTCATGTTAGGGATAAGCATCCCTGGATGGATCTTCATGGACACAAGTCTTGTCTGTGAAGATAAAGGAAAGTAAAATCACTTATGCAAAAGTAGATATTTGTGACAGACTCCTGGATGGACCTCAACAAATAGGTCTAATCCTCCTAGCTTTCACCCCATGAATTGTTATATTTAGTTTATCCAGATGGATTTTGGAGCTAGTCTTAGCACGTGGTACACACTCAGTAAATGCTTATTAATGAACCAATGGACTGACAGTTTTCTCTTCTGAAAAATGCAGAAGGTCCTGGCTGGTCTTTAAAGGTCCTGGTAAGTTGAAATCGTGGGGATTCTGATTTACAAAAATAAGAGGTTGGGGGCAGAGGAGAGGCATAAGCACCTCTACAGCCAGCCTGAGCAAAGAGAGAGGCAGCCCTGCTCTCCAGAGAGTGGACTGATATCCACCCTCTCCTGCAGCCTTGGCGGGAGGGGCGGTGCAGGAAAGTGGCGGGGAGGCAGCACAGGTGAGACTTGGCAATCAACCAGAAGGAAAAGAACATCAGGAAGGAGGTAAGGAAGCAAAGACAGCAATCACCCATAGCCTAACAGTGGCCCAGGGCAAATGGAGCAGACAATAGGGAAGTCATTTGTCCAGGATCCTAGGGATTTCCACGAAGTCAGCATTACCCACACTGCCTACATTTCTTCATCAAAGAGGGGAGCAAGATCATGTGGGCTCATTTCTGTCTCCATGATGAGTGCAGATTTGAAGGGGAGATACAAGATGTGAACATTGGAAGCAACCACCATAGGATTCATTACATCAATCATGGATGCTTTACTTGTAATTGTTCCGCAAAAAAAGGGATGTAACTAGGAGCGCGTTAGACCAGTGGTTTTTGTGGTAACCCTCATCAAATTGGAGCGAAAATGCTTCCAAGGCTGTTTATGCATCTCTTCATTTGTATTCCATCTCATTTCAAGGAGGAATTTGAGAACCTCAAACGCACAGGACCAGAGACGATGCTCAAATGCAAAGTTATCAAAATACGCTCCTACATAGTGAGAGAGTTGTGATAGGGGAAATCGTCCGCTTTTCTGCCTGCACCCTCTGGGCGGAATGTACATGAATTTTAACTTGTGATAAAGTTGAACAATGTTTTCATAATAAGTGTAACCATTTCATGGGGTGACGGAGCAGCGCTGCTGATAAGTGGACTTCAACTTGGGCTGCATACTAAGTTTCTTTGACATAAAAGAAGGAAAGTAATGTGTCCAGTGAGCTAAGCACACTATTTAGATAATACTTATCACGCCGGTTATGAGAAGCATATCAATGTATGATTCCTGACTGACATCGTAGCTATGTTTGTTTTTCTAAAGCTGAAATACTGAAAATCTTAGCAAAAGAATGGAAAAGATCACTGACAAAAACTAATGTGTACCTTCACTCATTCCTCTAATATAGTATTTATGTTAAATAGTATTCCTCTAACATAGTATTTATTTACTGAACATCTATACAGACAAGGCCTGTGCCATTACAACATTTCATGTGTCATAAAAATGAAAGGCACATTTTTAAAGTATACTATGAAAAATCCATGTGGGCAAGTATTGTAGTGTTATCACTGAATTTCGGAAGTACAATGTTAGTAGGTGATTTAAATTCATTTCTTTTCACTTTTTTAGACTTTCTAAAATGTTCCATTATTTTAGACCTAGAAAAAAATCCATTTAACAGTACAATGTGATAGGCTCTCTATAAAAAACACATGAACGGAGTGTATTAGTGAAGCTCAGAAAGCAGCAGGTCATTCAGTCTGAGAACATTAAAGTCCCCCCAGGTAAAAGCGATGCTTTAGGGATCCTTCCTCATTCCTAATAGAGAACCCAATCAGACATTGGGTTTAATTTTTAAGAGTCTGCCTATTACAAATAAAGTTTCCATTACCTAAGCATGGAAATGATTCTTCAAGGAGGCTCTACTAATTGCTTTCCAAGATATGCTGTCCACGGAACACTCCACCTGCCCTCAAAAGCAGTGCTGTTTTTAAGGGTAGGGTGGAGAGCAAGAACACAGCAGTTTCCTATACAGCCTCCACATCCACCTTGACCCATTTCAAAATGGTGCCGCTACTTTGCACCGTGCTGAATCGAATTGCACGTCTTATCCCATTTCTTCTATCTCAGCTGCATTCAGGATGAGAAAAAGCCCTCGGTTGCCTTCCCTCCCCAGTGGGAAATATCTTCTGCCACAAAAGAAGGTGGAAGTGAGTAAATGTCATAATAAACACAAACCACACCACCTGGTCACAAGGGCTGGCCACAAGAAAGACAGAGAGCGGTGCAGCCACTGATCAATACTCCCCAAGATGAAGCCATCTGTCTTTTGCGGCACTTCTTTTGGGGAAACCCTGCAGAAATCCAAGGATGGAATTAGAAATGAAACATTATCATCTTCTTTACCGGTGAAGTTAAGAATGTGTGTTAGTTTGTATATAAGCACACTGAAGCAAGACTTTTCTTTACATTTCTCTATTTTTTCCCCCATTCTTCATCTTCTATGCTTGATCTGTAGTAGGAGATGTTCAAACATAGATGAGGAAGAGCATCTCCCAAGAGTATCAGTAATTCTTCTACTAACTAGCAGAGTCAGAGCTCAACTTGGATTGGAGGTACGTCAGAGCCCTACCCTTAACCTCAGGCCTCCAGCTAGTTCCTGGCAAGACTGTGCTGATCTTAGGTGGCTTTGCCCACCTGAAGTGCAGGGGACTCATCTGCTCTGTCTCCCGTCCAGTGCATGGGGACTGGAAATGTCCTGGAGGCCAGCAGCAGCTTCTCACACTTCCCTGTAATGAAGGGGTTATTTGGACATTGTCCCAGGAGATCACACATAGCAGGAGAGCAGAGGCAGTTTATCAAGTCCATGAGGAAAAGTGCAGTCATAAACCTGTGCCACTCCTCACCTACAGTGTCCTTTCAGGAATAGACGGTCAAAGTATTGAGTGTTGTTCAGATTTTATCTCCAAGGCTTAAGGAACGCCTGAAGAACTTTGAATGAGAGGCATGTGGGGAGGACTGATGGGTAAATACTGAGTTTCCTCGTTTTTTTCTCCTGGTATCAATTGCTAGTTTTGCTGATCCCTGCTTCCCAGAGCTTGTCCGCAAAAGATAATGACGGCCATTCTCCTAGTCTCATCCCAGTAACCTTGTCAGGGAGACCTTCTCGGCCCTCCTGCCAGAGACATGACAGTGCACACCACAGTGGCTGCCAGTGAGTCACAGCCCCCTATCCGGCGCCCCGCACTTAGGGCTATACAAGCACTGTGTGTGCTGATGATTCTGAGTTCACATGTATCATAACAAGGATAGGCAAGATGGAAACATCCTTATTTAGGGCACAAATAACTGCCACAAGCGCAGTGCAGAGTTAGAGAGCTCAGAATATATTTTCATCCATTTAATAATTATCCTCCTTGTGTGTGTTGTCTGGGAGGGCTGAGCGATCACCTAACCACTCTGTTGGTAGGAGACGTGGGATCTTCCCCACACTTTATTCCAACCATCAGTCTATCTGCTTAGGCATTAAACTGGGCAATTAGGGTTGCTGAGCAACCATAACTTTTGCATATGTGCCTCCTGTGGTTTTGTATGACAACCACAATGTTATGATAACAGGATTTTTTTTCCAACCAAGATCCTTCTTTATATGTAAATTTATGCTAGAATTGTGTATTTAAAAATTAGTTTTTATGAGTAATGAGCCTCAGGTTTGGCTGTGCTTCCCTCCTCCTCTACCAGGTTTATAAAATCAAGTTCAGAAGTTCTGGGATCACAGAGATGGTGTAAAACAAGGTGCAGGCACTGACTTCCAAGGCAGCAGTTCACTCCTGGGGACATACTCAGGACAACACAGACATCTGACTCCTGCTCATGTGCAAGGAATCATTCACTCAGGGCACCCGAGCTGTAGGTGCTCTGGGCCCTGCCTCAGCACTGTCACTGGGAGGGACAGGAGGTTGGGGCTGGGGTGGGGGTCCTGCTTCCACTTTGCTCCTCTCCATGGCCCTTATCCAGGCAGCTAACATTTTCCAAGTGCCTCCTCGGTGTTGGGAAAGAGGAAATATCCAGGCATAGTTACCTCTCAGACCCAACTCCACTCTGCTCTCTGGGGACATAAGATCTCCAGGGAAGATGCCTAAATAACCCCCTTTATTCTGGGCAGTGTGAGAAACTCCCACTGGTCTCCAGGAGGTTTCTAGCCACTATAGACTAGAATAGAGAGGAAGTGTGTTCTCTGCAGTCAGGCAGGCTGAGCCACCCAAGATCAGCACAATCCTACTGTGAACTGGCAGGTCTGGGGTTAAATAGGGCTCTGATAGCTTCCAACCCAAGTCCAGATCTGGCTCTGCCAGTTACTACAAGAATTACTGCTGCTCTCAAAACCTGCACTTCCGTGTTTAGAAAAGGACGACTGTCATCATCCTACCCACCTCTCAGGGTGGTTGTGACATTAGAGAAGGTGCGTGGAACACAGCAGTCTCTGTCTCTTCCGAATTTCCTTCTTCTGAACTTCATTCGCTTGGGGGATAGAGAACATGGATGGGCTGTAACACTTATTGTAAATACTTGCTAAGTGTTTCCAGGTTTTGGGGGGAATGCAAATCTTTCAAGTGAAAAATAAATAGCTAAAATGAAGATAGCATGTTTACAGAGGAAAAAAAACACGTTTAAGTCATCCTGTATTACTTGGCTCCACTGTTTTCCTTTGCTGTATTATTTGACTGCACCGGTGAGGGAAGGGAGAGAGGAGAGGGACCCACACCCAGTTGGGAGGATTTGGTCAGAGAACTGCTCATAAATATTGATGAGCACGTCGGCTTCACATTAACATTTGTTGAAATGTTTCATGGGCTTGAACCGGTTTCCCAGATTAAGAAAATCCCGTCCACACCCACACACACTCCTTATTTTCTCTCCAAACTTTGGTTTGTGTTCCATAGACACAGACATAGAACAGCTTTGAAATTGACCTTTTCTTTTTATCTTTATTCTCTTCTCTGTTGCCTCTGTTGTTCCAGTGACTTCAGAGACAACCTGGTAGAGAAATGCAAGGATTAGGCCTCACTGAAATCCAAGGATAGCAAAATATACAGGTTTCTTATGTCAAATTTTATCATCTGCACCTAATTATCAAAGTTCAGGATTACCATTTGGAGGGAATTGTTCAAAAACATCTGCTCTTCAAAACATAAGCATTGCTAAAATTTCCCTCTCCCAGAATTTCCAAGGCAAGCCTTTCACAAAACATAAGAAAATGGAGAGATTTCTCTTTCCTTGGTGGTGGAGGAGCTGGAGAGGGATTGGATCAATTAGGCTTGTCTGTCTCTTGCCTGTTGTCGGCAACCATCCCCAGCACCAGGGCTGACACAGCCCAGCCTCGCCTTGGACATTCGGCTGTTGAAACTGTTGGTGACAAACACAAAATTCCAAAGAAAACCAAATCAAAGTCTTCTGATTGAAAAGATGTGTGGGTGACTCGCTAAGGGTTTCGAGTTCTGACCTATGCAAATGTTATTTAAAGAGGCAATAACAACTGAAACAGACGCAGAGGAATCAAGCATCTGCCTTGGGACTTGGAGATGGGAATGATCAGTGGAAAAGGAAAGCCAAACTGATACAGGCAGAAAAGGCAGGAGATTCAAAGACGGAGAATGAGCCCATTTCTACCAGATCACATGTCAGTCATGACTGAGGGTCTGGACCTGGCATCTTTTTAAGAGACAAGAAAGTCAGGGCTCACCAATAGCTGCAGAAGGAATTCCCATCTCAGCAGAGGTGCTTTTCTCAAGAAAGACAAGAGCAGCCAGTGAAGCCAGGCCTCCCTAAGCCTGAGTAGCTACCTGGGCAACTCAGCCTGAATCTGTTAGGTCCTGGAAGGACTTCCCACAGCATGTGATAACAAGATGTGTGCCAAAACAAAGGAAGGAAAAGGTACTCAACAGACATGGCAATGCCTGCCCCCCAGATTGACCTGAAATTGGTGGTTCAGTCTTCTGGGGGCAAATTGCTTGAAGCTGCATCTCTTTAGACAAAGGAAAGGTCTAGTCTCAGAAGTGGTAGGATCGTTTGTTGAAAGCAGACCAGTTTCTCACAGCAGGTCCCCTATCAGAGGATGGAGACTCCTAGAGTCAGCTGCAAACTCAGACACCAGAAAGGGCTTTTGATGTCTGAACGCTACAAGGGTTCAACAAGCCCATGCCTAAGCAGCCCAAGCCCCAGGTGACCAACAAGGATGATCAACCTTGCTTGGCACTGCTCTCTCTTCATTCCACTGGCACAATGTGACCACTGCTGGGACATACTTTAAGAATCACTTTAAGATTGCACATTAATTATCTAAATTGCTAAATACCTATGTGGGCTTTTAGATTTATTTGAGTAAGCTATGTCTGCTTCCATTTCACAAGGGAAGAAAATCTGGATGATGCAAAAGAGTTTTTTTTAAATTTATTTTTTATTTTATTTTTTTTTTTAAGGAGGGATTTTTGAGTCCCAACTCTTAACTCTTAGTTGTGGACAGTACAGAGAAGTTAATATTTCCTTTGTTTGCCAACACTAACACATGGCTGAGTCTGGACTGAGTTCTTACCTGGTCTCTGGGGGTTCAGGCTGGGCTGCCTCCGTAACGGAAAGACTCAGCTTATCAGTGGGTCCAGTGGCTTTCTGGAGATGGCTGACCTGCCCAGAGTTGTACATGGCATGTCTCCCGTGCATGTGTGTGAACCAATCCAGACCTAAGTGCTCTGTCCCCCCACCAAAATAATGCACAATCCTGTCCACAGCCTCATACTGGTGTCACACAAGGAAAACCTCCAATAACCAACCAAGGGATGCAATAACATACTTTTCAAACAGTTCAGAAGAGTTTTACAACAGTTTTCATCTATAAAGATTAAATCCTCTAGGACACCAACCTCTTTTTTCTGGTCCCTCATTGATTTTCCTATCCACTGAAGATGGTGTTATTTGACTGCTGCGGGAAGAACAGCAAAGCTCAAACATGGTACTTGGTCAGAAGACCATTTTCTCCTCTCTAAAGAACAGGTTAAGCCGGCAGAGATAGCGTCTCCTAATTTGCTTACAGTTTCTATAATATTAGACATTTCCACTGGCAAAAGTTGACTTTCCGTCAAAATCCAATCCCCGTGACATCAATTTGCTTCTACAAACAATTATCTTAAATAACCTACACTTGTACATAGCATTTCTGCGGGAGATGATCAAATACTCCAAGGTTTTTTCCCCCAATATTTTCATCCCTTGTTGGTCATAGACTTAAAAGCTTGAAATAGAATTTCGTCGTCTACCAATTTTTTCCCATTTATGTTCAGGAAATATTGATTTTTTTTTAAACTGGAGTTTTAATGGACCTTGAAATTAACATGGCTTTTATTTCTTTGCTATAACACCATCATCATTGATGATGTCACTATGTCTCCCAGAAAAATCACTGGCCAATGGCTGGCATTTAGAGTCTAAGCACTAGGGAGAAATCAACATTACCGTATTTGCTCATACGTGGTTCCTCTTACCCTAAAGGAATTATCCTGTTTCAAAGAAATAGTTGGGGCCAGGCACAGTGGCTCACGCCTGTAATCACAGCACTTTGGGAGGCTGAGGCAGGCGGATCACGAAGTCAAGAGATCGAGACTATCCTGGCCAACATGGTGAAACCCCCATCTCTACTAAAAATACAAAAATTAGCTGGGCATAGTGTCATGTGCCTGTAGTCCCAGCTACTTGGGAGGCTGAGGTAGGAGGAGAATCGCTTGAACCTGGGAGGCAGAGGTTGCAGTGAGCCAAGATCATGCCACTGCACTCCAGCCTGGTGACAGAGCCAGATTCTGTCTCATAAAAAAAAAAAGAAAGAAAGAAGAAAGAAGAAAGAAAGAAAGAAAGAAAGAAAGAAAGAAAGAAAGAAAGAAAGAAAGAAAGAAAGAAAGAAAGAAAGGAAGGAAGGAAGGAAGGAAGGAAGGAAGGAAGGAAGGAAGGAAGGAAGGAAAGAGAAAGAAAGAAAGAAAGAAAGAAAGAAAGAAAGAAAGAAAGAAAGAAAGAAAGAAAGAAAGAAAGAAAGAAAGAAAGAGAAAGAAAAAAAGGTAGTTGGGTGACAACAATGGAAATTTTTTCTAAACTAAGTTGGCATGATTCTCTCACAAAACAGCCTTAAATCTCAGCCTGGAGTCCAGGATGTGTCCAGGACGTCTGCATTTTTCAAAAGCACCAAGTCGAATATTTTTGATCTGCAGCAGGATTTGTCACTATCTGTTTCCAGCACATTCCATACACAGCTTATCAGACTTCACATGCACTTAGAGGATGCTGAATGGGTGGCCCTCTCTGGATGATGATGGGAAATAGGTGGAGGCAAAGTCCAGGACAGACACTGCACCCGAGCAGAACCAGCAGAGTCAATCGCTCCCAGCCCCAGGCAGAAGGCACAGTGTGGAGGGGCCGAGGGCTGTGGGAAGCTGACTGCCAAGAGTGGGCGACTCGAGGTCTCCCACCGTGGTTCTTAAGGCCATAGGCCTGTGGGGAGAAGGAGAGAGCCTTCTGCTGGTCAGGACGGGAGGGCAGGGCCTAGTGGAGGAGTCTGTAGCTGCAGGACTCAAGAAGGAAAGGAAGAAAATCCAGGGAAGATGCTGGAGGGAGCCCACGTTCCATGGACAAAAGCCAACCTCTTTACCTCACCAGAAAGCCCTCCCTGGACCAGGGTCTGCTGTTTCCACCTCCTCAGTCTCCACTCCCCGCTGTGCCAGGTCCCACCTCTGACTCCCTTGCAGCTCCCTAGGCCTGCTGTATTTTCTTTCCTTAGATGTCTAGAGACTCTGCCAGATCACTCTCCCTGTATCCTGACCATGCCATCCTCACCCACCCCCAACCTGCCAGGCCAACCCTATGCAGCTTCAGGTCCCTGCTTCCACGTACCTCCTCCTTGACCAGCCCACCACACACCGACCCCACCATGTCTTGGATGCGGACCCATCTGCACGCAGGCAGAGTCCCCTTGAAGCTGTCCTACCATCCAGACCCCTGAAAGGGCCTGGTCCGTCTTCACTGATACATAGGGACAGGCTGTGTCTGAGCAAACAAAGGAATGAACAGACAAGGCAGGCATGGAGATGGGGCAGCTGGCTGGGAGCTTCCAGTGGAATTAGCAGCAAGAGAAGCCACCATTGCCGGAGAGCACAGAGTCCCCAGGCCCCGCTGGAGCAGGAGGTGAGCTTGCATCCCCAGGCATGCTCCTCATCATCCACTCAAGCCCTCAGGCCCTGGCCTACTGGTCTGGCCTCCTAACTAGAGGGCCCCAGAGTCCAGGGCACCCAGCCTCAGGCTTCCTGCTTGGAGAAGATGGAGCCCAGGCAAAGCAGGAGCACAGAGGTTTCAGTGTGTGAGTGTCAGGAGCACAGAGGTTTCAGTGTGTGAGTGTCAGAAGCACAGTTAGATTCACTGTGTCCAGAGCCCTGTACACCAATGACAAAGATGACAATCTGGCATTCATTGTCTCAGCCTACACAAGGCCCTGAAGAACACTCAGGCCACCCTGGCAGAGCTGACAACCCTGAGCTTATTGTGGGGTCCCCACAGAAGAGTTGGCCTACACTGAGCAGGGGAATCCTCCTGTGTATCTGCAGTAGGCTTCTGAGAAGTCCTGCAGCCTGGGATGGGCAGGAATGGCCACAGGGCGGTGGGCTGCAGTGGGTGGCAAAGGCAGTGGACTTGACCTGGCTTTGGAGCAAAGGACATCCACAGGCTACTGTGGGCCCACGGGGGACAGTGCGCCCCGGCCAGCTCACCGGGGCTCCTGGAGGCTTGACCAATCACTGGGGAGAGAAGAAAGAACTCAGAGCCAGGAGGAGGCAGCGTCTAGGCTGACAGCTTCCTCTCTCTTATAAGACTTAATGGATGGGTCTACAGCGCGTGGAGGCACAGGGATTTCTGCGGGGGGCCGCATCTTTTATTAATTACAGAGATGTGGAGTTGTGGGGTCCCCTTTCAAGGACAGCCCAAATCTAGAGAAATGCCTCCCCAGAATGTAACAATTTCAAGGACAATTAAATCCAGAAAGTAAACCACCACCCAGGTCGCTTGCACCCTCTGGCATTCTGAGAGCCTGCATCCAGCTGAAGCCATCTGCAACTTCTGTTAGGCACCGTCCAGCATGGTGGCCAACGCCCAGCCGTCCCTGCTACCTGTCCCACCAGGACAGGGGTGCCCCAGTGTGGTCCCTGTCCCCACTGGGCAGCAATGGTTAGATTCGTTTGTCAAATGGGAAGTTGCAATGAATTAGTCAGTGACCTGCCTGAGTGACCCAGCGAGCAGGCCCAGGAAATTGTTGCTATGATGACCCCCCCCCACCCATTGCCTGTGCTGTTGATTCATGCAAGGTCCCAGGAAAAACTGTCTTTCCATTTTGTGGGTAAGGAGATGGAGGCCTTGGATCTTAGTCGTGTGATCAGAGACGAAGGTGGGACACATGGAGGCCTGGTTGAATTCCCATAACTGCATCTGCCGGGCCCCCATCTCGCAGGAGCTGTACAGCACAGCTGGATGAGAGGAATCCCCCACAGAGAGCAGGCCTGCCTTGCTGGCGGGATTCCAGAAGACTCCATTGGAAGGGTGCATGCGCCATGGGCATTTCTGGCTATGGGGTGGTGGCCCCTCCCCACACTCCATGTGGGCTCCTGCCTTGAGAAACACATTGAACTCCAAACTCCTTGCTGCCCTTCCCGCCCTGGAAGCTCCAGGTCCTTGGAAACCACACCCCCTCTGGCCCCTCAGTTTCCTTCACTGTTACCAGGACAAAATAGGGTTTTAAGCGTTCAGGGCCCAGCCAGCTGCCAGCTCCCAGTCCCCAGCCCCCAGCCAACCTTCTGCCAGGCTGCAGGTCTGTGCTAGAGGAGAGCTGTGCAGCCAACCCTGGGGCGCCTTCAGAGGCCTGTGTCTGGGAGCTCCTTGGGGATGAGCCATCCGGCTTGGGACATGCCTGGAGAAAAGACTCCCAGCCCTGGCATGGTCCAGGCCTGGAGGCTGCATCTCACTTTCCTCTAGGCTTTTGGCCCAGGGACTGACCCCTTCTGTGATACGTGTTGGTTTTTCTGCTCAGTGTATGCCAGCTCTTCTGTAGGGACCTTCCAGTGATGGGGTGTCAGCTGCGCAGGGGGCAGGGCCTGAGTGTTCTGCAGGGCCTTGTATAAGCTGAGACAAGTCAGGTAGAGGCGATGGCATCTCAGCCCCAAAGAACAGCAGGGAAGGGGCAGGGGATGCCCGGGGCCCATCTCCACCCTGTGTATTGGAGTGAGGCCTGTGGGTGTCCTCTGGCCACCTAAGGGTGGGGTAAGCTGCTGGTTTCTGCACTCCGGTATCTTTTGATGAAGAGCCCCCACCGGAGTTCTGTTGATTCAGTGGGGGAGTCCCAGAGAAAACACCCAGCCACAAATGATCCAAGCAGACTTGGGGAGACAGGGTGCTGAGGACAGTCACCAGTGGTCTTCCAGCCACCCCCTTCCTCCTGCACTCTGAGCATGGCTCGCACAGCATTCAAGGCTGGAAAGTTCTTCCAATGCTGCCTGTCTTGTTAGGGCAGGTGAACACATGTCACCCTACAGGCTAGTTCCAGTTAGGGGAGGGGGTCGCCCATCATGTTAAGCGATGTTCGTAGCCACAGAGGAACATGGTACCCGCCCACACTCTGCAGTGAGGTGGCACACTGGAATTGGGCTGGATGGGTACCACAGGAGAGACATGGGCACAGAGGACAGCACCCATGCCCAGGGAGGGTGGACACGTGGCTGAGCTGTCTGGAGCGGGTGGACTCCACTCTGCTTTCACACTACAGATAGCAGGACAGTGGCTCCATAGTAGGCAAAGGGGCTGACTGGTGACAGCAGCAAGCCTGCACCTGCAGCAGGCTCAGGCTGGTCTTTTGGGAAGAACACCAGTGAGTGCCAGATGCCGCTGGCTGATGGGAGACCCCACATTGAACTCGGACTTCAGCGTCTTATGCAGGGGCTTGGGAGGTTACATGGTTCAGCAGTTACAATTGTTCATCTGAGAGGTTGCTGGACTTCTCGGCCACAGTTTGTTAAATTTGCAAATGCCCTTTGGGAACCGTCTAGAGGAAAGGTCTATAAACGTAATGTCCGGATTACAAGGGAAGTAAAGGCTGATATTCCGTCCTCTTCGTACCTGCTGACCTCAGACTCCACTGGCTCCAGTCACCATCTTATCTGGGGAGGGGATGAGTGAGATCTACCAGGGTCAGGTACCACTGCCGTGTGCAGGCTGCAGCCTTCAGGGGTAGAAGGTTGGGGAGCTGCAGGGATTTTACTACCGGGGTCCCCAGCACTGTAAAGTCCCCCATGTGCAGGAGGAAGCTCTGGAATGAGACAGAGGACTTACCCACTTCTGGAGCACTAAGAAAGAGTCCTGGAAGGGCCAAGTCACCTTCCAGAAATCAAGGAATTAATCATCAAACAAGCTCCTCTCTGTGGGCTCAGGAGCACTTCCTCCCTGCCTGGAGGTTTTTCTAAGCTGGTATTTTCAACCAGAGTTGAAGAGGCACTTTAGCCAACTTTGCTATAGGAACTGAGATGGCTTCAGGAGCCCACTGGAGGTTCCCAGTCCCTCATGCATGGCCGCTGCATTCTCTACCTGTTCACACAGGGCCGGCCCAGGCCCTGCCCCACTCCCCAAGGTGGCTGTGAGGAGCTTCTGGCCCTGCTTCCCAGCTCCTCCCCAGGCCCACGCTGATGGGATGGGAGTGCTGCCTTCCACATTTACAGGGAAGCCCGATGCAAATCATCTAAGAAGAAAAAATGTGACAACTGCACCCAATCAATTTCCTCTTGCAAAGCGGGGAAAATGCTCACGTTGTGTGAGTGAATGCCTTTCCAACTAAGCAGAAAATTTAGTGAGTTGCTGACTGTCCTTGACTCCACAGCACTTCTATAAAATATGCACATCAGCAGAGATGTTTTCCCTAACAATGCTCTGGGAAATTACATTACATTTCCAAATGATCCCCTGCTTCCCCGTGTTGCCCACAGAGACTGGCACCAACAGCACCATTAAGTGGAGGTAAAGTCGCTGCCTGTTCCCGCTGCCTTTACGAGAGCCAGGGATCAAATATTTTTTCACAGTTTTATGTGGATAGTTTCATGAAAATTGATCAGGTCTAAAAAGTCACAGTCCAAATGAAGCTAAGGTGAAAGATAATTTATACATGATATTCCTAATTTTATTCTGAGCCCTTTTATTACCATGCAGGCCTTTATGACTTTAAAGAAAATGTCAGTGGCGGCAAATGACATTGTACTGAATAATCTAGTTATGAGGGAAAAGACATTTAAAACTATTCCGCAGCAGCATTGCTGAGTTCTGCTGAACGTACACTTCTCCCCGGCACAGCTGTCCAAAATTCCTACGTTCTTAACTCCCTTTTCACGACTGTTACATGAAATGTAGGATTTGCCGGTTCCTGTTTATCCTCTCCCCGACCCGTTTTGTTTCCCTCAGATTCTTCCTGTAGATGTAAATATCTTTTAAGGCCCCATTTTTCCACCTATCAGCAAGAAAGGGAAGCTTGAAGCTATTAGCAAATCAGATTCCAAAGGCACCTGAGTCCCGCAGCACAGGAGACGGACAGATGGACACAGCCATGGTGCAGGCCCGGTGTCACAGCAGTCAACTGCAGGCCTTTCGCGGGCCAGGGGGTGCCTCGCTCTGCGTCCGGGCTGCTCCTGTGACCTGGAGGTGGGGGGCACTGCCTGCAAGTCTCACTAAAGCCCTTGACTCTTCCAAACTACAGAGGCTTCCAGACAGAGGCTGCCAGGCTGGCTGTGCCCTGCAGGGCCTCTCGCTCCTCCAGCACCTGTGGTTTCCCATCTGTTGGACAAGAGAGCCTCGCCTTTTGCTAAACTGCAATTGCAAGGAAGAATAAGTAAAGAGGAGCTTCCCGAGAAAGGCTGGGATTGATGACACCTCCTAGTGCCCTGGTCTCTGCCTCAGCCCCGACCCCTTGATGCTGGGTGTCATGCCCGGCAGCCCCATGGAGGCCACCAACCACACAACAGAAACAGCAGGCACCTGGGATCCTCGGCTGCCTTCCCAGAGGGTGGCTCTGGATGCCCAGGTTGAGCCAGGCAGACTGAGCAGGGTGTGCTCATTGAGTCTGGCTCTTTCTGGGCACCTAGGAAGCCCTCAGCATCTTCTCCCTCACCTGCCACTTCTCCCTCCAGCCCTCAGTGCTACGTGTGGCTATGTCAGAACATGATGACCTTGAATCGAGTCACATGAACTGACACTGGCTCTTCTGTCAAATTGTCTAGCAACCTTCCCAAAGACAAAAGCAAGAGCAACTCATGTGCATATACTGTGGGCTCTGCCCCAGGTCCAATTTCACCCCGATAACCCCGTGATGTGGAGGGGGTCTTGCTTTATCTCCATTTCACAGGTGGGAAAAGGAAGGCTTAGAGAGGTGGGGTGGGCTGTGTGACTCCGGGCCATGCTCCCACCCAGCTCTGTGCCCCTCCAGCCTCTGTATCTGAAAATTGAGGCTGTTGACAACCCTCTCAGGACCACTGCAAAGAACAAGCACACACCGTTCAGGACAGGGGTTCCAAGCGTCAGCAGCCCAGGTCGATCTTCTCCCACAGCAGCAAGGATGCTTGGCCACCTACTGCCGTCATCAGGGCCTTGGGTGACATTACTTATCAGAAGTGTATTTAGCCCCTGCCTGGGGATGGGCTGGAGAGCTTTTAATCTCCTTATCCAGAGTTACAGCAAGTTCTGTGTCAGCGTCCCCTTCCCCAGAGCCCCCAGGCCCCATCTTCACAGCACAGGTCAGCAAACAGGTGCATGGACCATATGCTCAGAAAAGCTGCAGCGAATATGTGTACATGCGTGTGCACACACATGTACAAACACACGAGGACTGCTCTAGAAGCTTCTATCAGAAAATATACAGCTTAATTTCAGCACACATATATATTTTTAAACAATTCACTTGTGTTTATGCATAGTGGAGGGCCCCAGGACTAGGGTGGTGCTGCGGATTCTACAGGTCCAAATCGAGCTTCAGTCTCCTTGCTGTCCAGAGGTCTTCCCCTTTGTCCACCTTGCTGGGGGCTCCTGGGCTGGCAGTGAGAAGAGCCCCACTCTCCAGAACAAACTGGCCTCGCTGAGCAAAAGGGAGGCCAGAGACTTGGGAGGCTGCATTCCTAACACCTCCAGGGCAGCCCTACAGGTACAGGTGTTCATTTGGAAATCCACTTCCATGAAATGTCAGTGGGTCCTTCACTGAGTGCAAGGCCAGAGTCTGCTGATCTGCACACACAGCATCTGAGTGGGAAATCATGGGTTTTCTTAGGAAAACCACATACTGGATGTTAATTTCCTTCCTTGACAAAGCAGAAGATCAATTAGAGGCAGAATGTGATTCTACCACAGCTACTTTCCAGAATGTATTCTCTAAGCTTCCTCCCTCCAGTCCCCATCTGGCTCTGTCAAAATGGGTTTTACTTCATCAGAAATATGCTGTGAAGTTCCCCATTAGATCATCGATCGCTGAATCCTCGACAACATCCATGCACACTTCATGCTCACAAAGACTCTGAATTTAGTACCAAATAGCAAGGAAAGGAAATTAACCAGTGCTTCAAAACCTGGCAGGAAATTTGAATTTAAATCCCTTTCTGGGGTGGGCCCCTTACAGCAGCTTCTCAAAACTGCACAGCCCCAGCTGGACAGGCCCCATGCAGGCTCCAGCCTGGCTGCACTGGGGCTGTGGGTAAGGGGCTCCCCAGATTCATGCCTATCCCTTCTTCCTGCCTGTGCCCACAGAGCCCCTGGCTGAGTCGTGGACTCAAGCACTTGATATGGTTTAAATATTTGTCCTCTCCAAATCTCATGTTGAAAGTGATCCCCAGTGTTGGAGGTGGGGCCTAAGGGGAGGTGTTTGGGTCATGGGGGTGGATCCCTCATGAAGGGTTTGGTGCCCCCTCCTTGGGAATGAGTTAGTTCTTGCTCTATTAGTTCATGTGAGAGCCAGTTGTTGAAAAGAGCTTGGCATCTCTCTTGCTCCTCTCTTGCCACGTGACACCTGCTCCCACTTTGCCTTCTCCCATGAGTGGAAACTTCCTGAGGCTTCTCCAGAGGCAGATGCTGGTGCCATGCTTCCTGTATAGCCTGCAGAACCAGGAGTCTAAATAAACCTCTTTTCTCCATAAATTGCCCAGACTCAGGTATTCCTTTGTAGCAACACAAAACAGACTAACAGTGCACTCCAGACCCTTCTGTGAAACTGAGGAGTAATGAGAGGACTCCTCCTTCTGCTCCTTCCCCCACTGAGCAGAAGGGCTCCCAAATCATCCTGGGAAGTGGGGGGCCATCTAGGAATCCCAGGGACAGAGATTGGCAGTGTCCCCTCTGCAAATAAGAAGTGAAGACAATGTGCTCAGCCCACAGGGAGACAGTGGTTTCTCAGAGTCACTGTGCATGGGCCAATCCTGATGAGAGGGCAGGCACCAGGGCTGGGCTTTCTAGCCAGGGTTGAGGCTCTGTGCCCTCTGCCAGAGGTGTCAGCCAGCCCTAGGGCTGTGGGGTCCATGACTCATTCATGGGAAGAATGTCCTCTCACATTGGCTTCCTCTAATCCATGAGCATTTGAGCTACAGGAAGGCAATAAACATGTGCTGAGCAGCAAGTAATAGCCAAGAACTTCACATAATTTCACTTAAACCAATCGTAGTTTTGCAAGAATTGGTTTCTTCCCATTTAACACATGAGAACACTGAGAATTGCAGAAGAAAAATTTTAGCAAAAAATCAAAGCTACCAAATGGCTGCAGTCAGGATTGAAGCTCTGGGCTATGTAGCTACAAAGACCCTACCCTTCCTGGCTTGTTGTCACAGATAATGGTCGACAAACAATAGAGATGTAGTTAAGATCTCACCCATTCCTCACCACAGCACCCAGCAGAGAGCCCTACAATGTTTACATTAAGAAACCAACACCACCCCCGCAAGGTCTAGATCAAGACACCCAATCCATAGAGGACTGGATGACTATTGATGACCACTGATTTACTGATCGAGTTGTCAAAGATGATTGGGAAGCTGCTGTGTTGGGCAGGACTTTGTGGTAGCATCCTGCAGGCAGCCTCACATGAGGATGCACCCTGTGGCTGAAGTGGGGAGAGAGGCAATGCTTTCCAGAGGTCTTTTCCTAAAGGAAGACAGTGAACATTCTCTTCTGCATGAGGGAGATCTGGAATTATTTTATTTGGCTCTGCAGAGAGGTACAGGGTGTATGCAAGTGACTCTTCATGTCAGCAAAGAATGCTTTAATCAGCATCTGTTCATTTTACCCAAAGCATAGGAAAGATGTTTGGGCATTCTTCATTCCATTGTCCAGAAGAAAGCTCTAAATCCAAAAATTGTTAAGCTCTGAGATGGTTCAAAACTTCCTGAGGGAAACTGAATGTGTTGGGAGTGCAGCCACAACACTAGGCAGGCCCTGCCCTGCCAGCCATCAGCCATGACCTGAGCTGGGCTGATCAGTGGCAGTTGAAGTGTCCACGTGCACAGAATCATTGCCGGTGTTCTCACATGAAAACCAACGCACACAAGAGTCGACATTGTCCTCAAGCCATTTTTCATAGAATTGTGTAGAATAACAATGCCAAGAGGGCCCTTAGCAACTCAGAAGGGCACTGAACCCAGAGAGAAGCATGATCAGTGATCAGCAAGGGACCCTCCACCATAACCCAGGCCTGCAACATCCTGGCCAGATTACTCTGACCACCAGCCTGGGTGTGTGGCAGCTATGAATTAAGGCCTTGGCAGCCAGCTGCAATGCTAAGATCATTGCATATATGCCTAAATTTTAGCAACATGCTGAGATAGTGTTATTCTTTTCTTTCTTTTTTTTTTTTTTTGAAACGGATTCTCACTCTGTCACCACGTTGGAGTGCAGTGGCACAGTCTTGACTCACTGCAACCTCTCCCTCCCAAGTTCAAGCAATTCCCTTACCTCAGCCTCCCGAGTAGCTGGGACTACAGGTGCACGCCACCACACCCAGCTAATTTTTTGTATTTTAGTAGAGATGGGGTTTCACCATGTTGGCCAGAATGGTCTCCATCTCCTGACCTCATAATCCACCAACTTCAGCCTCCCAAAGTGCTGGAATTACAGGTGTGAGCTGCCATGCCGGGCCATTGTTCTTTGTTTTGAATAAATTTAGCCTCTAAGAAGCCAAGTTTCTTGTTCAAGGTCACAATGGTGAGCAAGTGGTGAGGCTGCCTGGCATCAAAGCCTGCATCTTTAGCTCTGGACCATGGTGCAATCAATGGCCACCCTGACCACAGCCCGTCTAGCAGAGCTGGCCTTTCTAGAAAGGAAGCTCCATTCCTTCTGCTTCAAGCTCCTCTTCTGAATGAGAGCACAGTGAATAGACCACCAGCTTGTTTTTATGCAGGATGCATTCCTTTGTGTATTTTAACACATTGAATCTATATATATGATAGAGAATTTCCAAATAGTTTATGTATGCAAGTATATGACAGAAGAGGAAGGATGTCAATTGGCATCAATAAATGAAATGCACTGGAAAGATCTGCCTGGTGAAATAGAGTCTGTTTTTTCCACAGCGGAATTTGTTTGATCTTGTATTCTGTTCTGCATGGCCATTGTGAAAACTTCTGGGCACATGCAGAAGAATTAATTCATAACATTTATTAGCACAAAACCCAAGGTCGGATTGCCTTGGCTAACTCTTCCAGCTGCAGTGTTCCCATGACCTAGCCCCCACCCCATGACTCGGTTGCAAGCCCAGGCCAGGCATGCCCCACACTCCAGAGCACATATACAGTTCCAAAATAAAGCCATTCCAGAAGAGAGCCCACAGTGTCCCAGCCATGGGGATCTTTGGGTTAACTAGGGAAAGTTGTAGATGTTAGCCCTCCTGTTGCATCATTCTAGCAAAGTTATGGAAAAGTGCTCTGAGATAACCCTCAGTTTTGCACTGCACAAGGTACTAATTCATTCAGCAACTGTGTTCTCTTGGAACTAGAGTGACTGCCAAGTGAAGGGTTCCATTATGGAATGAGTGTGGGAAGACAAGCTGAACAGAGTACAAGAGGTTTCTTTCCTGCCTCACTTTTCAATACTTTGATATGATAATGTATCTATCTCCAAGAGGGAAGTATAACAAACTATCTTCCCAAGTTTGTATGACAACTGGACCCTTTTTCTCCATAGGGGCTATGTGTTTTAGTCCGTTTTATGTTGCTATAACAGAATACCACAGACTGGGTAATTTACGATTAACAGGAATTGATTTGGCTCACAGTTCTGGAGGCAGGGAAGTTCAAGAGCATGGTGCTGGCATCTGGTATGGGTCCTCATGCTGCATCTTCCCACAGCAGAAGGTGGGGCAGCAAGAGGGTGCATGTGAGAGAGCAAGAAGCAAGAGGTGGACAAACTTGCTTTTATAACAAGCCCACTCTCCTGATAACTAACCCCCTCCCTCAGTAACACTAATGCATTCATGAGAGCAGAGCCCTCATGTCCTAATTACCTCTCAATACTGTTGCATTGGCAATTGAGTTCCCAACACACAAACTTTGGGAAACACACTTAAACCATAGCACCATGTGAATAGGCTTGCAGAAGAGATTTAACCCACTTATGACATAAAGCTGCCCCAAAGTAGTCTCCAAGGGGAAAAGTGAAGGACAAACACATCATATCTAAGCATTAAGTGATAACCAACCTGGAAATACCTATTAAACATTAGCTAGTTATAGTTTATAATTAAATGTAACAAGATGTTTATTTCTTTAAAAATTTTAAAATTTGTAAAACAAGGATATGCACTGTTATCCTTCATGAAATATGGGGATAGTTGGTGCTATAAATCACATTAGTGGGACAATTGGGGAAAGCTGAATATCAACGGGATCTTAGATACTATTATACCAATGTTAAATTTCTTGAGTTAGATAACGGTATTATGCTTATGAAGGTAAGTGTCCTTCCTGTCAGGAGATGTAAGGTCAAGTCTTTAGTGGTGAAGTGACATATTTGCCACTTACTTTAAATGGTTCAGAAAGCACACATACAGAGCCACATGGCAAAATAGAAGACAGAGAAAAGGCTGTACACTGTTCTATTCTTTAATGCTCCCTGTGGGTTTGAAATTTTTCAAAATAAAAAGTTGGAGTAAGTTATACAATTGAGAATTAGAAGAAAACTTTGGAGTGACCAATTAGTTCAAAGTGGAAGCTGTACTGTGTCAAGTGGTCACATTTAGGAATCAAGGTTCTCTCTCCTCATCAGGTGTCTTCAAAATGGGCTAGTCAGGCTGGGCGCAGTGGCTCACGCCTGTAATGCCAGCATTTTGGGAGGCTGAGGTGGGAGGATCACCTGAGGTTTGGAGTTCAAGACCAGCCTAGACAACATGGCAAAACCCTGTCGCTACTAAAATTACAAAAGTTACCTGGGCATGGTGGCACATGCCTGTAATCTCAGCTACTTGGGAAAGCTGAGGCAGGAGGATCGCTTGAACCCAGGGGGTGGAAGTTGCAGTGAGCCAAAGTTGCGCCACTGCACTCCAGTCTGAGTGACAAGAGAGAAACTCCGTCTCAAAAAACCAAAAACAACAAAACAAAAAATGAGCTACTCAGTAGATGGCCATGTGTCCTTTTCCCAGTTAGCACCTGAAATGTGCTGGGATGGCCACTTTCCATCCTGACTGACCTTAATCACATTTGACATTATTCTAGGACAGCAGAACAAGATTTCCAGCAGCTCAGGTGACCTTCCTGAAGACACCAGCAGGTGTACAGTGGCCTAGCAGAGCCCTAGGAAGCTCCAGACTCTCAGGGTAACATTACCAAGGTCACAAACACAGAACAGAACTTTACAACATGTGCTTATAACCTTTCCAACTCTAAATTTTGTTTTTAGATTTTAGATTCTCTTACCACACACGCACACCAAAGGTAACTGTGTGAGAACATGGCTATGTTAATCTGTTTGATTGAAGCACTCATTTCACTATGATATATCAAGACATGATGTTGTATACCTTGAGGATCTGCAATAAAAAATAAAAATTAAAAATAAAACAGGATGCCAACTGATTTCACCTGTCTTGCTGATTGTGATTACAATGATAATGACTGTCTACAAAGTAAGACTGAAAAACTCAAGAATGAAGAGCAAATTAGAAATTAGCAATGTCTGCAGTGGACAGGGAAAAGGCAGAGTGGGGACATCTCATGTATTTGTGGACCTATTTCTTCAGAAATTTGGCAATGAGGAAGAAAGTCACCCTATTAATTCGCCTAGATATAACCATATGCTCTTCACAAACTTACTTTAAAAAAAACCTATGCTACCACTTATATGCGCAATCTAAAAACAAAAAGCAGAAAAGTAAACTCAGAAACAGGGTGTAGACTAGAAGGGTAGTGACCAGGGTTGTGCATGGTGGTAAATTGGAAAATGGCCCGGCGCAGTGGCTCACACCTGTAATCCCAACACTTTGGGAGGGCGAGGCGGGTGGATCATGAGGTCAGGAGATCGAGACCATCCTGGCTAACACGGTGAAACCCTGTTCCTACTGAAAAAAAAAAAAAAAATTAGCCAGACCTGGAGGCTCATGCCTGTAGTCCCAGCTACTTGGGAGGCTGAGGCACAAGAATTGCTTGAACCTGGGAGAGAGAGGTTGCAGTGAGCTGAAATCAAGCCACTGCACTCCAGCCTGTGCAACAGAGTGAGACTGTCTCTAAAAAACAAAAAAAAGAAAAGAAAAGAAATCGGGACGTGTTGGTCAAAGGGTAAAGTGTTTATTTATAAAATGAATAAGTTCTGGAAATCTTATAAGCAACATGGGAAGGAACTCTAGATAATAATACTCTATTGTTCATTTAAAATTTGCTGAGAGAGTAGATCCTAAACATTCTCACCAAAAAAGATATAAGAAAAAAAACAACACAGCAACTAGGTGAGGTGATGGCCGTGCAAATTAACTTGATTGGTGTCATGATTTTGACCCCGTATGCATATATCAAACCATCGTGTTGTGCACTTTAAATGTATACAATTGTATTTGTCAAGTGTACCTCAATAAAGTTGAAAAAATCAAGGTATATGTAAAAAATAAAATAAGTGTAAAAAAATAAAAAATAAAATATCCTCACGACATATTCAACATGGGGCTAAATTAAAAAAAAAAAAAACAATAAACTAACATACATACAGGAAGAATAAACAAGTCAGACACTGAGACATTGTTTTCTTGATCTTGGGGAAATACCGAGGCTGGAGGGCCAGGTTAAAATAACCAATGCAATTTGATAAGTGGTTTCCTTCATGATTCCAACTTCACCCGCTGCTTCCTACCGGGCTTGAACTCCCAGATGAGCTCATACAAAGAGTGACAGGAGTGTGCACCCCACGAGTGGAGACCGGAGATCGTAGCTGAGTGTCAGCCACCCTGGATTCCCACATGCCGCCGAGCAAACCTGGGCAGCCCAGCGCTCCTCCAGCGGGCAGCACAGCAGACGCCCGTGCCCTCAGAGTCTGTAGCGTGAGAGCTGGGACTGGGTCTAATTTGCCTGTAGATCCCTCCGGTTCCACGCTTGGAACCTAGCAGCCTAGTCACAAAGAAAGCCTTCGATCCCTGTCTGCGGGTTCCCGGTGACCCTAGAAGAATATTCTCCTCTCTGCAGCTGCACAGTCTGGGCCTATCTCCTCTTCCATTTTCTCCTCCTGCCTCTTTTTCCTCACTTTAGCTTTTATTCCCTGAGCTTTTCCCTCATCTAATTTTGCAATTGTCACCTTTGCAACACTTTTCCATGTATATGAGAACCAAAACAGCTTTTAACTTCTCAAGCATCCTGCAATAGCCCAAACCCTTAGTAACAACAACAAAAATCCCGCCAAACATTGACACTGGGCAGTGCAGCCCCTTGGGGGTCCCGAAGGGGTCGGAGAAAAGAGCAGTGCCTTCTGTTTAGAGACAGGGGAGGAAAGAGGTGTGGCGTTTCTTTCAATATCCCAAGTCTGATTTCTTGTTTAGTTGGATTAGCCTGGATCAGCAAACATGAATGACACCTAGCCGTCTGCACGTTGCTCAGTCATTCCTGGTCTTACCCGAGAAAAACTATACAATACTTGTGTTTAGGGGACTTAAATATTTTCCCGTCATGTGGTCCAGCTGAAAAAGAAAGTGACTCTTCTGCTCTTCCAGCTGCTTTACATTCTGGTAACAGAATAAATGCAAACAAAACCACAATGCATAGGATTTGATTATAAAAATACGAAAGGAGACCCAATAGTTCTTGAGTGCACAAGCCCTCACGAATTCCATGGAAGAAACTTTAGTTTGAACATCTGCATATTCAAATTCTCTTAATTTTCTTAAACTTCTCCTTTAAGAGGGAATGACTCTACTCTCTCCATGTTCCTTAGACATTTCCCCCAATAATTTCATCCAATAGTTTCTTTTATGCTTATCCTTGAGACTTCATCTGGAAAGACTGATTGACTAATGAGTGAAGCAGCTTATGGTAAAACATCTCTATTAAATTCTCTTGGTTTTTTTAAGATAAAAAAAAGAAGAAACTTTTTCTTTCTCTAAATGCAAATCTTCCTTGTAACACTGTGCCTAATCTACTACAACTAATTAATCTGCTGGAGCTGATGAAATGTTACCTCTGCATTTTTTGTTCCTTGTATACAATTATTGTAACAGTGGTGAATAAATCAATATTCCCAATCCAACTGTAAAAAACAATCAAGAAAAGCAGTGCTTCTCAGGGAAAAAAACACCAAATAATATTTATTAACTCTGTCTCAATTCACAACAGAACCAAATACCATTCAGGCATTTTCTGCAAGTGTAATAAGCAAACTCAGATACATGATGAAGGTGGCACATGCCAATAATTTCACCATTTTACACTGCAGAGTAATTGAAGGATTTAATGAGAAACAAACCAATAAAAATAAATAGACCATGTTAGAGGAGGAGAAACTGATCTGAAATGGAAGTTGCTCCATTGTGAGTTTAGGGTTTTTTGCATGGTTTGTCCAAGGGAAAAAACAGGACAACCAGCTCTTATCCACTTTCTCAAAGAAGAAAATCACACACAAGATTTTGTTTCTGCAGATAAAAACCCTGGCCATGGGAACTACTCGCTGTTAATCGGGAACGTGGCCCCTCCAACTGCAGTCATGCTCCTCTCCTGAGATGCCTGACTAGGACAGGGCCACCCTGTGCTCTCAGCTAGGGAGCTGCTGATCCCACCAGTGGATTCCAGACCAAGGCGAGCCTGACCTGGAGCTGCTGATCCCACTTCAACACTTGTTAGGAAGCACAGTCCAGTTGGCAGCCCCCAGTCAGCTCTTGGCTGCAGGGGAATCAAGAGACTGCAGAGACAAAGAACCTGGAACATGGAACCCCCCCCCCCCACAAAGAATAAGTCGGTGCCCCATAAATGCTGTGAGCAAACACAGATGGAGCCTTAATCTGTGCCTGTCTCTACACCGACAGATTCAGAAATGAACAAGTCACAGTCCCTACCAAAGAGCTCACGGTCAAAGTCAAGGGTAGAAGAATATATCCGAAGGGTATCTTATGGGGCCAGTGAATGCAGTCCTCTAACTGTGAGACAGAAGGGCTTAGAAATGCTTCTGGGAGAAGAAAACACCAAGGCAGAGCAGAGGACATGCCAGGCAAGCAGGCTTAGCTGGGGAGGCGGTGCAGGAGGGCATGGTGATTGGGCATTGCTGGAAAGGTGCTCCAAGTGTGCAAAGGCACAGAAGTGTGAGTGACCGTCTGCAGGGCAGAGGGACAATAAAATGAGAGAACGGCAGCCAGGGCCAGGTTGGGAGGGGATCTCACCTAGACCATCTCAGAGAAGCCTGGAGGCCGTGGAAGGAAGAGATGCCTGGAAGGTAAACCTTCCATTTGCATTCAGGCGTGGGAGGGAGGAGCCCTGTGGCTACAGGGCTGGCCTGTTCCTGTCTTTGCGCACATGTGTGGGGGCGGGGCAGCCTGCTCCAGCCCCTCTGGGTCCAGTGAAGCTCCTCCATGGTGGTGCCCACCCCCAGGCCCGAGCTGATGCATTTGCCACTCTGCCCAGGGTGGCGGGGTTAACCTGTCCAGGGATGCATCTTGGTCATCTATGTGTACCATTATGTTTGGAAAAAATGCAAACCTTGACTATTTTCTTTAAACTCAGATTAGGAGAATCTGGCTTAACAGTGGTTTCTCTAAGAGATCCTATTTTTAGCTCCTTTGTTTTGATGCCCTCCCCCACATGCACAGTTGAAAACACTCGATTGTAATAAGTAATTGTTGGGTGGCAGCTCTGGGGGCAAGGGAGACAGAGGGGTCAAAGCACGTGAGCAGAGGGGTCCTCCCCAGATGTGTAAGGGCCCCGTCAGGGAGCAGGCCGCAGACCCTTTGATCACATCTTTGAAGAGCTCTTGAAGAGTATTGACGGGCTGAAGCATTTTATTTCCAAACCGAGTTCAAGTGTGCTGGTGTTGTGCCTGGGATGCAATAAGCAGGGGAGCTGGACATCTGTGCAGTGTGGCTGGGTGGAGAGGCTGCAGCCTCCCCACCAGGAAGCTCTAGGATCTGCGTGGAGGAGCTGGCCCCTGGGAGGCATCCTCGACCACCTGTGCCAACCCTGGTCTCTCTTCCTTATCCTTCAGGGGATACAAAGAGGGAGTTCACTTGTATTGAACCTGCCCAGATCCACCCAGAAAAAGACTCCAGAAGACCAACCCCTTCTCTCCACTCCCTCACCAGGAGCCACACTTCTGCACTTGAAGCTCCAGTCCTGGGGCCCAGCAGGGCATTTTCAATTGAAGGGGATGAATTTAAGCATTTCTACAAGCTCCTTCAGAAGCAGGGGGAGGTGGAGGAGAAAGGAAGGAAGGAAGCAGGAGGAAGGAAAGAAGGAGGGAAAGGAGGAAAAAAGGAAGGAGGGAGGGAGAGAGGAAGGAGAGGGGGAGGGAAGGAAAGGAAAAAAAAGGAAGGGAAAGCAAAATGGAAGGAAGGAATAAAGGGAGGAAGGGAGAGAGAGGGAGAGGGAGAGGGAGAAAGAGGGAGGGAGTGAGGGAGAAAGAGGGAGGGAGGAAGGAAGGAAAAAGAAAGAGAGAGAGAGAAAGAAAGAAAGAGAAAGAAAGAAAGAAAAGAAGAAAGAAAAAGGGAGAGGAAGGAAGGAGAGAAAGAAAGAAAGAAAGAGAAAGAAAGAGAGAAAGAAAGAAAGAAAGAGAAAGGGAGAGAGAGGAAGGAAGGAGCGAAAGAAAGAGAGAGATGAAAGAAAGAAAGAAAGAGAGGAAGGAAGAAAGAGAAAGAAACGAAAAGAGAAAGAAGAGCAAGCTAGCTGTGGCTGCAGGGCCCTCCAAGAGAGGTGGCTGGGGGGACACAGATGCTGCACTGGGCTGGCCTCCCCAGTGATACCAGGTCTCTCCTTGGGCTACAGAGAACAGCCTTGATCCCCCAAGAGACAGGAGTGGGTGATCCAATGGGCCCAGAAGGCCGGCCCAACAAAGTTGGATTTCAGGACCTGGGGTGAACACCCACACCTTCACAATCCCAGAGGGACCGTAACGAAACTCTACTCAGGGAAACATTAATAGGTCTTTTAATTTTAGAGCCATAAAGCCTATTATAAAGCAATAGTTCTGATTTCTTCATTTTACCTGTAAAATAGGAAACAAAAGCCATGCTTCCGAGGCCTTGATGTGGGAAGTGACTTCCTGAGATCGCACAGCTAAGGAATGACAAGTCCCCACCGCCTCCCCGCCACATTTTTCCAATCTAACCATCGCCTGCACCCTACCCCCTGGTTTACCTCAGAGGACAGAATCTCTTCTGCCGCAGGCAAGTCCTCAGCCAGGTGTGCCGAGTGGAAGGTAGCCACATGGCCTGGTGACAGGAGCCAAGCTTGCCTCAGCCTCCTGCCGGATCTGAGATATTGCTGCTACCCTCCTGGGCCTCAGTGTTCCCATCTGGAAAATGGGAAGGCTGATAAGAAAGACGGAGACCCATAGACAGCTGAAGGACTGTGGGATGCTGAGAGTTGTCCTGGAGCCTGGGAATGACTGAAAAGTCAGGATGCCCTGGCCTGCTGCAGGCCATCCTGGAGGCCAGAGGAGCCCCTGTCCACCACTTCTGGGTTCCTCTGTGGGCTCCAGGGCCTTTGGGAAAGGCGAGCCATGTATAGCAGGGTCAGTTTCTCTATTGTCCCCAGGAGGATGGCCCCTCCCCAGAGCAAAGCACATTTATAATGGGCCTCCTGCAGGAAACAGGCTGGAGGCCCAGGGCCCAGGCAGACAGTGTGGGGAGCAGCAGAGAGTTTCCTCTCTGGACACACTATTTACTGGTCCAAGCTGCTCTCAGCCAGCCATCCCACGGACCCAGCCCAGGGACCCCAGCCTCTTCCAGTTCAAGACAGGGGCACAGCATTGAACTGGAAGCTCTGGCATGCCTGGCGATGTTGGTGCTTTCATGGTGGTGCATGGGGCAGTTCCGACAACATCCCTGAGAGGCCGGGGCTGACATGGCACTCTGCAGAGAAGGAAACTGGCTCAGAGAGATGAAGCTGTTTACAGAACTACTTCCTGGGAGAGCTAAATTCAAGTCCAAGAATGGGTGCCTACAAAGCCCATGACCCCACGTTCTTCAACAGTGCAGGGCCACCAAGTCAGCACAGGCCCTCTAGGAAAGCCCATTAGATACCACCTGTGCTCGCAAAGACATCAGGCACACAGCTCGGGGATCGCATTGGGGTGTGGAATTAGTGTCCCTAGTGTTGAAGCAGCCATTGGACGGCCCAAGCTGGGAGCAATTGGAGGGGCTTCACGAGGGAGGCACTGTTTCCGGGCACCCCCACCTGGGCACTGTCTCAGCCGCATGCCCCATCCCCATCCTCCTGTGTCTGCTGCAAGTGAGTAGAGGAGGCTGGGGTGCCATGGGTGGCTGATCAAATAGGTCTCTCCCTCCAGACTCGTCTCCCAGGATAGCTCCTGGGCCAGAGCTCCATGTCTGACTTGAATCTCAACATCTCACCCCTCCATGCTAGACTGGGTCAGGGCAAGACCAGAAGCTTCCCAACCTTGGCCTGTACGGTGAGTGATGTAGAGGCTGCTAGCAAGTCCCAGCCTAGGGGGGATAAGCCTGCAGAGAGGAAGGTCATCTCTCTGCTCCTCTCAGGTTCCATGCTGGAATCTGGCAGCAGCTCAGGGTCCCCCGTGGGGTCACTACTCTCCCAACCTTGAATCTTCAAAAGCCAAGGAGGGGGTGGCCACACCTTGGCTGCCTGGAAGTTGGAGCTCCTGTTACAGAAGCCAGGATCAGGGCTTGCAAAGGGTACGTACCCCCTTCCTTAGGGACTCAGGGAGGGCAAAATCACCCCCATCTTTAGGGCCTTGGGGAGGGCAAAGTTACCCCTGTCCTTAGGACTCGGGGAGGGCAAAGCGCACCCTCATCCTTAGGGACTCAGGGAAGGCAAAGAGCACCTCCATCCTTAGGACTTGGGGAGAGCAAAGGGCACCACCATCTTCAGGGACTCGGGGAGGGCAAAGGTACCCCCATCCTTAGGACTTAGGGAAGGCAAAAAGCACCATCATCCATAGGGACTCAGAAAAGGACCATCATCCTTAGGGACTTGGGGAGGACAAAGGGTATCCCCATCCTTAGGGACTCGGGGAGGGCAAAGAGCACCCCCGTTCTTAGGACTCAGGAAGGGCAAGGGGCACCCCTATCTTTAGGGACTCAGGGAGGCAAAGGGTACCCCCATCCTTAGGGACTCAGGGAGGGCAAAGGGCACCTCCATCCTTAGGGACTTGGGGAGGACAAAGGGTATCCCCATCCTTAGGGATTCAGGGAGGGCAAAAGGCACTCCTTTCCTTAAGGACTTGGGGAAGGCAAAGGGCGCCCCCTTTCTTAGGGACTCAGAGAGGGCAAAGGATATCCCCAACCTTAGGACCAGCCCTTGAGCCATGAAACCACAGCAACCAAACAGCCCAGCATTGCCCAGGAGCCCTTGTCCAAGGAACCGCATACAGGGCACCTATGGGAGGGTTACCGTCTGCCTCCCCAAAGCCTGGGAGCAAGTAAGGAGGGGATGCTGAATATGTGAGTGTGTCCAGGGGCAGGCAGTGGAGTTGGAAGTGGAGCTGGAAGTGATGTAGGAAGGGAAGGGCCACAGAAGCAGATGCCTTTCCCAGGCGTGCCCCGCTCAGCAGAAGGCTGGTCAGCCAGGCAGAAGGGCTGTGGCCCACGAGAGATGCTGAGCTGGCCCTGCCTACAGAGCTACAGAGCGGGGCTCTGGGTGGTGAGGGGCTGGCATTTTCCATGTGTGGGTAGGTCCGGCCAGGCCTCTTCTCTAGCCCTGCTGTTCTCCTGGAACCCAGCACACCATCATCTCTGAGCTGCTCTTCTTTCTGTTGTTGCAATTCCATGGTGTCAGGTATAGGTCAAGGAAGTCACTATGGGAAACCTGGCTTCTTCTTAAAAGACAGAGAATAGCTGGCCTCTTCTCCAGGCTTGTTAGTGCACCAACACAAGCGCTGAGCAGGGCTAACCCACATGAGTTAGCATCCAGCACTGACCTTTGTCCTTGTTGTGCTGTCAAATGAGTCCATAGAGATAGGAACGTTAATGAACTTGAGCAGACACGTGTCAAAATCCCTCCAGAAAAAACAAAGTCATTATCCCATACCAGTGTGTACTTGCACAGACGTTGGTGCCATTGTACAATATTAATCGGGGGTAAATTTTATAGGTAGGTAGATTTTTATTATTATAGTTTAAAAGTTCTACTTCTCCATTGGGCCAGAATTGAATTTCCATTTAATTATATACTCACCATTGTTCTTATCATGTGCCTCAAAACCAGCTGATAATATGTCACATTTGCCAGTGTGACTCACAGAAAAGAACCGGCCAGGCCAACACCTGGCGTGATTGGTCTTTTAATGAAATGGGTTATAGCTCTCTCACGTGCTGGGCCTCAATAATAGAATTTAAGTGAAAGTAATTTCCAAGTGCAATCATAGTTTACATATTAGTTATTGTAGAAAGAAAAAAAACGAGGGACTCCGGTAGATTAAATGCAATTAAGATCGAGGCCCTTCTGCGGGCCTCCTGGGAAGGGGATCAGCCAGGCCAGTTATTTCTCCGATTTTGATGGAAAGAAGGAAACATTTTCCTGGATGCCTCAGCTGCAAGTGCTAAAGCTTTGTGAAAATTCAAGACATCAACACGGCCTGAGGACAGGGTAAACACAAAGTGAGCATTTGTTTTTAAGCTGCTTCTCAGAAGCCTGGTTTCAGGCATTAAACATTACATGTGAAGAGCCAAGTATACAGGACCAATGGAGAACTAACAAGAGCAGAAGTGTGTCTGAGTAAGGAACCCGCGGGTAAGTGAAGGGCTGGAGGAGGGAAGGTCAGGGGCCTAGGTGGGCAGCGGGGACCCCACAGAGACAGCAGAATGCAGCTCTGCATGGAAGGGTGTGCATGACAGAGTCAGTAGCAGTGACAGGCACAAGCACACAGACATATCCCTAAACACATGCGCACACACACTTGCATACACATGCCAATGCACACTTGCTGACTATTAGCAGACCACTGGCATTCCTTTAGGTCCTGGTGGTGCTGTAGGGGTGGAAGTCTGACTGCAACAGGGCAAGGAGGGAAGAGAAGAGGAAGAATGAAAGTGAGGAAGTTGGCTGGTAAAGAGAAATAAAACAGTGGTCACTGGAGAAGAAAGTGGGATACAAAGAAGGTTATATGGGGACTGGGAGAGACTTAATGAGGTTCCTGCATCAGGAGGGCTAGACAGAGGCCATGGACGGGTCCCTGAGCCACAAGTATCTGTGACTCTGGGCCCTGGGAAGGAATAATAAAGGCCAAGAGACCATCCAAGACCCAGCAGGGACAAGGATGGCATGGATCAAGGCAGGACAAACGGGGTAATATGGGCAGGCTTTATGTCCCCACCCAAATCTCATCTTGAATTGTAATCCCCGGGTGCTGAGGGAGAGGCCTGGTGGGAGGTGAGTGGATCATGGGGGTAGTTTCCCCCATGCTGTTCTCGTGACAGCGAGTTCTTACAAGATCTGACGATTTTATAAGGCTGTGTTCCCTGCTCTCTTGCACTTTCTCTCTCTCTCACCTGCTGCCATATAAGATGTGCCTGCTTCCCCTTCCACCATGATTGTAAGTTTCCTGAGGCCTCCCAAGCCATGCAGAACTATGAGTCAATTAAACCTCTTCCCTTTGTAAATTCCCCAGTCTCAGATATGCCTTTATATCAGTGTGAGAACGGACTAACACACGGGGAGAGAAGGCAGCGTAAGTGCCAGACCCCTGTTCAGTGACTGGAGATAGCATTGATGTGAGAAGACGGGGACCTCAAAAAGAAAAGGTTGGGGAGTTACAGGGGAAGACGGCAAAGGCCGCAGATAGCCAAAGCACCCATCTTCTTCAAACTGTCCCCCTTTCATAGATGAAAAGTTACATACAGATGAAACCTGAGGATGTTCTAAGGTCACAGAGTGGTAACCTACACTCACATACACCTAAAGAGTTTGCAGATTAAAAAAAAAAAAAAACCTGAGTATATGTCACCATAGATAGATCCTTTTCGTTCCTGACTTCATGGGTTGAATTCTCATGGAGAACCCCCAAAGCCCCCACCCACCTCCACCCTGCCTGCAGGGCCCTTGTCATTGCCCTGCACAGGGACAGCTGCTCTCTCTCTGTGCTCTGACTTACCCGCTCCACCTTGGTTTTGGCTGGATGTGTGGCCATCAGAAGCTCAGTGCTATCCTCCTGCCAACTCTACCAATAGAAGAGAGGTCTCTCACACCAAGGCTATCAGAACAGCCTCAGGGAAGTTCTCAGTTTGGGCCACATATCTATTCATTCATTCAATCAGTAAGTCAAACCAGCAAACCAGCCATTCATTCGAACAAATATCGACTGATCATCCCCAACATGCCAGACACATTCCAGGCGCGAGGGACATGGAGTGAGTAGACAGACCTTACTCTGAAGGAGCTTACAGAAAGTCAGAGGAGATAAGCAGACAAAAAGCATGCCAACAAACAACAATAACAACAACAACAAAAACCCAGCACCAGCATCTGCAGATCCACAGACCAATTCCAGGGGTTTTGGAAGGATGTGGTAGTTCCTGTCCCCAAAGCAAAAGGCCACACAGTGGTGTCAGGTTGAGGGATGAAGGAAAGAGGTATGGCAAGCCCCCAATCCAAAAAACAAGAATTGATATTATAACTAACAGAATGAAGGGCTGCTAGGCAGACAATATAAAAATGTAGAATTGGACCGGGTGCAGTGGCTCGTGCCTGTAATCTCAGCACTTTGGGAGGCCAAGGCAGGAGAATCACTTGAGCAAAGGAGTTTGAGGCCAGCCTGGACAACACAGTGAGACCCTGTCTCTACAAAAATTACAAAAAAATATCCAGGCATGGTGGCATGCACCTGTCATCCCAGCTACTTGGGAGGCTGAGGTAGAAGGGTCACCTGAGCCCGGGTCACTGAGCAGCAGTGACCCATGATCATGTCACTGCACTCCACAGAGTGAGACCCTGTCTCAAAAAAGTGCAGAATTATGTAGATTTTTGGTTTAATAGTTTTTTATTATTGAAACATAAATACCTAAGAGATGAAGCCTTTGTTCTTCAAAAGTGTACTGTTCCAAGTGTTCTTCTAGCCCAGAGACTTGGAAGTAACTCTCCGAGAAGAGCCTGACCTGCAGCACTGCCCCCCATTTCTGCCCCCCGGAGCCTGTCCAGGTGTTCGCACAGATCTCCCTAATAGACTCAAACTCTAGAGGATGACGGGCTCTCTCCATTCACCCTGTAGCCCAAGTGCCTGGCGCATTACCAGGCACATAGAATGCCTTCAGTATTCATGCAATCAAATGCTTATTCTAATTCATTATAATTTACAATCATCAGCTACATTACACCATCATAAATTAAGGTTTATATATATGGAAAAGTCTTGATAGCGTTTAGTGGCTTCTAAGTTTCTATTCAGGTAATAATCTTTCTTTTTAGCACAAATAACAAGACTTCAATTTTAAAGTGTGTCTAATTCTTAGAGACACGATGTGTTTTGAGTGTCATCACAGAAAGACATGCCCTGCACAGGAACCAGAAAGGCCCTCTGTTGGCCTGGCAGGACAGACACTGAGCCACCTGACTGTGTCCTTGCCACACATCACTTGACGGATTGCCAAGTGCTCTCGTTGCAGTTCAGCCTACTGTGCGTGCCCCTGACATTTGTCATCTTCAGCCACAATTGTATTTGTTAACCTTTTGTGGTCAATGTTGTACCCCATCATGGAGCAGCATCTCAACCAGAATTAGCCTGAAGTGTTCAGAAGTAACCAGAGCGGTGACCCAATGAACTGTCACTGCCTGAGGTCTTGGAAATAGGAAGTTGAAGTTGGACAAGCAATGTAGGTCATCACTACTGAGATAGCTCAAATCTGTTCTTTCAAGCCTACTATGATGTCTCGTGTATTTGTACAGAAGAGTTCCTCTCATTCTGTTGTATTTCTAAATATCAGATATCAGCCAATTCTAAGGCAAAGCAATGAAGTCCACTGCAGCAGGGGGTGAGGCACGGTCACTACACAGAAAGAGAGAAGTAGACAATGGATCACAACCAAAAGAGGATAAAATGCAAAAAAGAAGAAAAGAAAAAAAACATGTATCTAGATGCTAACATGGGCAGGCGTTCCTTTAAGGAGACTAGAGGTGTTGAACTCAGGTCCCTGTATGGTGGGTTTGGGTGATGATCACAGCAGCAAGCTGGAGCATCTAACAGAATTTTAGATCAGCAAAAGGAACTCGACATAGAAGATAGGCATTGGCCATCAAATGACAGCACGCTGTTATTGACAGAAAACAGGCCTATTTCCACACTGCATTTTGAAGACACTCATATCTGGCGGAGTTCAGTGACTCATACCTGTAATCCCAGTACTTTTGGAGGCTGAGGCAGAAGGATGAATTGAGTCCAGGAGTTTGAGTCTGCAGTGAGCTAGAATCGAGACTCCGTCTCTAATTAAAAAAAAAAGTCTCCATTTCTAAGTATAATTTTAACGTGATGCTGCAGATTCTTTAGTTTTAAGGTTCTCAGCCTCCATCCTGACTTTGGGTCAAACAGTAGTAGTTTGTTAACAAACCCTTACTTAATTTCCTTTCTAAAAAGAAGACTCCCCTAACAGCAGAGGCGGGGGCTTTGCTGCAGAGTGTCCCATGGCCAGGAGTGTCTTTGCCTCTTTTTTGGGCTCTTTTTGTCCTTTACTGGGGCTCCTCCCAGCTGACTTGCCCTGGCATGTCACACTGGCCTACTCTCTCAGGGACGCTTGGGGACAATGCCGAGGGGGCTAAAGCCAATAGTGATAGTGCTGACTAAACAGTCAGTGGGCCTTCTTGGTCAAGAGTGATTGTCCTGGGAATGGAGGGTGGCGTTCAAGCCCAGCCCCTTGGTTGGGACAGTGGAGAGCAGGCAGGACACTAAAAGGGGGACTGCACTCTGGGGTGGATAAATCCCTTTCAGGCTCCAAGGCTAGTCTTGTGAGGTCTTGAGGAGAATTTGATGATTTGCAATGAGGCTGTGTGCCCACACCGCCTTCCTGCCATGTCTGCTTAGACCTCAAGCCCCATCTCGTCACCAGCCTTCCCTCATTCTATCTGAAGTTTGTGCTCAAGGAAAACAATGGCGTGGCAGACACCTGAGCCCCACCCATGCTGTCCCCACCAACTCTCTTCAACAAGGCAAGTGCACAGGTGGCTCCCAGACACTCCTCTCCTTCATTCCAGAATGTCCCAGCCTACAAGCTCACTCTAGGATCCTCATCACCCTCATGAGGGCACCGCCTTTGGGGTCATTTTCTCCAGTCGTAGGTCACCTTTGTGAATGGCCCACAGCATCAGGCGGCCGACTTGGCTGGTAGCTATATTACGTATAGACAATTGATATTAAAAGCATAATTTTCAAATCCCATAGCCCTTCGAGGTGCTATTCACCTGTCAGCTGATCTGATTTCAGCTTATTTCTAGATATCAACATTTACATTTATTTGAATATATTTATTATTTTTTTTAAATAGTAGGATCTGTGGGCTTATTCATTCTACGATATTTTGCAAGGTAACCATGTTGTCAGTGTTGTAAACAAATGCCAAGTATTTCCTAGTTGGCTCCACAGAGTGCAAATCTCCTCACGTGACTCTGGACTTAATCATTCCTCACGGCTCACATTGACTATTGTAGGCATAATTAATATAATTAATTTCACTCACATAATGTCTCTATATTTTTTCTTCTTGGACCAGCAACTTCACAATTATTGAATAATTTAAGGCATAAAATTATGTACATATTTAATTATTTAATTAAAAGACGACAAAGATGTGCAACTTTAAAAAGAATTGTAGCTAGTTCCTAAATTTCTATCTATCAAGTAGGTACTGTGAATCTTCTTATCAAACCCTCACAGTTTATGTTGTGTAGTATTTCTGAGTTTTGCACTATTCTACAAATGAGGTTATTATCCCGAGACGATTCTAGAAAATCAAAGCCATATTCCCTGAATGATAAAGGGCCCCGGCCCAAGTGCTACCAACATGGTAGGAGACAGGTTATGTTCAGCGTCTCAAGAATGCACCCAGCTATCAATCACTCGACACAGGAGACCTGACAGCCTGCTGAGGGAGGCACCTGAAGTCATTCATTGACTGCCAATGACACGTCTGCTCTGCATATTGCATTTCTGCTAATCGACTGAACCTCTGTGGCATTTCAAACAACACGGTTAGACCTCAGAGGAGATGTGTAAAGGGAAGGCATGAAGCAGAGAGCTGAAGGGCTGACATCATCAAACATGCAGTCGTGAGCTGCCCGCCTCCTGAGGACAGAAGCAGAGGCCCTCGTCCTCCCTGTCTGGTATGGACACCCTCCCCCATGCAGAATACAAACTGGAGGAAACGAAACTTACTGATCCCCAGTGAACACAGAAGCATTCTGAAGAAGGGGAAAGATTCACGCCCTTCTTTCTGGTCTGCTAAACTGGGTCAATTTATCGTCTGTGGCTGCCCAAGATTACAGACACCAGACAAATGACCTAGGAAAGTGGAACGCCGGGAAATAGAGGCAGAGCACAAGGCTTCAGTCAGGGGCCACACACACCGAGCACACAGGACAAAGCAGTGAGACCTGTCACCTGGCTGCTTTGAAACTGCTCCCAGAGGGATGAGGACTTCCCTTTCTTCACACCCACATGTCAGGTGTCAGGCAGGAGATAGGCTGGGCCTGAGAGCCTGGACACGAACCCAGCAGAGGCTGTATTTCTCCCGATCATCTCAAGTAAAGGTAACGCTCCCCTCTGAGCCCAGCTGTCTCCCAGGAGAACCCTAATCCTCAGGTCATGATGACTGTGAGCCACAGAGGCAGGGTCGACGCTCTGCCCTCTTGAGAGGACTCTGCATTCCAGAACTGAGCTCAGGTCTCCCAAGCCCAAGCCCTAGCTCAAAATGGACAGTAGCGATTTTTATTTTTGGGATTAGTGTAGTATTCCTCCCACTTAGCTAGCCAGAAAATTCTTCCAAAATAAACACACAGTGTCCTGATGATATATTTTTGACTTGTTTCCACTCATAATTGAAAACCAACAACACTGAAAATACGTCATAAATAAAGAGACCATGTAAAAAGAACTGAGGCCAGGCGCGGTGGCTCACACCTGTAATCCCAGCACTTTGGGAAGCCAAGGTGGGTGGATCACGAGGTCAGGAGATCAAGACCATCCTGGCTAACACGGTTAAACCCCATCTCTACTAAAAATACAAAAAATTAGCCAGGCGTGGTGGCACGCACTTGTAGTCCCAGCTACTTGGGAGGCTGAGGCAGAAGAATCGCTTGAACCTGGGAGGTGGAGGTTGCAGTCAGCCGAGATCACACCACTGCACTCCAGCCTGGGCGACAGAGTAAGACTTTGTCTCAAAAAAAGAAGAAGAAGAAGAAGAAGAAGAACTGCGAGCTTCCCATTCCAAATTGTGGCATGTACATCTTCTCTTCCTCCTGAGAGAGTGTTAATAATTTTATAAAGCTCAACAATGAGAAGACATGTAGGGGGCCATCAGCAAGAAAATATTTCAACAAAGTTTCTGGAAGACAAAAAGTGAAACAAGACACGGTCACTGGGAAAGCTGAGCCAAACCAAAGCTGAGAGGGCACCTGCAGAGAGAATCAGCCCCGAGGGGACCAGGGTACCCAAAGGGGGCCCTGAGACAACGCAGGCAACAAAAGGCATGAATGACCCTTGGGCCTGAAAACAAGAGGATTAGTTTTCAATTACTCACCTGGAAGAGGAGAGCTAGCAGCAGGCATTTATCTACTGACACCTGAGGATGTTTCTCTCAAGAATGAAAATGAACCTAGGGAGAACTAGGCAATTATGCAGATATTAGAGATCCCCCTCAAAACCTTAAAATTCTGGCATAGATTCTTCCAGTCAGTATCTGACCTGCCACCCAACAAGCCTGCCAGACACCAATCAATGAGCTCCTGGTCAGCCTTGCTGCATCCTGTCCTGAAATATGATTAGACAACCCAGAACTGCCAGAAAGATCATTCTGTCATTCAGCATAACAAACACAATCACCATAGGAAATCCTGCAGTACAATACAAAGATGAAGGGCCAGATAAACAGAAACCATGATTCCAGAAAAAGCATAAATATTTCCTGTAAAATAAAGTCAGGTATAGGTATTAATCAATATTCTCAGAGAGACAGCTTGCATCTACAAAGCAAGGACAGGGTAGGATGGGAAAGAGACCATAAAAAAGACATTTCTAGAAAATTTAAAACATATTTAATAAATAAAAAATAAATTTATTGGAATGTAAAGGTAAATATTTTTTCCAGGAAAAAAATGACAGAGAAAGGAAATAAGGCAAAAATACAAGAATAATATAAAATTAGGCTTCCTTCTAACAAGAGTTTCAGGAAAGAAGAACACAGAAAACAGAGGAAAGGAAAGAAATAATGGAAGGAATTCTCCGAAACTAAAGATGCACCTTAAGATTGAAAATGTGTCAACCACAACCACTGTCATCAAATACAAAAATCATCATCATGAAATCAGAACAATGATAATGAAGAAAAGATATCAATGGCTATAAAAGGGAAAAAATTTAGGTTGCGTGCAAAGGAGAAAAATCAGATTGACATCAAAAATTTTTTTATTTTTATTTTATGTTCAGGGGTATGTGTGCAGGTTTGTTATATAGGTAAACTGCGTGTCATGGGGGTTTGGTGTACAGAATATTTCATCACCCAGGTAATAAGTATACTATCCAATATGTATTTTTTGTGATCCTTTCCCTTCTCCCACCCTCCATCCTCAAGGAGGCCCCAATGTCTGCTGTTCTCCTCTACGTGTCCATGTGTTCTCATCATTAGCTTCCCCTTATAAGTGAGAACATGCAGTATTTGGTTTTCTGTTCCTGCGTTAGTTTGCTCCAGCTCCATCCATGTTGCTGCAAAGGATACTATCTCATTCCTTCTTATGGCTGCATAGTATTTCATAGTGTATATGTACCACATGTTCTTTATCCAATCTACCAGAAATGGACATTTAGGTTGATTCCATGTCTTTGCTGTTGTGAATAGTCCTGCAATGTGTCTTTATGGTAGAACTATTTATATTCCTTTGGGTATATACCCAATAATGGAATGGCTGGGTCGAATGTTAATTCTGTTTTAAGTTATTTGAGGAATCACAACACTGCTTTCCACAATGGCTGAACTAATTTACACTCCCACCAGCAGTGTATAAGCATTCTCTTTTCTCAGCAACCTCACCAGAATCTGTTATTTTTTGACTTTTTAATAATGGTAATTCTGACTGGTGTGAGATGGTATCTCATTGTGCTTTGATTTGCATTTCTCTAAAGATCAGTGATGTTGAGCATGTTTTCATATGCTTGTTACCCACATGAATTTCTTCTTTTGAAGTGTCTGTTCATATCCTTTGCCCACTGTTTAATGAGATTATTTGTTTTTTGCTTATAAATTTGCTTAAGTTCTTTAACGATTCTGGATATTAGATCTTTGTCAGATGCATAGTTTGCAAATATTTTCTCCCATTCTGTAGGTTGTCTGTTTACTTTGTTGACGTTCATTTTGCTGTGCAGAAACTCTTTAGTTTAATGAGGTCTCATTTGTCACTTTCTGTTTTTGTTGCAATTGCCTTTGGCATCTTTGACATAAAATCTTTGCTAGTTTCTATGTGTAGGAATGGTATTTCCTAGGTTAACTTCTAGGGTTTTCATAGTTTTAGGTTTTACATTTATGTCTTTAATTCATCTTGAGTTTATTTTTGTACATGTTATGAAGAAGGGGTCCAGTTTCAATCTGCTTATGGTTCGCCAGCTACCCCAGCACCAGTTATGGAATAGGAAGTCCTTTCTCCATTGCTGGTTTTTGTCAGCTTTGTCGAAGATCAGATGGTTGTAGGTGTGTGGCATTATTTCTGGGCTCTCTATTCTATTCCATGGTGACATATGTCTGTTTTTGTACCAGTACCATGTTGGCTGTTTTGATTACTGTAGCCTTGTAGTATAGTATAAAGTCAGGTAATGTGATGCCTCCAGCTTTGTTCTTTTTGCTTATGATTGCCTTGGCTATTTGGGCTATTTTTTGGTTCCATATGAATTTTAAAATAGCTTTTTCTAATTCTGTGAAGAATGTCATTGGTAGTTTGATGGGAATAGCATTGAATCTGTAAATTGCTTTGGACAGTATGGCCATTTTACTAATATTGATTCTTCTATCCATGAGCATGAGATATTTTTCAATTTGTTTGTGTCATCTCTGATTTCTTTGAGCAGGCACAGGATTTTCAAAGCTATGTTGCTTGTTAGAAGCCAATGGAACAATACCTTCAAAGGTTTTTTATTTGTTTGTTTGTTTGCTTTAAACAGAGTCTCCCTCTTTTGCCAAAGCTGGAGTGCAGTGGTGTGATCTCACTGCAACCTCTGCCTCCCAGGCTCAAGGGGTTCTCAAGTCTCAGCCTTCTGAGTAGCTGGGATTACAGGCATGTGCCACCATGCCCAGCTAATTTTTGTATTTTTAGAAGAGACAAGGCTTCTCCATGTTGGCCAGGTTGGGTCTCAAACTCCTAGCCTCAAGTGATTCACCCTCCTTGGCCTCCCAAAGTGCTGGGATTACAGGCATGAGCCACTTCATCCAACCACCTTCAAAGTCTTGTTCTATTTTAAACCTTCAATTCTATACCCAGTCAAACTATCAGTCAACAGGAAGACAGAATAAGAACGTTTTGAGGCATGCAAGATATAGAAATCCTAGCTCCCAAGTCAATTTTTAAGGATTTGTTCAGTTATGTAATAAGGAAACAAACTATAGAAAGGAGAGACCCTGAGACTAGAAATCATTAGATTAAATCCAGGAGAGAATAAAGCAAAATTCAAAAATGACAGCTGCACAATAGGTCTAAAGATCAAACAGTGCAGGTTAGAAAGAGGGCTTTAGGAGGTCTCCATGAAAAAACAAAATCTATAGGCAAGATGATGTAATCGAGAGCTTGGATAAAAGTTGAGAATTTATGCAGGGTAATAGAGGAGAATCAATTTTAACTTAGTGTCAGGAACATTTTACACAGCTGCTCAGGGCCAATTCAGAAAAGAAAACACAATTACAGCAGAGCACTTATTTTTGCAGTGAACATTATTTCCAAAATCATAGCAATGTAAATGGTATTCATTGGTTTTGAAACCTTGAAACAAACTTTTAGACGACATTCACTGAAGACTAACTGAATGCGTATAAGAATATAAAAGCTAGAACCTTGATAATAGAAAAGGACAGCTGACAAGATTGAGAAGTAGGAGAAAAAAGAGGTGGATGAATGGATGAAAGGGTTGAGGGAAGGGTAAGTGGGTTCTCAGTAAGTAGGACTTTCAATGGGAAAAAAAAGTTAATCATGTTATTTGATTTTTCAAAAATCACCAGTTGAGGAACTTAAAATTGTGAATTAACCAACTTGGAAGAAAGAGTAGATGTGGAAGAAAATTTAGCTAAATCTTCTTCTTCCATAGCTATTATTTTAAAAAGCAGTATTTAAAATTGGAAAATCCAGAAATAAAAATAGATGTATGCAGCTCATACCTATGAAGTAAAACAAAAATTTATAAAAAATTAAGAGTGAGTCCCCATGGACTGCAGAACTAGGGACAAGAGGGAAGGAAAGCAGCAGGAGAAGTTCTTTTCATTATGAAACTATCCAGACTGATTTTTTTAGTCCCTGTCACATTAGTAATATCCTTTTCCAAAAAGAGTTTAGAAATTATCTTTTATAAAAGAAATGTTGTAATTTATAAAAGGAAGTAAACTACAGTCTAAAAGGTCTGATTTTTTTTATATATTCTTCTTTTATTTTTTTTATTTTTTTAACCTGAAATCTTTTTTTTTAATTTTATTATTATTATACTTTAAGTTTTAGGGTACATGTGCACAATGTGCAGGTTTCTTACATATGTATACATGTGCCATGTTGGTGTGCTGCACCCATTAACTCGTCATTTAGCATTAGGTATATCTCCTAATGCTATCCATCCCCCCTCCCCCCACCCCACAACAATTCCCGGTGTGTGATGTTCCCCTTCCTGTGTCCATGTGTTCTCATTGTTCAATTCCCACCTATGAGTGAGAACATGCGGTGTTTGGTTTTTTGTCCTTGCGATAGTTTGCTGAGAATGATGGTTTCCAGTTTCATCCATGTCCCTACAAAGGACGTGAACTCATCATTTTTATGGCTGCATAGTATTCCATGGTGTACATGTGCCACATTTTCTTAATCCAGTCTATTGTTGTTGGACATTTAGGTTGGTTCCAAGTCTTTGCTATTGTGAATAATGCCGCTATAAACTTACGTGTGCATGTGTCTTTATAGCAGCATGATTTATAATCCTTTGGGAATATACCCAGTAATGGGATGGCTGGGTAAAATGGTATTTCTAGTTCTAGATCCCTGAGGAATCGCTACACTGACTTCCACAATGGTTGAACTAGTTTACAGTCCCACCAACAGTGTAAAAGTGTTCCTATTTCTCCACATCCTCTCCAGCACCTGTTGTTTCCTGACTTTTTAATGATCGCCATTCTAACTGGTGTGAGATGGTATCTCATTGTGGTTTCGATTTGCATTTCTCTTATGGCCAGTGATGATGAGCATTTTGTCATGTGTTTTTTGGCTGCATAAATGTCTTCTTTTGAGAAGTGCGTGTTCATATCCTTCACCCACTTTTTGATGGAGTTGTTTGTTTTTTTCTTGTAAATTTGTTTGAGTTCTTTGTAGATTCTGGATATTAGCCCTTTGTCAGATGAGTAGGTTGCAAAAATTTTTTCCCAATCTATAGGTTGCCTGTTCACTCTGACAGTAGTTTCTTTTGCTGTGCAGAAGCTCTTTAGTTTAATTAGATCCCATTTGTCAATTTTGGCTTTTGTTGCCATTGCTTTTGGTGTTTTAGACATGAAGTCCTTGCCCATGCCTATGTCCTGAATGGTATTGCCTAGGTTTTCTTCTAGGGTTTTTATGGTTTTAGGTCTAACATTTAAGTCTTTAATCCATCTTGAATTAATTTTTGTATAAGGTGTAAGGAAGGGATCCAGTTTCAGCTTTCTACATATGGCTAGCCAGTTTTCCCAGCACCATTTATTAAATAGGGAATCCTTTCCCCATTGCTTGTTTTTGTCAGGTTTGTCAAAGATCATAGTTGTAGATATGTGGCATTGTTTCTGAGGGCTCTGTTCTGTTCCATTGGTCTATACCTCTATTTTGGTACCAGTACCATGCTGTTTTGGTTACTGTGGCCTTGTAGTATAGTTTGAAGTCAGGTAGCGTGATGCCTCCAGCTTTGTTCTTTTGGCTTAGGATTGACTTGGCAATGCGGGCTTTTTTTTGGTTCCATATGAACTTTAAAGTAGTTCTTTCCAATTCTGTGAAGAAAGTCATTGGTAGCTTGATGGGGATGGCATTGAATCTATAAATTACCTTGGGCAGTATGGCCATTTTCACGATATTGATTCTTCCTACACATGAGCATGGAATGTTCTTCCTACACATGAGCATGTTTGTATCCTCTTTTATGTCTGATGTTAATGGCATATCCAAACCTGAACTTCTAATAACTGGCTCCATAATTTCTGCTCCCACCAAAGTCCGTATGGTCTTTGTTTCCTATTTTCCTTTAAAAGAGAAGAATGACTTATAGCAGTGCTCCTGAACTGAGTCAACTACCAGGAGATAAAGAATAACTAGGCCACACCCAATCCAGACCAAGTGAATCAAACTTCCCAAGGGACCCCTTATTTTTAACCATTGTCCCCAGGGATTCCCACAGACCCACAACATGGTCATGACCACTCTGACCAAGCCAGGTATGGCTGGATCCTCCACATGGGGATGGAAGGATGGGGGCTCCTGCATGGTGCACCCTATCATTCCTCAGCCTCTGCAATGGAAGGAGGGCACGGCTTTGGCCTGGAAATGCCACACATCACTCATGTCAGCCTCTACCAGAAAGGCCTTGGCCACCTCCACTGCAAGGGAAGTAGGAAAATGGAAATGAAATGAAATGTGAGACCAGGAAGAAGGGAAGGCCGACTTTAGTGACTGATTAGCCACTTGTGTACAGAACCAAAGCACGGGTCACAGAAGAATCCTCTCCCAGCTAAGATGACCCTCAGTGTTAACTCATGAGGCCAGAGCCTGCTGTCCCCAGGGAGAAAGGCCTGTCTGGCCCCAGACATACACCCCCTGCCCCACATAAGGGGAACCCAGTGAACACAGTGATGGGCTAGGCTTTACTTTTTATGTCATGAGCTGGTGTTCAGACTGCCAGGTCCCTGTCTGGGTGGCTACTTACTCTTTACTTCATTCCTAAGTTGCCCTCAATCAAAGTGATGACGTCTACATTCAGCCAAGTGTGGCCATCTGGGAACATGACCCCAGCTACATCGGTTCCTTTAGACACACCCCTAAAGCCCTGAATCAACAGAAGGACCCCAGTGAAGAGGGTGCAGGACTCTTCCAAAGGAGACAAGTTCAAGATGCTCCCTCCACACCAGTGCAGCAGACAGAGACCATGGGGGTAGTCAACAGGGTCGGCCTGTGCTGGCAGTGGCACTGCCCCCATAGGTAGTTTGGAAACAGTATTCTGGAAGAGAATAAAATGAGGCACATTGGCCTTTGTGGCTTCCTCTATTTAAAATGGGTTTGATAGAAAGCAAAAGAGAAAAATGAAAAATGTTATTTTGATGTTTAGTGTCATATTGACATACTATGAATCTTACACATCTATCATTCAATGATATTTAATGTTGTGACATTTAAGATAAACATTTATACTAGTTCCTAGTGTGAACTCTCTAGGATATTTTCCAAATATCAGAGAAAGCTTTCTTGAAGTTAATCTCCCACAGGGGATTATTTTTTTTTAAAACAGTATTTTCAACTACAGCTGGTCTAAGGCCTTTTGTTCATTCCAAACACACAGAAAGACAGAGTCATGCAGTCAATATACAGGTTTTTCCATCAATTTAACAAATAAATAAATTGAGAATGGACTACGAACATCCAGCATGATGCCTAAATACTTACAATTTAAAAAGATAGCCATGAAGCGGCAAATCTCTTTCTAAAGCTACCTTCAGTGCGGTAAAAATGGGTTGTGCCTAAATATACATTCAAAAGGTGTTTACCTGATTTACCTGACTCACAGTGAAGCAAGAGGTTTGCAGACCTGAACTGCAGGGAGATTCAACCCTGCTGATGGCGGCCCACCTTCCACTTGGCCTGGGCCATGATGGTGGCAGTGAGAAGTCAGCTGGCTGGATGCAGGTCCCAGGAGTTCAGAGACTGAGCTCCTTGAAGGATAGTGGGTGACCAGGCTGGGCCATGCAAAAGGCCTGAATCTTCTGGCTTAGGAGTCAGCCAAAGTCCCCAGATAACCATAAAGCAACTAACTACCATGGCCTCCTTTCTGAGTCCAGCCATTGAGGGTGCCATGGACCCTCCAATCTGTGTCCTCTGCCCCAGCCCCTTGGAGGAAAAAGCCATTCCCTCAAGTAGCCCTCCCCCTATTGCCTTCTACAACCTACAGTAGTTTAGTAGACTGTCCTGCTCCCCAAGCCAGTCACCCCAGAACAGATATCAGCTGGTTGATCAACAGAGACAGTTAAAGTGAGGATTAAGTATTTATCATAATCAGTATTATTTGTAAAATTAGAATATATTATGATATAGTAAATATTCACTTACTTGTATACATGTTTGTATACACACACACACACACACACATACATGAATATACATGTAACCTAACTGTATTATTTTAATTGCCATTTCTCTATTTGGTCATCTTTGAGGGTGGGCCTACAGAATCCAAGCCCTTTCATCTTATCTTTCTTCTGTTAATTGCATCTCAGTATGCTGCCTACAATTGTTCAAGTTCACAGTTACTTGTAAATATTCTATGCAAGTCTCCCCAAGTGTAGCAGCAGCCTAGATTTTTGTAATTTCCCCTAGTCTTTTAGAATTGTCTTTCTAGACTGTTAGCACTTCTCTCTCATCATTGTGGTCACATCTTCCTGGTCCTAAAAAACTCCTTCCTCAGTCCACCCCCTCTTTCTACTCCTGCCTTCTCTCTTTTCTCCTGTAAACAAGGAAACTCAAGTCTTCTGTCCTGTCTCCACCACCTCACCAACCACTCACTCCTCAACTTCACTTACTGAAACATGCTTTCTAATGAATAATGGAGCAGAGTCAATGCTGGTAAGAAGATACGTTACATTAAATATAATGTCCATGGATTTGGGATCCTGATTGAAAAATGACTTCAAGAAGATAAAACTTACCGCTCATCTGGATAACAGTTAAAACATCCAAAACAGGAATACATGGTACTCCGTAAGGAAAGACAAAGCTTGAAGCAACAAAGACTTCATGACTCAAACACCAAAAGCAATGGCAACAAAAGCCAAAGTAGACAAATGGGATCTAATTAAACTAAGGAGCTTCTGCACAGCAAAAGAAACTACCATCAGAGTGAACAGGCAACCTACAGAATGGGAAAAAATTTTTGCAATCTACCCATCTGACAAAGGGCTAATATCCAGAATCTACAAAGAACTCAAACAAATATACAAGAAAAAAACAAACAAGCTCATCAAAAAGTGTGTAAAGGATATGAACAGATACTTCTCAAAAGAAGACACCTATGCAGCCAACAGACACATGAAAAAATGCTCATCATCACTGGTCATCAGAGAAATGCAAATCAAAACCACAATGAGATACCATCTCACACCAGTTAGATTGGCAATCATTAAAAAGTCAGGAAGGAATAGATGCTGGAGAGGATGTGGAGAAATAGGAATGCTTTTACACTGTTGCTGGGAGTGTAGACTAGTTCAACCATTGTGGAAGACAGTGTGGCAATTCCTCAAGGATCTAGCACTAGAATTACCATTTGACCCAGCCATCCCATTACTGGGTATATACCCAAAGGATTATAAATCATGCTGCTATAAAGACACATGCACACATATGTTTATTACAGCACTCTTCACAATAGCAAAGACTTGGAACCAACCCAAATGTCCATCAGTGATAGATTGGATTAAGAAAATGTGGCACATATACACTGTGGAATACTATGCAGCCATAAAAAAGGGTGAGTTAATGTCCTTTGCAGGGACATGGATGAAGCTGGAAACCATCATTCTCAGCAAACTATCACAAGGACAGAAAACCAAACACTGCATGTTCTCACTCATAGGTGGGAACTGAGCAATGAGATCACTTGGACACAGGGTGGGGAACGTCACACCTGTCGGGGGGGTGGGGGCTGGGGGAGGGATAGCATTAGGAGAAATACTTAATGTAAATGATGAGCTGATGGGTGCAGCAAACCAACATGGCACATATATACCTACCTATCAAACCTGCACGTTGTGCACATGTACCCTTAACTTAAAGTATAATAATAAAAGAAAGAAAGAAAGAAAGAAAGAAAGAAAGAAAGAAAGAAAGAAAGAAAGAAAGAAAGAAAGAAAGAAAGAAAAGAGCATTTATTTCACGAACAGGGAACTCCAGTTCAAATCTTGGCTCTGCTCTGATGAGCTGTGTCACTCTCTTTGCACTGCAATCCTATCATCTGTATAATAAGAATAGGAATTGAACACATAGCAAAAGTTGTTTTAGGAATAAAGTTAGAAAATAAATTCAGTCAACAAGCTCTACACAAACATCCTTAATTACAAAGGGATGCTTTCCATAGACATAAACTTGAAGGCATTTGTTAATTGTTGCCCTCAGTATTTAGTTTCAGTTTGTCTGTGTGTTTGTGTGTGTTTTGTAGTGTCCTTGCATGTATATGTTTGTGTGTGTTTGCCGGTTTTGTTGTGTGTTTACATGTATGTTTGAGTGTATGTGTGTCTGCTTGTGTATCTGCTATGTGTTTTGTAGTGTGCTGTGTGTGTCTGCTTATGTGTTTTGTAGTGTGCTTGCCTGTGTGTTTGCCTGTGTGTCTGTCTGTGTTTGCTTGTGTGGTTTGTAGTGTGCTTGTGTATGTGTGTGCATTTGCACATTTGCATGTGTTTGTGAGTGTGTCTGCTTATGTGTTTTGTAGTGTGCTTCCATGTATGTTTGTGTGTTTGTGTGTCTGCTGGTGTTTGCTTGTGTTTTGTAATGTGCTTGTGTGTATATGTGTGTGTGTTTGAGTGTTTGCATGTGTGTCTGCTTGTGTGGTAGTGTGCTTGTGTGTGTGTTTGCGTGTTTACATGTGTGTTTGCATGTATGTCTGCTTGTGTTTGGTAGTGTGCTTGTGTGTGTGTTTGTGTGTGCATTTGTGTGTGTGTTTGTTTTATCATTGCTTTCTCTTTCAAGCTTCCGTCTGATGCTTTAGCCTGAAGTGCAAGGCTGACCTGATATGGATCCAGGGAGAAAGAATAAAATTTCATGTGAAAAACTTAATTCATCCTGAGAGGCAGATGGGAGGCATTTCCGCCAGGGATTAGTTAATTTTAAGTATGAAAACACAACTTTAATTCAAGCAAAGAGGTAGATTTATTACGGCCCATACCGGAGAAATCTGAGAAAGATTGGCTCTCTCTCTTTGTGCATATCTTAGAAACAGTTTTTCTCAGGTTAGGTTCACCCTCAGGTGGGTTGCAGTTGCTGCAAGCTATATGGTCCCAGGTTAGGTCCCAAAGAAATGGAAGAGACCTGTCCTGCTGTGGCCTTCTGTCCTGCTGCGGCCTTCCGGCCAACCTCAGACTAGGTCTCCCCGACCCAGGGGAGTGTAGAACCCAGCCAGGCAAACCAGTACCGGCATCCATGAGTGAGGTTGTCTGATTGGCCAGCCAGGAAGATCTGACTGGCCAGCCCAAGAGGAGGGATAATCTGATTGGCCAGCCTATGGGAAGTAAGGTGGGGTCATGGGCTTCAGGGCTCACCTAGAATCATAGGGCTGTAAAAAAACCACCCAAGGTCCGCTATCTGGGGCCATCTGACTTGCATTACTCCACTGAGCACATAAGTCTCTCCATATGCGGTAAAGAACCAGGTGGACACCTGAAATTTTCAGCCCCATGATTTGTCATTTTGTATATTTTCATGCGAAGACAGGGAAGATGTATATAGCCACAGATACTCGTGGAAAAACTCCAGGTCGGGTTGAGCTTAACAAAACTGGGAGACAGAAGTTATGGTGACCTCTGATCAGATGCAGATGATGTTGTTTGGACATAACTGTTCTGCAGCAATAGGCATCTCTCCTGGGGCCTCTGCCTCTCATCCCTGCTGTTCAGGCATGGCCAAAGCCCAGGTCCCCTGTAGCCTCTGGGGACTCAGGTGACCTGGCCCTCACTCCCCACAGTCACCTGAAGACTCTGTTTAGCTCTCTTGCCAGTACTGCCACAAGTCCTATATGGTAGGTAGAGATTTGATTGGAGAGAAGCCTACCAAAGTCAGACGTGGGTGTGCCAGTCCTCTTTATGGCCAAGGCGTGTACTTAAAGGGTGATGTTGGGGGTCCTGGTGCATCCTCTGACCCAGGGATTGTCCCTTTCTTGAAATGAGAGCAGGGACAGCCAGCTTCTGCTGAGGCTGCCTGTCGGATGATCCTGGCCCCTTGGTCTCTCTCTTTTATTCTTGTCCTGTGCGATCACTTACCTCCGGTATAGGTAACGCAGCCTGCATTTGATGGAAGTCCTTCTAACTAGTAAGCGTCTCCTAGGCTGAAAGGACAACTGAAAATCCTGTGTATTTTTGCTTCTTTATTTTAAAAAAATTCAGTTTTGAAACTGTGATCCACCAAAAATAAAATATGTACTTAAATTTTTACACTAAGAAATGTATCTGTTCATCATGACCAATAAATATCTTATGTGGCTAAGCAATGTTTGACTTTCACCTAAAATTTGTCATCCGAAATATGGACATCTAAAGCCCGTTTGAAGCAAGATTGAACTTGAAGACATACCTCATTTTTATATTTTGTAAGCAGGAAAAAAGCTAGTCACATCTAGGTCTTATCTATAAGTATCTATTAAGGTCAAGAGGTGGAAGCTGCTCTAAAAATGATGCCGCCGAAGATACTTTCTAGTCTCCCAAACCATTTTCTTGGCAAAAATATAGCAGCTGCATTGGGGTATCCTGGAAGCAAAGAGACCCACATCTCAGCGAGGGGTTAAGGTAAAGTCAGCCCCTGGGTATAAGAGAGGCTGCTAAGAGATGTAGCCCGAGACAGCTGAGTGGTCGCCTGTGGTCAAGCGGCATCTTGTAATTCTATTAGGGTGTTAGATTCAAATGCAGAATTAGCTGTTGCCTACGCAGAATTATGTTAAACACGGGCCAGACTGAAAATCAATATTCTGCTTAAGTAACTGGCCCTCCAGTAATTTAATGAAGCTAAATTGCATTACACAGCGGCAAGGTGGAGGGGCCACTCTATCTCAACCCTTCCATTACACAGGGGCTGTGCAGCACTGTGCCTAAAGAGAAATTAAACACATACTCATTTTTTTTCCTGAAGTTGGAACTGTGCTTTTTACACCAGATTACTTGTCTGCTTCTTTAATTTAAAATCAGAGTAAATAATTTGCAGTTCCATAATCAAAAAAGAACTAGAGACTCATAACAAGAAAGAAAGATAGCTGGAGGAATATTGGAAAATAATGCTTTTCTTAAATCCATAAGAAAAGAACTTGGGGGTGGTGAGTGGGAAAGGGGTGAGCCTTCAGTTGTAACCTATATATTAAAATGTAATTGTAAAGGCTTCAAATTGACACCGTAATTAATCAAGGCCACAATTTCATTAAGGACCACAAAGCCAATGTGGAGAAAATTTTCTTTGAAACTTACATATAAATATGTATAAAATAAGAAATTTTTAAAGCATTATTGTTTTGGTCATCATGCATTTCACAGGTTGCTTTGCAATTGCTTTTCTTCCTTCCTTTGGTTGCGGTATATGTGTGTGAGGTATAAGTGTGCATGTGTGTGTGCTTGTGAGTGCCATATGACAACTACAAGTTTGCTAAGCTCAGAACCCTTCAACATAACACCTGAAATGGGCATCTTCTCATTTAAGGTTTCACTACAAGAACTTCAAGCTCTCCACACAGTCAGAATGCACTCATTATGAGATTTGAACCACAGAAGTTTGCACTAAAGATGATTGACAATAGAAAAGAGGTGTCGTTGCATCGTTTCAAAGTTATTGGCAACTCATTTATTTATTATTCAGCTGCAAACTTCGTCTATATGAAACACCTCACAGACTTATGTCCAAAACTCCAAATTAAAATGACAATAATTGAATGTTGCTTAGGATGGGATAATATAAAAAACAGAAATTTTTCCTTTATAGATGCCAATTTGGATATTCTGGGATCCAATAAGACGTATGAACTATGTGAGCCACTATCTCTGAGAATTTCACGTTTGGAATCTGTATATATATGAAGTTAATTGGCATTTATCACCGGCTCTCCTGGCTCTTCCCATTATTCTTAATCTCTTGGTCTGGAAAGGACACAAGATATCAACAAAGAGTGACAATGAAAATGATTCTTGACCACAAAACCTTGAGTTCCGAATCTTTAAACAGCTTTCCACCGCGGACTGAAGCAGAGTCAAGTTCATCTGAAATGTCTTCTGAAACGCTGTGACTGCTATAGATGAAAGGTTATTTATGTTCTCAATTTAGACATGGTTACATCTTCATTCCTTAGTTAAATATCTTCATCATAGAAAAATAGTGAATCTGACAGTGAACAGTAATGGTAACTTAGGTAGGTCTCGTTCATGAGCTGAAAAATCCAGTTTGAAACCAATATTTACTCACTGCTGAGAATAGGAAGGTCTGGGCAGCAGTGGGAAGAAACTTTTTTTCAAACTTCTTAGTTCTGCTGCAAAAATATATTCTGTTTTATATTCTAGGATGATGACATGGGCACCAAACATACTTATGGCCAAGATCAGATGTTCAGAGTCTGTCACCATTACAACATTTTATAGAAAAGCAACAAGTTCCACAAATCCCATTATAGAAGACGAACACTTTTAACTGGCAACATAACAAATAACACTTTCACCTTTATTTTTAAGCATTCTCAGAAGTGTCTTAATTCTTCAAGTGACCATCTTCACAGCTCAGAATTTAAGGTGTGTTTCTGTGTTACACCATTTTTAAGTGACAAAGAACATGGTAGCTAAAATAATGAAGTTTAGAATATTATCTCAAAGGGGTTTAGCAGTGAAGTGGTTAATGATGTTAACATATAAATGGCAATAATTACACTAGCCTAGTATGGAAAAATGGGAATATTTGGTGAGACTGAATATTGTTTCTCTTTATTCTGCTTGTAATCGTAAGGATGATGGTGCATTCTTAATGCCTTTTTCATAAGCAGAAGAGATGGAAGCAATTTAGTGGAAACAAAAAGCAGGAAGAAAAGAGAAAACGTTTGCCAAATTCTTAACTTCTGTGGGGCTCTCACGTGGGAACTTTTGCAACTCTATTTGATAATAACAGCTGACCATTAGAATAACTTAGCAAGTGATACATTCTGAAATACAAGCATGTATACCAAATCCTGAAAGAAAAACAAATGATTCACATACGTTTAAAAAAAAACAGTCTGATGCCACAACTAACAAAAAGGTCATAAGTTCAACAACAAATGTAATTTTCAAGTATCTGCTATTTTTGATAGGTAAGAAGAAAAGTAAAAGAAATTCTCCACACTGAACGTGAGGCTCGCCTTTTCCCAGGCTTGGGTGGGGGCGGTGGGTGGGGTAATGAATCAGGCAGATTCTTTTGGAAAGCAATGCTTCCAAACTTCCTCAACAGAAATTCTACTTTTTTGAAATCTACCCCAAAGAAACAGTCATAAATATGAAGTACGCTGCTCACACAGAGAGGCTCCCTCCAGGGGTGTATCTAAGAGCAAAACCACCAAAATATCCAATCAGCTTAATAAATTATGTTCAGTGCATTTGCCATAGTACTTGCCATTTACAAAGGATGTTTTTACACAAAATAGGGAAGAGCTGTGACTGGACATTAGGTGAAAAGGCACACAAAAGCCTATGTACAGAATAGTATCAATAATTCAACGTCCAGGTTAAAAAAAAAGGCTCATTTACCAAAATATTAACAAAAGGAGGTGAGTTTATGGCCGATTATAATGTTTCTGATAATTTTTTACATTTTTAAAAAGTTCTGTCATGGCCATGTACTAGTCTTGTAATGTTATTTTGGAAGCCATTTTTAATGTAGCCGGGCAGGAAGAGCCCTGTCGACAGTGATGTTGCTAAGCTGCCAGCAAACACTCTCCGTTTTCTTTCATGAACAGGACGAACATCAGGGGCTGTTGGACTGGAAAGGGCTGCCTTCATTTAACTCTCCCCGCCCCTGGTGAGAAAACCGAGATACAAGGTGGAGCCAGGCCTCCGTGTTCACAGCCGTCACTTTGGTGCAAGCCTGGCTGGCCTCTGCAACTTTGCCCAGTCTGGTGAGGAAAAGGAGCAAGCTCCCGCTGGCTGCACCTGGGCCCTGTGCTTTGGCCCTGTCATCAAATACCAGCGCGAGAGACCGTGAAGCTTGGGCTTCCTTGTCCCCAAACCCCGCCGCCTCTCAGGAGCATACGCGTCCCTACGGTCTCCCAGGAGAGAGTCTCATTTGTACTATCACCCAAACTTCTGCATTCCTCTGGATTTGTAAACTTTAGAGAGTATGAACAGCTGTAGCTTTTCAGCAAAAATGAACTCAGCCTCCAGTATGAGACAAACAGAGGTTACCAAGCTTAGACCTGCCTGCCAGCAGCTCCCAGCCTGTGGGTACAGAGAGAGTGCAACAAATAGTCTTCCACCTCCGACCTCTCCCTGCCTTCCCACCTGAGCAGTGGAGGGTGAGTTCAGGTGAGTCTGGCCAGGTGTGGGCCACAGGGACTCTTCCTCCTGTCATGTAGCAGAAAAAGCACTTGCTTTAAACAACAGAAGACATGAGTTTGCGAGAGCATTCTATCGTTTATGAATTCCGTGCCCGTGAAAAAGTCACAGGAACCTCAATTTTCATAGTGAGTAAGATGAAGTTTGGAGAGAAAGGCGCCTCCTGGGTAGGGGAATGCTTTGAGAAAAGGAGAGGAGAGCCAGGAGGTGGTGGTGGCAGACCCCCACGCCAGACCCCTCAGGTCTTTGTTGGGGGTTTCAGCCTTCAGGAAAAACGGCTGCATTTTTACATATAGAACTTGGGGCTCGGTTTTACAATTTATGTCAGTGAGTTCATGTACTATCACATTTCACATTCTATCAAATTTCATAGAGTTAACAAAAAATGTTTTTGGACATCTGGATGTTATGTTGTAAAGTGTGTGGGTCACAGGCTTGTTATAACCTGGGGGCGGGGAGGGGTCACACCTCCTCCTCCTCCCCGCCCCCTCCCCCCTCTAGGGTACAGGCCTGCAGCCTCTTGGGAATTCATGCACAGAAACTGCTTTGAAAAGTATAAAGTGCTCCACAAATTTGAGGGTGTGTGGATTCCCATAGTCCAACAATGAAACAATATATACCCAGGCCACTCTTTTATCAAAGAGAATGCCTTACTCGTCCTAAAGTGACAAGCCCTTAAAACATACATATATACTAACACATGTATGTTGTCCATTTGGTATTATGGTAAATGATCATCTCCCAGGATTTCTCATTAAAACCCTAGGCTAAAAGAAAGATGTTTTTCACAAAGATCTTGCAGGGCTGATGAGTTTATCTCATTCCTCCTGGCTGCATTTGCATCCACTGTTTCTGCAACATTCACTCCTTTAGTATGTATCTTTCTGCATGCGCCTTCCTGCCTGTCCCTGCTCGGATTTCTCACTGAGGGTGGCTGTCAGGGCCTAACACTGGGACCGCCTTGAGCCAGCCCAGCTGGACGAATTAATGTCTCTCCAGTAACTCAAACCAGCAATGACTTCATCTCAAAAATTTCTGAGTAGCACAGGTCACAGTGTGAGTGTGGACAAAAGTAATGGGGTTCCCAGAGAAGTTAAATGGCGGTGGGGAGGTGTAAGCCAAAAACTACAACTGGGATGAGAATTGGGGGGGGCACATCTGAAAAAATAAAATTTCCAGCAGATCTTCTTGGAACAGTGTAAGCTTTTTGGTACAATGAGATTTTTGTCCTAGTACAGCTGAGCACACTGACAAAGCAGCAGAATTGCAGTGATACGCGCCTACATTGTAAATAATAGAGTAATATTATGCTACACAGTAATACTGTGTAATATAGTCACATACACTTCACAGACGCATAAAGAAGGAAACAAAACAAAGATTAAAATAAAAGACAAATAAAATAAGTATATATAGCTGTTCCTTAAATGAACTAAACCAAGGGCATTCTAAATATTTATATGTTAAATAAAATCCATTTTCTAAATAGAAAAGAAACTGATAATCTTACCTTGTTGTTAACAGCAAAATAGGTGTGTGTGTGTGTGTGTGTGTGTGTGTGTGTGTGTGTGTTTTCATATTTCAGTTTGTTTCTGCCGACATGGCTTTTAAGGAAATATACTGATGCAGAAAATGAAAGAAGAATTTCAAGGCGTATATGAAAGGACCTGTCCTGAAGCTATTAAATTTTGTGCATAATATTTCGTTCAAGGTGATCGAAGGCGATGGTTGTGGACTCCACCAAAGGCAGGTGGGAAGCAGGCAGCAGAGGCCCCAGGGAGGGCCTGCCGGGCAGCCAGGGGCTTTGCTTTTGTTTTTTGTTTTCTTACCGTTCCTGATGAAAGTTGAAGATCATCCGCAATCACTTCCCATTCACAGCTAAGGAAAGAAATAACTTTGTAATGACTAACAAACTATATGGCAAGATCAGGAAAATGTAAGAATCCCACAGAGCCATGGCTGCTGTGGTGATCACGCTGTGTTTTTTTGGGGTGCAGAATCCTTGCCTTTGGACCTGGGAGACACTCCTCCCACGCTCCTCATTCTGGCCTCACCAGCTCCGTGAGACTCTTCCGTCTTCCCGGTTCCTCCTCACTTTATCCCTCTGTTGTTTCAACAAGGAAATGGGTCTCATTATAATCTTTCATCTCATTCTTCTCCTTGTCATGATGATGAGATAAAGTACAGAAGTCAAGAAGTGCCTTCCAGAAAAAAAAGGATTAGACTCCTTCCTTCATTTCAGGGTTTTTCTATAATGAAAGATACAGTTAAGCCTGTTAGTTCTATCATGACAAAACAAACATGAAATTTGGAAAAGTTTGATTCAGTTTTTCTGTTTGTAAATTCTTTTGAGTAGGTTGGCTGCTATGTTTGGTTTGGACTTCAATGGACAAGGAAAAGGGAAATAATTCCAATTTTATTTAGCAGATTTAAAAATTAAAGTATAGATACTTGCATGTACTAAAAACAGAAAAAGTTATATTTTGAGAAAATGGATTTTGTTATAAATCAGCTATCCAGAAAAACTAAGAATACCATGGCTTTTAAACCATTACAGAGCTGAGGGATTTACCCACTGAGGTATTATTTTAAAGGGAAAACAAAAACTCAAGTGCAATGGTTTAGGTCAATAAACACTGCACTTTTCCAGGCAAGGCTTGTGAAGAACTTCCTGTAGCTTTCCACAGCGCGAAGGGGACGTGCAAGTTCACATCTGCACACCTAAATGTGAGCCTCCTATGAACGATGCTCTCAGAAAGAGTCCCCCGGCTGGCAGAACAAAGGCCAGGTCCAGGGGTTACTTACAAGGCTCCAGTGATGGTCATCCTAGAGCCAGAAACCGTCTGCTGGAGAAGCCCAGGTAGTTCCAACCATCATCTCACCTTGCAAAGCCACCAGATGCCACAGCGGGCCCCTGGCCGTGCAAGCTTCTAGAGAAGCTGGAAGGACCTGGAGGAGCGGAGGCAGGGCTGTCCTTGGCTCTGCTCGGATCTGCCAGGGAAGGCTTCCTCGGGTGAGGAAGAGGCACGGGGACCTTGGAGAGGCCAGGGGCTACTTGTGGACACTTCATTTTTCTAGTCTGCCAGGTCCTAGAAAGTAGAGCTGGCCAGCCAGGACACTCTCTCCTGCAAAGCCCACCCAGGGGTCGCCAGGACCCACTGGATGGCCATGCAGTCATGGCTGAGCCACATGGCCAGACTGACCAGCCAGGGGCTGGCAAAAGGCCATCAGAACATGAGTGCAAACATCAGGTACATTTTCAGAACACAAAACTTTATCCTATCTTTAATCAACACCACAGTAAAAAAATATTTATTCTTTAACAGCCCACCCTCTTTGTTCCAGCTACAAGTCAGGAGCAGACGCCTGACCCTTGGGGAAATCTCCTGGGTGGGACCCCTCTCTGAGGGCTGGGCTCCCTCCCCCACTAGGGCCCTCCAGAGACTGCCAGCCCCAGGCCTGCGCCAGCCTCCAACCCCCGCCCCCTCCCTCTTCAAGCCCTACTTCTCTGCCGGATCTACTTGCTGCAGGAGGCAGACATCCCATGGTGGGAATACCCGCAGGCCAGTGTGTGCAGCGACGTAGTGCTCAATACTTGGATGGCTCACCTTCCTGCCACGGAGGTTTAGGGCCAGGGGAAGCAGCTCAGCCTCAGTGCCTGGGCTTCCCAGAAGCACCCCGCTCGGACATCCAGCCCAATGCGCCTGCTGCTGGCCTCGGGGACAGGCTGTTGAGGACAGGCTGCCAGGCCTGAGCAAGCCTACGGCACCAGCAGGCTCAGCACAGGGCTGGGAGTGGGTGGGATGGGAAGTGAGTCTTCAGAGAGGGAGAGGGAAGGAACTAGAAACAACCACTTAACATCTATGTGGAGCCTGGGAGCATTTGTGGAAGTCATCCCCCTTACTGTTGAAAAGATGCAAATTTGGTGAAATAATCAGCTGTATGGCTCCAGGCTGTTTCCCAAGTACCCTGATTCCTAACAGGAGCGAAGGTATTAGTGTAAGACACCAGCAAGGCCAAGTTCACGTTGCTCAGAGGTAGCCCCTAACCAAACTCCGCCAAGTGCTGCAAAAGAAGATTTGTTATCTCAGGAAGGCAGTTCATCCAATAAAGCCAAAAAAATAAAAAATTAAAAATTAAAAAAAAAGAAGAAGAAAACAAACCAGAGTCCTTAAGGCTGGTTAAAGGGGAGCAAAACAGCCGAGCCCACCGGCACTCGGCACAAAGGGGGCCACTGGTTGTGTTCCCACAGTACCCGCTTCCTTGGCAAAGTGGCTCACATCACTGCAGAATGAAAGGCAATTAAGGCAAAGATATTTTTCCAGCATTGTTTTAAGTTCCACATCAAATATTCTTTCAGACATTCAAGAATCCACTTATCTCCAAATGAAGGGCAGAAGCTAAGCTAGTGATTTTTTGCATAGGATCTGCTCTTTATGGAAAGCATGTGAACGACGCCAGTAGATTCTGCGACATCGCGACTTCCATTAGAAAAGCGCCCAGTGAATCACTTCATACAAAGAGAGAATCCTTTCTGGTTCCTCAGGCTTCCCTGACCTCTTACCCCCGTTCCAGTTGGCAAAAGTTCGGGGACAAATTAACAAAATGGTTAAGCATGGCAGTAGATTTCATGCAGAAAATTATTCTTCGTGCCTGCTCCATAGCAAGGTCTTTTAAGTGATGCGGTTACAATGGACCTAAAACGCCACAGCCTGTAAACTAAATATTTCATCAATTTGCTGAGTATAAATTATATCTTAAAACTCCAGCCCTCTAGGATCAGGACATAAAGTGGCCGTTCAGTCAAGTGCTTTGAGCACTGCGATGCAAGATGTCTATAAAATACTTTACTAGGTTTTCATGTACAGTGAATTTGAAATAAGTGTAATGGAAAAACAAAAAAAAATGTATAGAAATTACAAGCTGCTATTTGATTCCTTTGTAAATTCTCTGGTCATGCCGGCTTTTTGTTGCCTTTTCCTTCTTTCTGAACAACTGAAGAAGACAGAACTTAGAATTATGAAAGATGGTTTTTAGGTCACCACCACATGAAGTAGTTGATTGGGCTTATAACTTGGTAAGAAATTGAACTTGAATTAGGCTCTCGTGTGTGTGTGTGTGTGTGTGTGTGTGCGCACGCGCGTGTTTCATAAGCTCTTAGGATACAGCTATATTTATGCATTGTGTATTTAGTTTTCCTTCATTTTCCCCTCAGAGGATGGAGAGGGTGCTGTAATTTTCAAAATACTGTGAAAAACATTTCTACAAATTGCTTTGCTTGTCTGCCTATATACGTTAAGCAGCACAAAATAAGCGAGGGGACCCTTCATCGCAAAACCTTTTTTTTTTTTTTTTTTTTTTTGCATTTTCTGTAACAACATAAAATCTGCTGTTATGACAAGAAGTCTGTAGTTCACTCCTTCATTTATAATTTAACCACAGCCTATATAACATAATCCAAAAAATATGGGGCATGATTAGTGTAAAAATCAAACACAGTAGAGGCTTTTTGAATACTCCAAGAACAAAACAAAACCAAAAAAAGGAGAGGGGAAGAAAACATTGCAGCCATCTGAATATATGTGGTATTTCTTTAATACTTCATTTTAAACTACCTAATTGTGTTTTTAAGCTTCGGTTTCTGTAATTTTGCAAGACGAGGCATTCCAGTGAGGAAACATATGGTGAGGGATTTTTAAACCACACAGCGAGAGTGCATCATAGACTTATCTGCTGTTTTAATGTCACAAAAATCCACCACTGAATTTATCCAGTCACCCATTAAAGAAAGAAAAGAATTAAAGGAAAAGGAGGTTTTAAATCCCCTAATGCTACAAGAATGAGTGAAATATGCTATCAAGTTCAAGTGAGAATGGTGCTGGAGCTTCAGGACTTCTTATAAGACCAGCAAACAGCAATTAGCAACCTGAAGGCTGGAGAGTTATTTCAGGAGCACTGCAGACAGCCAGTGTCTCAAAGCGGCCAGCCGATTCTAACCTAGCACCTCTCATCACTTAGCTTCCTAGATGCTCCTGTTCAGAATGGTCAGTTTTAACTTTGTTTCTCAATAGGTCAGTAGGCAAAAAGATATATAAAAATATCTCTATCAATTGATCCATTAATTGATAAAGAAAGGAAGGAGAGACGGATGGATAAATAGATACACGGACATTTGCTTTTAGTTTTTAAGTCCTGTTGTAATGGTCACTTAAGAATAGTTGCCTCTATATGAAAGGGCAGCTGTCTTAGGATGGTCTTTTTTAGGAGAGCTACTGAATCAGCAATTTGCGCAGGTGTTGCGGTGGCAACAGAAAGCTCTGATGGTAGCAAACTTCAACATTCGGACCTAAGTAAGATCTAGAAAGGGATTCCAGACACACCAGAGTGTCTTTACAAATACCTACGCAGCTCCACACACAAGGGGTGTGTGGGGGAGTGCATGCGTGTGTATGTGGTATTTCCAAGGGTCCTCCGGGCTCACACGCATGCAGGGAGATGGGGGTGGGGACAGAAGCATCCAGACATGAAGCAATGTATATCATTATTCAAATTATGTCAGATTCATCCTTAAATTACACTGGTGTTTCTTATCAGAAATTGTTTCATATACTATAATATGCTGCAATAAGTGGACATTAATTAATGCTAAATTACAATGGAATTACATATTATATCCACATGAATACTGAATGACTCTATTATGAATAATATTATTACAGTAAATATTCAAGGACCTGTAAGTAGTTTGTCGCTAATTACAAAGTGCTGACAACTACACATGACCTTAAGTTAATGTAAACTTTTAAATATAACAGCCACACAGCAAATCTTTGATTAATGCTGCAACAAAAATATAGCCGGAGACGTGATGAGCAGAGTCGAAACGCAGTCCACCACTCCTTCTGGAAGTCTGATTTATCTGCAAGACAGAAGCGTCTCTTGGCTTAGAATTCCATGCAAGCTCTATTCTCTCAGCACAGACGTGTGTGGCTCTCTGTTCAGCTAATGTTTTTAAAAATCCACGCACAACTTCGCCAGAGTCTCTGGTTGTGGTGGGTGGTCATTTTGTCTTAGAAGGGAAAATCCTTAACCCTTTGCCACTTTCTACTTAAAAGATGTCAAAATGCTCTGGTGGCATTCTTTTTTTTTTTTTTCTTTTTGCACAGTGAAACGGAGTGAGAACAGTATAAGGTGTTAATCTTGATAATTAGGGCACAAAAGCAATTAGAGGTCTAAAAACCTTAAGGCGCCGAAAGTGATTTTTTGTTTATTTGCTTACCTTATTAAGTTAAATATCTGTCTGAATTAATCGCTAATGAATGTAAAGAAGGCTCAATAGCAGCGGTTTAATGAACAGCCGTGTCAGTTGCATTTTACAGGGTCCCAAATCATCGAAGATTGCAAGCCAACTTGCTATTCAAAATTACTTTTCTGCCCAATTTTCTGTTTGCAAAGCAGTAAATTATTTACATTTATTGTGCTTATTTAAGCACTTAAATGACTATGAATGGAGTACAGGCACATTTTAAAAATATAGAACCATTACACAACTCTACTGCTAGAAATTCCCGTTATTTTCCCCTGAAGACTGCTTCCTCTACTTTTCTAATCTCTCTTTTACAACAATTCATGAAAAAGGGCATTATTACATTGAACATGTTTTAATAAGTTATTTATTATTTAACATACTTTAAGAGGCAGTGCCATAGAAGTTACATTACACACACTAAGAACGGTCTCTTTCAGACCTGCCCAGTTGCCTGAACCTAAGTGCTTAAGTTTCCTGAATAAAATTATTCTGTCTTTCATTAGAAACAAATAAACGGTGCTTTTCACCATTACTCACATCATAAACATTGATATTTGAAGAGATCTATTATACTAATTATTGTCTTTGGAAATTATCATTTAATATATTTACTTTCTTTAATGGTTATTCTTTTGAAATCAGTGACCACGATTTTTTTTTATATGTGCAGCTGCTCCCACGCACAGGTCCACAGCCTTAAGTTGCACTTACATGCAGGGAGACCCAGCCTGCGGGAACAGTTCCCGATGTGCTCTCTGCACATCCACAAAGCGCCCCAGCTACGTCGCTGGGCAGCCAGTTGACCACGGCCAAACCCGTAGATGGTCCAGATCATCAAACTGAGGTTAAGAACGCATAATGAAAAACACAAGAAGGGAGAATGGATAGATAGACTCATGGTAGCAGGAAAAGGAAGAAAAGAAAAAAGGAAGGAAAAGAAAGTAAGACCCTTGGCAAGAGAAACAGAATTCTAGGTGATCCTGCTAGCTAGATCGGGGTCAGATTCAAGTCGTTCTTTTCAAATCTTTCAGATGACTGCAGTGGAAACTTTCTTGTGTTTGCGAACGCAGACAGACACTCGACACCCAGTTTCTCCATGGACGGCATGCATTTACATGCATAATACGGCGGATGTGCCCGCTCTGACTGCAGCTCATTTCCTAAGTCGCAAGAAACGCTGGTATTTTTCAAAAGTGATTTCAAAGAATTTGTGTATGTGCATGTGTGTGCGCACGCGAGCGTGTATGAAAGCAGCCATATTTATTATTCAGACTTAACTATTTGCGTGTATTTTCCCAAATGATACCAGGGGCAGCGTAACATCTACTGTTAAAAAGCCCCATGCTATTCATAAGAGATTATACTGGAGTAAACATTACAGTAGCAGTAATGATCTAATTAAAAGAATCAGACATACTTAAAAGAGTCCCTTCTTTCAGGAAGGAGGGGAGAAGAAAAATCAATGAGGCAATCCATAGTCCGGAATGGGGCGAAGCATTTTACTGTGATCAAACACAGTCTATCTAGTACATATCTGAAGTCCTCTGGTCTTTGTTACTTAATGTGATGCGGAAGATCAGAGATGCGTGCAGTCTGTGTTCCAGGGTTCCAGCTGAGTCGCTGTCATATGTTAAGCTTTTTTTTGTTTTAAGTTGGCTATAATTCTACCTTACTCCAAGTGAACAGTGTTTCCATTAAACTAAGCATTTCCCCAAATCTGGCAAGAACCTTGCATGGGGATTTTCCTGAAGCAACCTAAAGGTGACCCTAGAGCACACCTACGAATCTGGGTTTGCACGGCACTGAGCTCCGTGCCGGCTCCCGTATCTCTACCCTCAAGAAACACAGGTATTGTGTGTGCGTGTGAGATGCAGGGTGACAGAAAAAAAGGGAGTGCAAGCCCTATATCACCAATTGTCTACATGAGTGCCAACACATATGTCGGCTTATGTTTGGAAGACATTATTTTTTCCCAGCTGCTTTCTTTTGTACCTACCTCCCAGCACTTGAAGTGGGGCCTGCAAACCGGGTTTGAAATGTGGTCAGACGGAAATGCAGTAGCCAGGACAGAATGGGAAACTCAGGAAGGAGGCTGAGGTGGGAGTCTCCGGTGTGGCCGGGAAGCCATCCCCCCAGGAGGCCACGGGGGGGAGCTGTGGCTCTGCTCAGGGCGGCCACAGCCAGTAGCGGGGAGGAGAGGGCGGAAAATATACTGTAGCAAAGCGATGGTGGAAGAGGAAAGGTAGGTTTTATAAGTTCCTGAATTTTATGACTATGCTGCAACGGTGGAATGTCCACTCAATCTGTTGCGAAGTTAGCACAGAAAACATGCACTGGGCATATTAAGTACAGGATGAAATGGTGCAGTGAATATTTATTAGCAAAAATATAGGTTCTCAAAAACAGAAATAAAACAGGGTAATAGATGAAGGGAAGAATAGATTTAACACTGAAATAAATATCAAAGGTGCAAAGAAAAGGCAAAATATAGTGTTCAAACAAAGCTGTGAATTGGGTCCAGATTTAATGCTCCCCTAGGGAAGAAAAGGTTGGACAGACTGCTGGAATTGAGATACTACTTTTAGTACACAGTCCCTGTAATGCTGTCAGCTTTATTTCCTTTGACAAATGTGAAATAAAATTTGTCAAAGTTAGGGCTTGGAAAGTTGGCTATTGAAAATTCAATTGGTAATAACTAGTATAGCCTAGCACTCCGGAGATTTTTAAAGGAGAGGGATGTTTAAGATGCTGGGGTGCGGGGGGAACCGTATTACATATTGTATTTCACTTTTTAAAAATTTAGCAGTTGACTTAGGCAGCTGGATTTCTAAGTTTCCTGTTAGCTGGGTTCACCGTTAAAAGGCGGTAATTTAAAACCCATTTCCATGATAACTACAATGATATAGTAAGTTTGAAAATATTCTGGTGTCTACACAGAGGAGGGCTCCTATGATCTCACTCAGCTTGGGGTCCACACGCCACGAAGACTTTGCTTGATCCAGTTCTATAGAAGTGCAGGGCGTGATTGCGAAGTCAATGCTACCCTCATTCCACGCTACAGAATTCCTGACTCTGCTTCTCCTTCCACCATGCATTGGACGCGTTTGCAGTGCAAACGGTGATTTACTGGGAATGTTTAATAACAGACTTTTCTTGTCTTCTCAATGTGCTGCTCCACAGCCCCAGCCTTTCCCTTGCTGGGTGCATGGCAGGTTTTCCAGGGAAGCTCTTGGAAGCCACTTCTCTCCCGTGCTGCCCTGCCGGTCCCACCCCCGCCCCACCCCTCACCTCTGCTGTACTTGGGAACAAAGCCACGTATAAGAAAAAAAAGAGCGACTTAGCCTGCATATGGATATCCAGGGATATGTCTGTTTTCCTGACTGCCCCAATACACTCTCAGTGTAATCAGGAAGACAAAACAGTCTCGCCACATTTTCTGCTTCTTTCTGTGGAACGGAATCTGATGTCTCCCAGCTGCATTCATGTCCCTTCAAAGTGGGCAACTTGGCATTTACTCCCGCTCTCTAAAGAGTCACCGAGGGCATTGGAAATTTCGGCTGCGAACCCGGAGAGCGGCTGGCTCTGCTGCGGCCGGGCTGCCGTCGCTCCACTCCAGCTGCCGTTTCTTTATTTAAGAAGAACTACAGAAAAGACCTTTAGGAATCACCTCTTAAGTCATTATGGCATAAGGCACCTTTCTGTCTTTATGACATGGTGGGGGGGGGGGGTACGATATTTAATTGAAGATTTTATTTTTAATTTTCGCATTCTTACCATGTGGTCATTACTTTATTTTTACATTTTCAGCCCATTTTCTTTCCAGCCCATCGCAGGAATTGGGCAGTCAGCAAGAGCCAGAGAGTGCTGGCATGTATCATTACATTCTCAAGATGGCATATTTACTGCGCTTGCCAGCAGGGTCGCGCTTCTGTCCTAGTAAATGTAGTGGAGTATGAAAAAGGCAATTACATCTCACTGGGTGACCTTTTAACAGCCATGACTACCTCCTATCTATACATAATTATTATAGGTGATGATTTCCAAGTATTACAATCTCCTAGAGCCGCCTTTAATTCACATCACATTTAGGCACGTTTGTCACCAGTGCTAGAAATTTTAACCCCCGAAAACTGAAAAAACAGAAGAGAAAAGTGATAGCAATGGATGTCAAGCTCTCAAGTCATCCTAATAAAAACACAGCAAATAAGATGTCGCCCTGTTTGTATTCATTATCAGTTCTTACATGCTCCGACTCTTGCATTAAACATTAGACAGCCTCTGATGCCTGCTTAACAGTTTAATTCCCTCCTCAGTATTCAGGCTGTCATAATAAAATCAGTGAAGCAGGCAAAGTCAAATAAGAGCAAGAGGAGGCATAGAGCATGTAGCACAAGCCATTGTCATCGCTTACTATTCACCCCGCACCACTTACAGGAGCTGAATTCAGCATATGCTGTGGGTGACACACAAACCAATCTCTCCCTCCACCGCTGTGGCCAGCCTATCTTGCCGGTGCAGGGCGAGGGTGGCGCGCGTGCAGAGGGCCGATAGCAGTCCCTTCAAAAGGAACCGGCTTCTGAGCCACTGGAGCTGGCACAATAGAAGCCACTTCTGTCAACAAAGACTGCAGACTAAAGAGCTAGATATCCCCACTATGGAAAGATTAACAGCGCTAAATCCGTTTAGGCCCTTTTTTTTACTTATTTACAGGCTGCTGATCTTGAAGGCTGAATCAGAACAAGAGATTAGCTCTATTAAGTGCTGCCCATTTTTCTGAATTATGTTTTTGAAGACTTGGACAATATGAATAAGGACTCATATTAACCACTGTACGAAAGGCGCACACTCCATTGCAATGACAAAGCCTTCGGAAAACTACTTGTCACTTGCAGTGATCCATTGCAAATACAGTTTAATATATAATTTATATCTACCAGCTGGTGAGAGCAGAAAGGGAGCGATTCCACTCTATTTCTCTTTTAAAAGAGAGAGAGAAAGAAAGAGAGAGAGAGAGAGAGAGAAAGGCTGGCAATGTAGGATGTCACTAACGATAGTAAAATAGCTCAGCAAACAGTTCAATAAATGGTTCAATACTTGTGATACTATCCAAACAAAGACTCGAAGCCATTAATTTTAAAAAGTTCTGTGAATCTTCTTTGAACAGTAAATATTTAATCACGGCAATATGTAAGCTGCCCTCTCATATTTTATCTCCTAACCAGAACCGTGTAGTGAACCTGGCCTTTAATAACTTTGACCAGAGCGATATTTTGCCATTTTTCTCCTGCCATCAAATTATGAAGTGTGTCCAATCCAGCATGTTGCTATTTGCTACCTAATGCGCTCCTATTGATGCCTAAATATAGCGCTGGACAAATGAGCTCCGTAGGTGTGAACACTAAATAATGCCCAAACCCCACTTAAAAATACATATATACATGTGTGTATTAAATATATCAAATGATACATTTAAAATTCTAACTATATTTAATAACTACACTACATGTTTTTTAAGTACTATATAATTATATTATATAGTATTAAAGAAATTAAAGCTTCCGGGCATAGACTTTCAGAGCCAAGCAGTAAGAACGTGGAAATTTGCGCCTCAAAGCTTTCTAGCCAGCGTCTTTTTTTTTCCAGGCACACTCACTAGTTAGGAATGTCATCTTCGGCCAAGTTTAATAATTGATGAGGAGCCTCGCAGGTCTCAAAAGCTTATACAACCAAACAACTAATATTTATTTATTTTATTATATATTTTCTTTTAATTCAGGAAATACCCACAGCGATTACAATTCTAATTTGCAGGGAATCCTGTTGGCAGAAAAATCAAACAATTAACAATCCACCTTCTAAACAGACTACTGGTAACGGACGACTTCAGAGGCAGCCAGTCAGACACGAGCGATTGCGCTCCCCCCGCGCCTGGGCTGCCTTGGAGTTCAGATGAAAACAAGTTCAGGAAGTTGATTTGATGGGCAGCACCGACCAAACCACGACTTATGAGGCTTGCAGATGCATGTCAGAATTAGGCTGCTATGAAATACGGCGTGATCTGTTCCACCTTCTGTAAGTTTCTCAGAAGTGAGGACTCTACTCTCAGAAACAGCGTCCTCCCTGCCACAGCCATCAATGTGCATGTGGTCGACACACGCATTCACACACACTCACGGCTCATTAAAATGCGTTGTGAACTTGGCGTAATCCCCAGGATGTTTCTTCATTAGCTATTTTGGATGGCCTCTACCGCACACACATTTCAAGAGCCACGTTCCTTTAATTCTCAAATCAATACACTCTTAGCAATTGCAAGTGGCCAGAAAGGTCACCCTCGAACCCCTTCGGTCCTAGAAGAGTGGCAGAGGAGGGATAGGAAAGGACCCGTGCAAGATCACACAGCGAGAAGATGAAAGCAGTTCATCCTCAGACCTCTCTCTGCTCCATCAAAAGATAAAGAGACATTTGCTAAATGTCATTAGTAGTTCCTATATGTAAGTGGAAGAGCAAAGACAAATAAGACACAGTTATTATTTTTCAAGAGCTCATAGTCTAAGAGTGAGACTCAACCTTAAAAATAGGCTACAACCCAAGACATCAAATTTCAAGTGGGCCAGAAAAGGCACAGGGGTGGAGCGGGCAGAGCTAACTCCAGCCAAGGGGCTGGAGTACTGAGTACTGAGTACAAGGTCACTCTCCGTGGATACGTTGTAGATTGAGTGGAAGACACATGCAGACCTGGCTATTGTCAAGGAGAACCTGCCTTCCACATAGGTAGAGGAATGGACCACCAACCTCGGATGGAAATTCTGGTAGCCTTTTCCCATAAATACAGCATCCTTCTCTCTCTCTTGGCCTCTTCCTATGAACCACCTGATGAAAAAGGCAGTGATGTCAAGCAACTTCTGAGCTCACAAGAGAGATGCAAGGCCGGTGGCATCTGTGTAACAAATAAGCCTGTGTCCCAAGTCCCTCCCAGATCATCATCTTTCACAGTAGCTTCCAAAAAGAAACATGTTGCTATCCCATTGGAAAGGGCAAATGAGGTCCCAAGCCACTTACCCAAGGAGAATAAAAGGTGGAGTGGGCAAACCACCCAACCCAAGCACAGAGCTCTTTCCACTAATCCCCATGGGCACACCCTTGAGAAACTCTAGCCAGACTTGCTGTACTCGCCAAGTCACGCCCCAGCCCCTACAGTGTGCAGGGCTCTGCGGAAGGAAACACGTAAGAGTCCTGCACTCATAAGCTTGTGGTTTGCTTGGGAGACGTGTGAGCCTAAAGTTAACTATCTCTATTATATTTATTTTACATGTAGATAATATTTATATGCATGGAATATTTTCTTACATTATGTATGTGTGTATATACACAAGTGTGTGTGTGTGTGTGTGTGTATATATATATATATATATAGAAAGAGAGAGGTAGGGATGGAATAGGCATGGATGTGGAACGTGTGTATGGCAGTAGTGGTGGGAAGTAGGAGCAGGTCAGGACGCTCAGGGCACACGGATCTGACCACACATGGATCACCCAGCAGTGACACAGATACTCAGGTGATCAAACCGGTCTGGCAGAGTAGTGATGAGGTAAATGAAACCAGGAAAAGAAACCACAGAGCAAGAAGAAGGGGCAGCATCACACCTCACCTTTTCTGGGATGCAACCCCACTTCTGCTCAGGGTCCTCTCTCAGACCCACCTGCCCCAGCACTTCCAGCCCTCAGCAACATTTCTGTTTCCCTGAACTCTTGTAACACTTGGCGTTGCTTCCACAGAACTCAGCTCTGTCTTGCACGTTGTCTTCCCAGAAGTAAACACATATGTGGGCATCTCATGTCTGGGTCTCCTCTTTCTAGCGTGTGCTCTAGGGGAACACTCAGTAGTCTGGCAATGGCCTAGGATGGCCCAGACCAACCAATAGAGTCTCTACCGTGAATCTTTTTTTTTTCTTTTTTTTTTTGAGACGGAGTCTCACTCTGTTGCCTGGGCTGAAGTGCAATGGCACGATCTCGGCTCACTGCAACCTCCACCTGCCAGGTTCAAGCGATCCTCCTGCCTCAGCCTCCTGAGTAGCTGGGATTACAGGTGCCCACCACTATGCCCAGCTAATTTTTTTTTTTTTTATTTTTAGTAGAGACGGGGTTTCACCATGTTAGCAAGGCTGGTCTCGAACTCTTGACCTCGCGATTCGCCTGCCTCGGCCTCCAACTCTTGACCTCGTGATTCACCTGCCTAGGCCTCCCAAAGTGCTGGGATTATAGGCGTGAGCCACCGTGCTCAGTCTACTGTGAATCTTAATGCTAGCACCTGCTGCCAAGTCACTTGGCCTCTCCCGCTGTCACCTACCTCTTCTGTAAAATGGGTGAGTAATACAATCTACCTCACAGGGTGCTACAAGACAGTAGACAGAGCTCAGCCCATTGTGCAGCACACAGTAAGCACCCGACAAAAGAGAGTGGGTAACCCTGGCAGCTGCAACAACTGCACAGGTGATCGCAGCTAGTCCTCAGTTTCCCCATTTGTAGAATGGGTACTAAGGTGTCAACTCTGCAGAAGTTTCATGTGGAGAGAATAATGTACACAAGGAGCTTGGCACATAGTAGATGCTAAAATTATTTTGTCTATGAGCAGCAGGTCTATATATTTTATATCCCCAGAGAGCTTTGCTGAATGTAATAGACACTCCATAAACACTTGTTGATTTACTGAGAAAAGAATTCCTTGTACTAATTACATGCATTCACACTGATGCAAACTGACTCTACCTGTCCATTTAAAGAGAAAGAAACAAAGCATTAAGCTTCCTTCACGGCAAAGGAGCATCAAATCAACAAGCATCACATTGCAGAGCTCTGTCTGGCCAGGTCTTGGGATTCTCAATTGCACATTTGTGTATATGCTTCAGTCAGGAGGACTATTCAGTCTGCCTCACATCATTTTTAAAAGTTTGCAGGTTTTCAGGCTCCAAAAGTGTCATTATATTTGGAATGGAATTTTGCCTCCTCCACCAGTAATGTAATAAAATCTCTGAGTCTGAGAAAAAGTCAGGAAAGGTCAGATGTCAACCAGGTTAACATTAAAATTGTTAGAAAACAGGAACCGTAATTTGGGGATTGAAAAAGAGGCAGAATTCATGTTGTAAGTGCAAGTGATCTGGAAATAGATGTTTATCTTGGCCATTTTCAGGGAAGTGACATCATATCGTGTGTCTACTGGGATATTACTCCTGCATTTTTCAATCCAGATTTTGGCACTAAAGTTGGCAAAATTAGACCATTTTGTTAAACTGATCTTGGAGGCGTCCACCTCCCGAGCACATTACAACACACCTATGACATGACTCTAGAACAATGGGTGAAAAATGGGCCATAAAACAGGAATGGCCTGCTTCATGTAAAGTGGATTTTATAGTGCAGGTGTACCTGCATTTATCGATACTGTAAAGCAGCAAGATTGTGCCACCATAAAGCATAATATTTGTTTTAAAAAAGAGGAGGAGAAAAAGAAAATAACAGATCCGCCTATGAATTTAAAAATTACAATCAGAAAAAATGTAAGCCTGTGGGGCACTTTATAAAAAACATTTGTCATTTTATTATCTTAGATTGCGTACACTTTGTCAGAGGCTTTGTAAGATATGTGAAACAAAAAGGCAATTTGGGGGAAAAGAAGAAAAAAGGAAAAAGAAAAAAAAGCTTTGTTGAACTGAAAAAACAGTTTCCACACCTACTCAGGAAAAGCCACATCTTGAAGCATCTGAAACCCCCGACTGTGGCTGAAATATCCAACTGGTGGTGGGCTTGGGTGGTGGGAGAGTGGCTTGCCCCTTTCGGGTATGAATGGGAAAAGTCTGAATAGGAAGTCCTGCAGGAGTTTTTTATTGCCTATTTCCTTTCGGGAAGATGGCATTGTTTCTCTCTACAATGACTAGGGAAGGGGTGTAAGTAAGACGGGTTGACAGCATCCTTCAAAGCTCCTGCTGGCTGCAAGAGTGCATGGGTTGGTATTTTTTTCCTTGCAGAGCAGATCTTGGCTATTTATAAGTAAGATCACGCTGGTGCCTAAGTTTCCCTTCCCTAGAAAGGGTTCTTGGCATAATGTTTAGATTAAGAAAACGGTCTAAACACAATGCAAGAAGTATCTCCCCACCTGCAGCGCTCCGTGTTTAAAAGTCAAGCTCTTTTCCCTCCCATAGACAACAGCTCCAGAAATACCCCTCTGAGCAATCAGGACACTGAACAACCACCTGCCCAGCAAGCCAGGAAAGGGCAGCTTTGAACAGTTTCCTCTCCTTCTCCTTGACACATTCTTTGCCAAAAAAAAAAAAAAAAAAAAAAAAAAAAAAAACATTCTCCAATGTTAGTGGACTTGGACACAATGAATTTCATCTGAGGGGTTAAGAGAGGGCACGCATTTAGAGCGAGAATAAAACAAATGTTTAAAAAACCCATTATTGGTTGCATTTCAATCCCTGCTCTCCGTTCTTCCTCGGCGCCAAATGCCATCCGCATGCTTGGTGCAGATGTTGTCACAGCTGCCCGCTCACATTGCTGACAGGATGCAGTGTGGGCTCCACCACTCAGGATCCCAGGAGGGTGACCCAACGAGACATAAAGCAAGGACAACTGCAGCAGAGCCTCCAAACTGCTGCCAGGGGGAGTCTCTCTAAAATGCAAATCTGAGCACAGCACTCTCCTGCTGACAGCCCTGCCATGGCTCCCTATTGCTGCTCTCCAGGAAAACTTCCAAGATCCTTAACCTGACATAGAAGGGCCTGCTCAGTGTATCTCTGCTTGACTCTTAAGGCTTGCCTGTCTGTGCTCTCTTTCCTCCTCCCACCAACAATGGATACACTAGCTAGCCTTGCCATGCTGCTTATAGAGGCCTGAGCAAAACAAACTGCTCCAGGCCCACTGTTTCGAATGTTGCTCCCATCTTTTTGACCTGTCAAACTCCTCTTCATGCTTCAAAACCCTACCCAGCTTCTCCTCCTCTATGAAGCCTTCCATGATCCAACCATAGCCAGAGTTAATCCTTCTCTCCTTGTACAACATTTTCATCTAAACATAACTTCTTGCATGTTCTAGTTATTGCAGGTATCATACTATAGCCTACATGTGTGTCTACATGTATGCCCTTAGGGTCCCCCACTCCACTGGTAAGACAAAGCCTGAGTTTTATTTCACCTTTTATCTTCAGCACCTGACACAGTGTCTGGCACATATAATGTGGAGAAAAGAAAAGAAGGGAAAGAAAAAAGAGAGGAAGAAAAGACAGGGAAAAGAGAAAGGAAATGATAATCAACTGTGTCACTCCAGAGTAAAAGCACATCCAGGAAGCCAAGTCTGGAGCTACTGAATAATATTCTTGGTTGGATTTTTCTCCTTCCCCTGACCTGGAGTCTGTAGAAGATGAGAAGACTTTATATCCAAGAAACCAGTTTCATCTCAGGTACAAACACGCAAGTTCACTCTACTCCATGTAATGTGCATCCATTGAGCACCTATTACATTCAAGAACTAAAAATGTACCAACTTGTTCAGAAAAAGTTGTAAATAAAATAATAGGATTGAGCTTCTCAGTTCTATGAAAAAGCCACCGTCTCTTCTCTCATAATAGCACCTGTGAGGTTTTCTTGCTGCTGGAATGTAACATGACATCTGCATGTCACAAACACACAGAAGGATTGCATTTTTACCATGCCGTTATTTCCGTATTTTCTCCTATATATGTCCCCCCTCCATCTAACCATGTAACCTCAGATTTGCAGTGGACTACTGAAACAGTAAGTGTGTTATATAAATAACCAAACCATGGTGAAGGGGAATAGGACATGTTAAAATGTGTTTTTATTTAAAAACAAAAGATACAGTGATGTATGTAGCCATGTAAGGCTAGAGCATCACATTTGGCCAGTGTCATTACACCATAAAAAGGCTACCAAACTTTTGAAGCAGTAGGGATTTTCTGTATCTGGTCATTTTTCCTCTAGGGTGTGTGGTCATCAACATTTTTTAAAACACTTCCTAATTTGGAGTTGGCTTAGAAAAAGATCACAGTGTCTTAGAGATACTCCTAAATATGGGACATTTATATATGGGAGGCATACCTATATGGTTTTTAAAAAACCTCCATATAATCTCACCAGTAAGTGCCTAATCTCACACAAGTCACTCAACCTCTTTGTGCCTTTGATTAATCCTTGATTTTACTACCACAGAGCCGGATGGAAACTTAAAAAATTATTTATTTCTGTCCATCAAATGCATACTTATAAACCCCATAAGAACTTAGGATATTATAATTGAAATGCTAATAAACATAGTGGCAATAATCCAACCATAGAAACAGCGATAGGGAAAGAAAGGACAAAAGGCAGTGATTGACCACTGGCCCTTTCCTGAAACAGGAGCCCACCGTGGCTCTCGGAGTGGAACTGATGCTCCTGCAGCTCCCTCAAGACAGGTAAACAACGAGCTCCGGACCTGCCTCAAACCAATCAGGCAGTGGGTATTGGGGCCTCTGAGTCAAGGCCAATCAGGAGGCAGGTAGCATGCAGGGCACTGAATCGAAGGACCAATCAGTGCATAGGTAGCTCAGTGGGCCTGCCTTCAGGCCTGGGTACCGCATCCCCAGGCCCGCATGGCACACCCTCCTTCCTTTCCTCCATCCTTCCCTCCCTCCATCCACCCTTCCCTACTCCATCCACGGTACCCTCCCTCCATCCACCCTTCCCTCTCTCCTTCCTGGCTTCTGGATCTTGGACTCTGAAAGCCCATTTGGGAGAAGGAAGTCAAGCACTGGAGCACCTTAGGACCTTTCTTCCTTCAAAACACCTTCCACAGTTTTCGAAAGCAGGCTGTTTCTCTCTCCTGGGCATGGCTGGGCCTTTTCCGATCATGGGGATGGGAGAGCCACTCAACAATGGCGCTCAGAACCAAACCACGGCCGGGTCTCCTTCCTCAGGCAGCCGCCTTACCACTGAGTCAAAGACACCAGGAGGCCCCCCATTCAGCTGCTGGGGAAAATGGGAGGTAAAGGTATCGGTGCTGTTCTCGCGGAGTCTTTCTCAAGATTGACCTACTATAAAAAATGTTTATATTAAGGAACTCATTTCCACCCCAGTCCACACCCAGCAGACCTAGAAGGGCCGGTGACCTGAGCGAAAAGTATACGGCTGCCTCGCTAGAGATTCTTCAGTCCAAGAATAAAATTAGCTCTTTTGTTTCACTCACAACCCACAAGCGGAAAGAGCCAAAAAGCCCCCTTCCTCTCTCGCCCACCCCTTCCCTCCTCCCCTCCTTCTCTTCCACTCTCTCTCTCTCACACACGCGCACACACGCGCACGCACACGAACACACATGCACACACACGCGCGCACACCGCACACACAGAGGTGTGGTCTTGTTCTACTCCCACAGTTTATGTTCTCAGCAGCTCCAGCGTATCTCATGCCTGGAAATGTCTGAATCTCCTGCTGGCTCGGTGCTGTGACTTGGGGATTTTTTTTTTAAAGGTTCTTTTATTATAAGCCTAATGGGTCCTGCATTCAGGCTCATGATAAACAGGCAGCTTACTGGGTAAATAGCAAACAGCTTGCAAGCTTTCGGGGGCTTTACAACTCTGGTGAACTGTTCGCAGTGGCTCTAATTTTAACATGCTTGAGGTCAGCAAAAACAATAACAAGTGCACATAAAGCACGCTTAATTCCAAAGTCTTCCCTGTGAAAAAGTTGAGTGCATTAACTGTGAGCTCTTGGCAGCCAAACCTTGTTACATCTGTAACACATCATTTGGTTTATATTCAAATCAATGATTGGCACATAAAGCTCTAACAAATTTATTTATCTCCTAGCCCTCTTCTAAATAACGGCTTGCAAAGGCCATGGTTGTTATTTTCTTGACTTACAAACCCACAGCCCCGTCCAGACAGAGTCTGTTGTACTGTTTCTGTATACCACTCACTCCTAAAACTCCTGTTAGCTTCTTATTTTTCAGGAAACGACGTTTCCTTTAAAAAAAAAAAAAAAAAAAAGCTGATCATATGGTAAAAAACACTAAAGATTTTACTTTTAATAAGAACAGTGTGTCCTTAAAGCGGCATATTTAGCTAGCAGAATGTTAACTGCAAGGTAAGAGTGTTGTTTTATACCCTCAGTAACCAGACCAATTATCTGTAAAGTTTTTTCATATTTAATGCATCCCCAGTCTCCTTTCACCATCTGCCCTTCCCCCTCTAACGTTGTGGAATTTTTATGAGATAGGACAAAAATGGGCATTTCCCTTATTACCATCTCACTGTGGAAATCAAATATGCAAGGAAAGTAGTGTATATACTAATTAGTGCTGAATTCATAATTACTGTGCTCATTGATGGAGATACATTTGAATACATTCAACTCCTTAGGGAGAGGAGCCGGCTGTCCGGGAGAGTTTGAAAAAATGCCCTCAGCCTCTTTTCTTCTTGAAATTAGGGATCTGTGGCATACAGTAATGTTATAAGAAGAAGATCCAAAGTGCCCGCAATTTCTTTAAATATAATTAATCAAGTGAAGCATGTAACCTAATGAACGTATTTGATATAAGCTACTGTTCAAATATGAGCTTTATCTCTGCCTGTGTTGGAATTGCTAAAAGGAAGGGACACCGTCTCATACATTGCTGTTTAAAATGTTACACGGAGCTGGGCGTCAACTGTGTGCATGCTTGTCAAATTAAAAACTGACAGAAAGCCACAATTTTTAATTGCTATAAATTAATAACAATTAGAATTTACAGGCTAATGGGTTGGGCTTGAAGTCATGAAGGTCGGTGCTTATAGAAGGTTGATGAACATCAATTTTCCCTTTCACGCGTGGTTTCTTCTTTGCTCCTGTAACTTCACCATAAGTCTCAAATATCTTCTCCTCAGTGCTTTTTGTTTTAAGGACCAAATCCCATGAAAAGCTTAGCCTGGTATGGCTACTGAGAAGCGAGTCTTCTCAATCACGGTGGAATTAAACTGTTTTCAGGGGGCGGGGGAGGGGGGCATGGACAGTCAACCCCTTCGCATTCTCTCCTTCTCCCAGAAGCAGGTGGGGACCGGGGCTAGGCTCCTGCCTGCATTTATTGAAAAGGAGATCAATCCTCTCCAGCACTTGAGTGAACGGGGGCAAGCGCTGAGGCCCGCCGGAGCCCTGCTGAACTTTCAAATGAAATGCTGGCTGCCTCTATCAAAGCCCACCTTGGAACCAGTTTAGAGCTGCACCCAAGTTCAGAGCCAGGAGGCCAGTGGGCAGTCGGATATGTGGACCCCCTGCCCTGCTCAGAACCAGGGTCCAGGTGCTGGAATTACTGCCCAGCCTTTCGGAAAGGAGCCATATGACCTTGGGGATCAGCATCTCAGCCTTCACCAATTCCTTTCACCGACAGCAGAATTGGATTCAGGCCCCGGGTGGCCCTCCCTACCCACCCCACCCCTTACCCCTGGGCGCTAGCTGCATTGCCACAAAAAGGCACCCACACAGGCAGGCAGCAGCCCCACACGGCCGTCTCTGCTGTGACTTGGGGGGTCCAGCGTGCCTCTGGATGCCACCTCCACTGTGACTTGGGGTCCCTCCTCATGTGTGCGGTTGAGACAGGGCTACACAGACTGAGAGGGCCCCCGACTAGCTCTGCTCAATGCAAAATCAACCCTTACCAGCAAGCAGACCCTATGATGCCAGAGCCACTGTGGTTCCCATGCCCCCTGCTCCGGCTTCCCTGGACCAGACTTGTCTCCCTGCAGAAGCCGGAGAGAAAAGGCCTGATGGGTATCTTTAACCTCTATTTTCCACTCCCGTTCGGCCCTCATTCGACCCCAGGCCAACGAAGTAATTTGGAAGTGGAACTTCACCTAAGTGTTAATGATGGAGCTGGGGAAGTTGCTGTAATGAGGCACCGTGCCGGAGGAAGTACCAGTTGGGATTCCTATTGTAGCCATATGTGAGGCCAATGTTGCATGAATTAACATACGGTAGGTCAAGTTAACATATGTACAGTGAAAAATGACTAATGACTTATCACACCGATGTTATTTTTGAACCTTCCTCCTTGCATCCAACCTTTCAGGGAGGAACAAGTAAAAGCAGTTTATGCCTCAACTGTCCCGGTTCCCCGTGAAGAAGGAGAAAAGTGAAACCATATGCTTAGCAAAGAGAGGAAGGCAAGCCAGAGAGGCAGGCTGGAGGAGAACCAGCATGGGGCACGGCCGTCCTGCAGCAACCAGCCGGCGGGCAGGGGTGCCTAGCCACGCCGCCCCCACCGCCAGACAGCAGCGGGCCGGATGACAGATGCTCCTCTCCCCATCCCACAGGCGACATTTAGTGCCCTCCGTGCCACGAGATACCGGGATGGCTGCAGGGGCACCACAATTAGATCGGCAGGATGTGAAAAGAGTCAACTTTTTTGTTTAATGCCATCAATTTGCGATGGAGGAGACAGGTATTAGCTCGGGGACCTCCGCGGTCCCTGCTAGCTATTAGTTCCCTGCACAGCTGCACCAAACCCTGGATTATGAATCTGCCACGGCGGTCATTCATCAGTTTCACAGTCCACCCCGGCACATTCCAGCAACAACAGAAACAGAACATCTCATCACACTGACTTCAACAACCGCACGGCTAAAATCCCAGTTATCAGCAGAAATGAATTTCATCATGTGTGTGCGATGAGGTGATGAAACCGAGTATAAATTATACGGGTTCAAGCATGCTGATGGTCCGGGGTGCGCAGCGCCCGGCTCCCCGGGGCCGGGGTACTTCCTTTCTCTTGGCTGTCAAACAGGAAGCCTTTAAAAGTTGGCCAGAGAGTTATGGAATTACCTGTGGAAACATATTGTGAGGGTCAGGCCAAGGGCCGATTTGTCAGGCGGCCAGTGTCGGAATCCACACATCCACAAGCAGCATTTGTTTTCTTAACACTTTTTTTTTTTTTTCCCCCTTCCAGGATATGTAGCGGCAGAGGCCAAAGTCTATAAATTTCTGACTCTGCGCCCTACTCATTGTCCGAGTTTCCGCGTTTTTCATGAACGCTCTCGGCCGCCGGGAATTCTCTTTGATGGGATTTCAGGTTTCAGCAGCAAGTCCTGTTTACTTTTCTCGATTCTAGACCCAAAGGAAAATGATACTTTGCTAATTCCCTCCTCGGAAAGCCCTCGTCTCCTGGTTCTTGTTCCTTGGGATTAAAAGTTGTGACTTCAACTTTTTCTTCCTTGGCTCTAAGATGGGAAAACTGAGAAAACAGCGATGGTCAAAACTGCGCTGATGATCAAAGAAAGCAGACAGAAATGAACCCCGGCAGCGAGTCAGCAGCCCTCCTCCTGGATACTGATATACTTTTGGTGTCTAATGTCCTGGGATGCTTCTTGTCACAGAAATATTCGCATTGTGAAGTGCACACATTCAGCACCTTGGTGCTGCTAAATGCCAAAGCATCAATGATACTATCGAGAAATAGGAAGACAAAGGAAAGAAACACTGAGCCCAGAAAGCTTCCTTACCTGGATTCTCTGGTTTTTGCATTACTTGGGAAGCTAGTGCTAGACCGTTAGTCCACTGGAAAATGCCATATTTTTAAAAATGGTAATCTGAGTCATTTCCTGGGGATTCTTTAACAATGATGATTAACAGTAAAAAAATAAAATAAAATAATAAAAATCTCAGATGCCCATGCCTCCCACAATGGCTGCATATAACTTTCCCTCCCAGCCCTGCCTGGTCATTGCCGGATCTTTACGTCTGCTAATGTCCAGAAAGTGGCAGTTGGATGCAGAGTTTCAGTCCATTAAAATCAATGAAAAATAGATGAAGTAGAGCACGCCTAGTAGGGGGATCTGTTGGCCCCAGCCCCTGGAGTCCACATGCAGCTCTCCCTGATTTAACTTGGTTGGAGCCGGAGGGGCTTCCCTGTGAGTTGCATGGGTGCTGACCATAAGCACGTGATGTAGTGCTGATTTTTGGCTAACTAATAAGTAGTTTCTATAGTGATAATAACGTAGCATGTGCACCTATTGGGAATATATAAAATTAGAGAGAATTTCTGTTTGCTTTGGTCCTCTTTCTGGAGTAATTACAGTGACTGCCATTCATGCCTGTTCAGTTGCCCTGATTATTCCAGAGTCACCAGAATAACCCAGCTATTAAGGTTGAGTCTTGTGAAGGAGCATACGGCAAAGTGACAACTTGTCATGTTGGCGTTATCAATGCTGCAGAATTCTTGCATTTTGGATCCAACGTTCACAATATGTCTGAGTATTTAACTTGAGCTTGTAGGGGTGAGCAGCCCTTTAAGGCCTCAGAGGGAGCAGATTCTAAAGGGTTTTTTTTTTCCTTTATTTATGGCAAAATCATGCAATTCTCTATTTGGTATTCATTTAACCAGAACACATGCAGTTTGTTAAATCCCATCAAGAAAAACCCTGAGAGTCTTGAAGGGGATGAGCCAGGTGGGCTGGTGAGCACCATCATCTCCTTTCTCACACAAGGGAATTTTGGTTTCTTGGGTCAGCATCAAGCTTGGGCCATTAGATCAGCTCTAACGTCTTCTGGGAAGCGTCCTTTGAGGTGGCTGATGGAGAAAGTTCTAACTTTTGCAAAGAATGCAGACCAGGGACACACACACACACACACACACACACACACACACACACACACTGTAGATGAAGTTTAAGGATAAAACAAACACAATGACCCAAAACTCACTCTAACACTGGAGGTGCAGGAATTCCTCCTGTCCCTTATTTTTCCCAATTTGGAGCACAGGTGCTCTTTCCTGAGTTTTCAGAAACTGTAATACGTACATGCCGTGCAAAGCTTGGAAACATGTAAAACAAAATAGCCTAGAGAAAGTTATCATTGACAGCTGACAGACTGTGCAATTTTGCTGGCGAGAAATCACATAAGTAAGAAAAAACAAGTGCAGCATGATATTAATACCTGCCTAAATGGAAGTCATTGCACAAGTCAACACCTTAGTGAGCCCTGTTCGCCCCACTCCACATTCTGCTGCTCGGCGAGGTAGGCTTTCCTGATACGGCCTACGGTGCAAAATGCCTGATGACTCATGGAGCCGATCTGGAGGAGGAGGCAGACCCCTCGGCACCAGAGGCCGGAGCTGGCAGCCGCAGGGCATGGGAGCAGGCACTCAGGATGTCCTCCCATCACAAGAGAGGTGCCGCCGGGGCGGGCTGGCTGCTGCTTGGGGACACAGAACAGGGAGGGGGTAGAAGAGAGTCTGGGTGCCTCTCTAATTTTTCTAGTGCAGCCTAGAAGCTCTGCCCATCTAGTATCAATTGAAGGCCAGCAGGGGCAGGGACTCAAAAGAGCAGACAGCCGTGGTGTGCATGGCTCTGGAACCAAAGGAAGAAGGGGATGAAGAGTGAGCCACAACGAAATGAAGAGTCACCACCACATGAACCTTAAGGGAACACATGGGGAACACCCAGGTCAAATCATGGAACAAGGTGATATGTGGGTAACTCATTATTTTTAACTAAAAGGCTTTGTTTGGGGAGCAGTTTTAGGGTAACAGAACAATGAAGCAGAGGGGACAGAGGGTTACCATATGCCCTCTCAGCCTGCCCGTCCATGTACCCCCAGAGGTTCCCTGAAGATGAGGACCTTGCATTGGCTGGTATATTTGTTACAATTGATGAGCCAATGCTGATTCATTATTATTAACCAAGTCCACAGTTTACATTAGGGTTTGCTGCCTGTGCTGTATATTCTGTGGATTTTGACAAATCATAATGTCATGAATCCACCACCACAGTAACACATGCAGGAGAGTTTTCTGGCCCTAAAATTCCCCTTTGCTCTCTCTCCCTCCCATCCAGTTCCTGGCAAACACTGATGATGTCTGATTTTATAAAACACTGTCAGAGTGCTTAACATGTACCAAGGACATTCTGAGGCCATTATTTGCATGACTTTATCCACCTTCATAACAATCTGTAAGGAAGTTATTATTCTAATCTTCATTTTTAAATGAGGATCGAGGCACAGAGAGTGTGTGACTTGCCTGCGGTCACACAGCTGGTGAAGGGCTGCAATGAAACCCACCATCTGGCCCCAGTCCTTGCTCTTCCCACCGTGCTGTAGGGGCAGATGGGGGTCCAGCTGTGAGTTATGAATGAGCATGGGGCGGGGCAGTGGAGACATTATCCAACACGGTTCTGTGCTGCCAAAGACGAAGGGTGTCAGGTTAAAAAAAGATTACAAGGTAGACCAAAAATAACAATGCCCATTATCCGACAACCATTTCTCTTAGGACATAGACCTGATGCCAGAGAGTGTCAAAAAGAGCAAAGGACTGAGCACTTGCCATGCACTGCACCCTGCTCAAAGCCTCTGATCTTAATTATCTCATGTGACCCTCAAAACAACCCCAAGAAAGCAGCACCAGAATCATCCCAGCATCGTCCCACTTTACAGACGAGCACACTCCACACTAGAATGCTTCTGTGAGTTGCCGAATCTGAACACCTGGCGAATCCAGGGCTGGGATTTGAACCCAGAGGTGTCCCTCCTGGCCCATGCTCCAGCCCCTTTGCTCTGTCAGACATGGACTAAACTGAGCCGTGAGCCGTGAGCTGTGAGCCATTCCAGCTGGGGCTGTCATGATCTGTGCAGGTCACTCGACCTCTCTGGGCCACATTTGCAAAAGGTTTCTGTGGGTCATTCCAACCCTCAGATTGGAGTCCTCTTTCAATCCATGATGCTAAATTTCCATGTGCATAAAATACATGGATTATTGGTGCAGCTCTAGCCTGAACACTGAAAACCTTGGTTCTTCTTTGCAAAAAAGCATCAGGTGTGACCTGAGCCCAGGGAGTCAGCCCTCACCAGGGCTCCTGTGGGGTAGAGCCTGGCTGGCCACTGGCTTCCATGGGGTCCCACCAACGCCAATTGGCCATGAAGACAGGGCTAGGATGCAGGCAGAGCAGGGCCAGGACCTCCCCTGACTGGGGCCATCTCAGTGCCTGCCCTGGTGGGTCACAGGTCCCTCCACTGGCTGCTGTTACCGGGGAGGAGGCTGACACAGACCGGACCTCCTGGAGCAGTTCCACCAGGTAGGGACCGGCCACAGGAAGGGGTCAGGCCATTGCTCTTATAGAAATTGTTCAGGGAGAAGCACTAGACCTTAAACAGGGCGCTTCAAGTGATGGGGGCATTGCTGTGGCCTTAGGCCCAGCCATCTACATGTGAGGAGATGAATAGGTCTTGGCCTGTTGGGTGATGGGGAGCAGGAAGCTGGTGCTGCCTGGCTTCCCAGCTGGGTAAAGTCTCCATCACCCTGTCTGTAAAATGTCCAGGTTCTCCCAGAGAATGGTGGCTCCCTCTGTCCGAGCCAGTTGGCGAGCAGAGCCCCTACAGTAACTCCCAGGCCCACGTCCTCATCAGGACCTGGAGTCCAGGCTGCTGCCTACTTATTTCGGAGACTATGCAGCAGCCATGATTCTCAGCCTCAGGAATTAACCCTGTTTTCAAGGTTGTTCGCTGTCCATCCCCTCACCTGCTCCCTACCTGATCTGATCCTGTCTCCCCAGCCCATCCTCTCCAAAGCCTTTCAAGTTTGAAGTCAGCTGCACTGATGGGTCACACCTGAGTTCCAACTGCCCAGCCATCAGGAGATGGATCTGGCCTGGGTCCTTGCAGTTCCTTCCTTGTATGAGCATGACAGCCTCAGTGCAGAGGTCCCTGTGAGGAGGGTAGCTGCCCCCAGTACCCAGCCCTGTGAGGAGAGGTAGCTGGCCCCAACACCCAGAGAGCTGTCACTGTCACGTGGGGAGAGGTGGCAGCTCCAAGAGTTGAACTGGGACTGGCGAAGGGAGTGGAGGAAGCTCATGAGTAAGGTGGACTGCCCAGCCAGCAGGCATGGTCAGAATGGTGTTTCATGAGTTCTTTCTAACTGGATGGTGGTGGAGAAAGAAATGGGCTGCCCCAGCACTCAGAGGTTCCTGGTGGCTCCAAGAATGAGTCATAAACAGGTGGACCATACATCCTTTCATTCAAACACTCATTGAAAACACACTTTCCAAAGACATGGAATCAACCCCAATGTCCATCAGTGATAAATTGGATAAGAAAATATGGTACATATACATTGTGGAATACTGTGCAGCCATAAAAATGAACAAGATTATGTCCTTCGCAGGGACATGGATGGAGCTGGATGCCATTATCCTTAACAAACTAACACAGCAACAGAAAACCAAATACCACACATTCTCACTTATAAGTGGGAGCTAAATGATGAGAACACATGGACACATAGTGGGAAACAACACACACTGGGGCCTGTAGGAGGGCAGGGGGAGGAGGGAGAGCATCAGGAAGAATAGCTAATGGATGCTGGGCTGAATACCTGGGTGCTGGGATGATCTGTGCAGCTAGTCACCATGGCATATGTTTACCTATGTAACCAACCTGCACATCCTGCACATGTACTCCTGAACTTAAAATAATAGTTGGAAATAAAAATAAGAAAACATACTTCCCTCAGGCACTGACCTAGGCTCTAAGCACATGATGATTAATTTAGCAAGGTGAACGGACATGTGGGTGAGACAATGTGTGATTTGTGCAATAATACCAGATACATGGGCCTGAAAGTGAGGGCCTTTGTCCATCTGAGGTGGCCACTTCTCACTTGCTCTTGTTTGGGTACAGAATTGTCCAAATGTGTTCTACAAGCTGCTGGCCTCCCATAAGATGATGTAAAGAATATCAAAAGCTTTGGTGCTGAAGAGCATTCTCAATGCACTGCACTAACACAGCCGAAGTGCTCCTTTCTACAAGGCTAGTTGAGCGTTCATATGCTGATGTGATCAGGGGTCACCAAGATTAGCCCACAACACCATGAGATCATGAGACCCACTCTTTCAATGGACTTCTCTAAAGATCGGTCCACAGAGCACATTTAGGAAAACTCTGGATTTGATACTTCCTCAGGCTCCTTTCAGCTCACAGATTCCACACTCTATCTACAACTGGTAGGTCCATCCCTCAAACTGTATAACTCTACCCACCAAGTTCACCATCTTCACTCCCAGCTCCCCTGCAGAAAATCCTCCCCACTTCTACCAAAAAGCAGAGGCTCCCAGAGCTTCTAACCAGCACATTCTGTCCCGTGCATCCTGAGAAACTCCCAGCTGCTCTTTGGACATCAGGATCATGCTTATGTAAGTCCATTATAACCACCTCCTGGACAAAATGCTTATTCATTTGATGCCAAAGTGAAATGACACAGACCTCTTCATGCTTTGTTTTCTTATCTGTAACCTGGAGATCCTATTACAACCTACTTTGTAGAACTGCTGTGATGGCTAAATCAGGGCCGCCAGAAAAATACCGGGTGCCCAGTTCAAAATATGCTTTCAGATACACAGTGGATAGACTTTCAGTGTAAGTATATCCCAAATACTGCATGGGGCATACTTACACCAAATTTTTTTTTTTTTTTTTTTGAGATGAATTCTCACTCTGTTGCCCAGGCTGGAGTGCAGTGACGCAATCTAGGCTCACTGCAAGCTCCGCTTCCCAGGTTCAGGCCATTCTCCTGCCTCAGCCTCCCGAGTAGCTGGGACCACAGGCACCCGCCACCATGCCCAGCTAATTTTTTGTATTTTTTTAGTAGAGACGGGGTTTCACCGTGTTAGCCAGGATGGTCTCGATCTCCTGACCTCGTGATCCGCCTGCCTCAGCCTCCCAAAGTGTTGGGATTACAGGCATGAGCCACCGCACCCGGCCCAAAATTTTTTATGTATCTAACATTCAAATACAACTATGCATCCTGTGTTTTCATTTTCTAAACCCAGCAACCCTAATTAAATTATGTAAAGCACGTCACACAGTGCCTGACACACGAATAAACTCAGTGATTGGTGCTAATGATAGTTACATTTGCTTATCAGTCTCTGGTCTGGGCTCCAAGTTTCTTGAGAGAGAAAAAAACTCTTATTTCCATCTCTGAGTCCTTGGTGACCAGGTTAGCAGCTGGAGTGTGGTTAAAGCTATGCACTGTGTGTTGAATTAAATGGTAGGCTGGAATTCAGAGCTTCTTGGAAGGACAGCAGTGCACGAATATGATCCACTATCAATCGTGTCCCCCTTCCTTTTTCCCTGTTCTGCTATAGTGGAACCCATGGTGGCTAGTTTAATTGTTTATTATTCAGCAAATACTTGCAGTATTCCTACCACTTCCTGGACATTTCATCATATATAGGGAGAGAAGAGATGCCTCAGAGATAGGCCTTTCTCTCTGAGGGAAAACAAAAAGTCACCCAACCAGTACCCTGGTGCGGCGTGGAGTGACATTGTAATCCTGCCATATTGAGGAGTGAAAAGGACTTCGGTGGCTGTAGAAAGCTGCGTGCATGTCCTCAGCCAGGGGAACAGCTCATGCACTGACACAGAGGAGGGGAGGCGTGGGAAGGTACAGAAATGTGGAGGCTGGTGGGGGTGTTAGTGCTTCGTGGCTGCCGTCAGGAAAGAGGACAAGCCTGGTGGCTTAAAACAACCGAAATGTTGTCTCCCAGTTTTAGAGGCCAGAAGTCTAAAACCAAGTGTCAGCAGGGCCCCACTCCCTCCAAAGCCTCCTGGGGAGTATTTCTTTGTCTCTTCCAGCTTCCAGGGCTGCAGGTACTCCTGCGCTCACATCTGCATCCCTCCAGTCTCTGCCTACATCTTTCCACCACCTTCGGTTCTCTGTGTGTGTCTCTTTTAGGACATTGACCCTTGGATTTAGGGCCCAGCCAGATAATCCAAGATGATCTCATCTAAAGATCCTTAACTTAATCATATTTACAAAGACCCTTCTTCCAAATGCGGTGACTTTCCCAGGTTCCAGGGCTGGGATGTGGACGTATGTCTTAGGGCCACCCTGGGTGGAAACCCAGAATGATGGGGCTAAGGAGCTGCTGGAGAGGAGTCGGAAAAAGGGGTGTGGAGCCACATGTGAAAGGTTTTCTGTGTGAGGCTGAGTGCAGGCTTTATGCTATAGGCCCTGGGGAGCCATAGATGGTTTCATCCTGAGAGTGGCTTGCTTGGAATTGTATCCTGAGAGGTGCACTAGGGTACCACATTCGGGGGAAAGGGAGCCAGGAGAGACAGGCTAGGAGGGAAGGAGGGAAGATACAGCAGACAAAGGGCTCCAGGGAGAGGACCCCACCCACCGTCCCCTCCCGAGGGTGTCTAACTCCACGATTGCCCATCCACTTCCCATCAGCAAGGCCCCAGCACAGGACCATGGTCAGGCCTCTTTCTACAGAAAAGGGAGGCGCTGCCAGTCAAATCCTGGTTCCGTAGATAGTGTCTCTGCCTTATGAGGAAAAGGGACGCAGTGCTCAATGTGGAAGCCACAACAATTAAACCATTTTTAAAAGTAGCCCCCATGCCCCTCCCCTGTGCCACCCAGCAGGAACAGAACCCCAGGCCTCTGCCAGGAAGGAGATGAAAAGCAACTAGTTCCATCAGTTACAGAAAGAAAGGCCAATGAGGCAGCCACGAGCTCAAGTGACCTCAGCATCCCCTTCCCCTGCACTCACTGGTGACAAAGCTCTGTGAAACGTTCCAGGGAAACAGGCCACCTTCACACAGTGACACAAGGACCACTCCGCCTTGGCAGAATTAGACTCTGCCTGGGACGTTTTCCCAATCCTTCCCCCCAGACCCACATAGCAGCAGAATATCCTGCTCCCTCAGGAGCATCCCTGAAATCTCGCTGCCTGGAGGAAAATCCTGAGTCTCCTGGAACAGGCCAAGTCCCCACGCTGTGCACTTGTGCAGACCACGCCCCCGGTATCACGGTTTGCAATGAAACACCCAGGCAGCCCTGAGGCGGTTTGATCCCTGCTGACCCACTCTCCCGCCCTGCTCTGCAATCCCTGTGAGGTCATGGACTGTGTTTTGCTCACCACTGCATATCCCAAGTACTGCTAGGTTCTCTGTACACCCCCGTATGACTAGGTTCTCCAGCACAGAGTAGGTGCTCCTGCAAAAACCACTGGATGAGGGAAAGAATGGACAAATGGCAGCCATGGAGCCATAGGCCTCGGGTATGGAAGTGTGGAGGAAGACAGCACCTGCCTTTGAGACACTCACATTTTAATAAAAAATGAGACATTATTTCCTAAAACAGACAAATGAGCAGAATACTTTAGTATATTTGGTGTATGTATATGTATGCATATATGAAGAGAAACACGGGGCACTCAGCCTTCCTGAACATCCAGGGAAGCGTCTCAAACTGGCAATCCACTAATAAGTCCTCTGGCACCGAGCAGTGAACACAGCGGCAGGAGGGGGCTTCACTCTGGGAGGCGAGACCTGGTTTCACTCTTTCCCTCCTGTCCACGCGGAAGCCCATGGACAGCGGAATGGCCTAATTGATCCCCTGCCAGCCAAGTCCTGGTTCCAAGAGGCTGCAGCCTGCCTGTTTGGAGCTGGACGGAAGGGCCTGCTCTGCCCGCCCCACGCGAGCTCCGCGGAAGGCACCTGTTTCTGAAGCCTCTCACTGCACGTGCTCCGCTGGAGCGGGGCTCTCATTAAGAGAGGCAGGCTGCGTCACGGCAGGGCAGTGCTAATTGGATGTGGTTGAAGGCTCAGGAGGGGAAGCAGAGACAGTTACTGACCTGTACCCAGAACTGATGACGACACAGTAATGCGATCGCCCAGACACTGCGGTGCTGCCTCTCCTCACTCGACCCCCTCTTCTCTGTAATGTAGACATCCGACTATTTTTTTTTAATCTTCTTGTATCAACTGTTACATCTGCCTGTGAAACAGCTGGGAAGGATGCAGCGTCCATTTTGCTATAACTCCAAGCACAGGAGAGGAGAGGAGAGGACAGTACTCAGGTCAGATTTTCAGAGAAAGGCCCATATATTCTATGCCAATTTCATCCAGGAAAAACCTGAAAATAATTTGCACAGACGTTAACACCACGACATGGACTGAAACTGCAGCTTAGAAGCACCTTCATGTTTATTCCTCTCAGCAGCTGGCATTCAGAATTATTTTTTAGTAATAGAAGCAATTATCTGGTACATTGCTAGAAGGAATGCTTATGCATACAGAGTTGTTCAGCACCTCACACTCAGGAACTGCAGCACAGAGAGCCAAATGGCTCGCTAGGCAGAAACAGGAGTGTGGGCCCCGGGCATGGTGCTCATGTGTGCTGTGCGCACATGTGTGTTGTGTTTACATGTGAATGTGTGACTGCCTGCGTGCATGTGTGGTCATCGGCACACATGTGGCACACATGTATGCATGTGACATGTGCACACTTGCATGCTATGCATAGTCACGTGCATTGTGCACGTGTATGTGAGGTCTATACATACACATGCACGTGTAGCTATGTGCATCGATATGTGCACACATGTACACACAGGCCGTGCACATGTGGTCGTGTGTGCCTATGGCTGTGTGCATCTGTATATGTGTGTGGCGCGTGTGCACTTGTACAGCCCACATGTATGTGTGTGCACATGCATGTGTGGTATGTGCATGCGTGTGTGTCGCTGTGCACTCTCATATGTGTGCATTGTCCCTGTGCTTGCATTCCCGTGAGGCTTCGGGATATGCATCTGAGTGTTTCTAGAGAAACACCACGGGACGCAGGGTCCTGGAAGTGCCTGGGCAGGAAGCTCGGCGACCCAACCCAGAGGTCTGGGTTCATGCAGTGCAGTTGGGAAAGAAGAGGTGCTGTGAGCAGACGCCCCACTTGAGCTCAAGGCCCGGGTGCTGGCAGCCTGGGCAGGAGGCCTGGCACAAAGCAGCCCCCTGGCTGCTGCCCTGTGGCAGCGGGGAGGGAGGAGGCATTTTGAAACTCTTAGTGGTCAGCTTTAAATAATCACGCACAGACAGGCCTCCAGGTGCCAATAGGAAGTGGTGAGGGGGTGTAGAAAGGGAGGGCAGCTTTCTTCTAAAGAAGCTGGCCAGGATCAGGGTGACAACAACAAAGTGTCACTTTGATGGTTTCAGAAGACAATAGCTGGTCCTCGGCCTAAATGTCAACTATAGAGAACTGCAAGCCTTAAATTAATCTGGTCTCAAACTCCTACTCAGGGAAAATCCCTGGAATGATGTAGAAGCTTGGAAATGTGACCGTGTGCACTATGCAGAGAGAGCCCCGGGTACCTAACCCATGGCACGTTTTCCTCTCTATCTGCCTCCTTCATTTAGACAGGAGTTGCCAGTGGGACCTGTGCCCCTGATCCCAGCCTCTAAGAATCACATATCATCTCTCTTGCTTAAAAAGAGAAATCCAGGGCTGACTCCCACCCAGACCCGTGGCAACCATAGCATGAGAGACCCAGCCAAGCAGAGGCCAGATGGCAAGAAGTGGGATCCCTCACCTCTCAGGACACTTGTGTGTGCCGTGGCTCACAGCTGTACGCCGACCGGCTGGCAAGGCTCAGGGAGGACAAGCCATGTGGTTGCTGGCAGGAAATCTCAGTCGGCAGGGCTGCACCTGCTGTGGGTGCTGTGGCCAGGCCGCTCACCGCACCCCTGCTGCTTGATCTCTCTTGCTTCCTTTGTACAGCATTGTGTCAAGCCTAAACTTCCAGTGGTGTTTTTTGAGGAAGGTCACAAGGTCCCTTTGGAAAGGAGATTGGAGGACAGCCTAATGAAACTTCAAGAAGCACCATTTCAAATACGGAGTGAGCTTCCAGGTGGCCTTCGGCTGCCCCCTTTAAGAAATGTCCCCATCTAAAGAATGGCACACTCAGCAAAAGGAAATGAAGATCTTCCAAAGCTACTGAGAAGCCACCAGAAATTTACATGATGATCTTGAGGCTGGAACCTTTCAAAAGGCCAGAGCTGCAGTCTAGCGCTGGGCAGGACAGCTCCAGTGTCATTTCTGCAATGACAGGGGGTGTGCCCCCACTCCCAGGAATTCACACGGGGTCCAGTAGCCTCCCTGCTACAGCATCTGGGGGGCTTGACCACAGGAAACTGTCCCAGGCGAGAGGGCCTCATGTCAGCACCTGCACATCTCTGGCCACCCGCCTGCTTCACTCAAGCACAGCCTGGCACTGCATCTTCTTACGGACCTCTGGTTTATTGAGAGGCCACTCAAAGTCATTTGCAGCTGATCTTCCACACCTGCCATTAAGCAGATAATTAGAAGAAGGGAAGCCTGGACCAAGGGCGTTCTACTCACCTCTTCCACCTGTGTGTGTGCTTCTATGAGGCGCCTCAACGTGGGTCCAGTCTGCAGAGGAATTCTGACTCTGGCTCACAGGTTGTACCACTCCACCACTGTGGGCGTGCCTCCTGGGGACCACTGTTTTCATAAAGTATAGAGTGAATTCCGGGTGATTCCTGGAGTCACAGAAAGCCGCGATGACCAAGTCATGGCTCCCAGGGCTGGGTGTGTTCATGCCCCTGCACAGACCTGGTGTGAGGAGGGACAAGGGGCCGGGCACAGCAATGCCCTCTAGGTAGAGGCCCTCTGAATGAGGACCTCAAGGCAGCATGAGTCACAGGTGCCTGGGCAGGTGCAGCTGCAGGATCACCTCCAAGGTCCAGTAGATACAGAACGGGAGGAAGCAAGTTCTTCCTGCTCCTTTCCTGGATGAGCCTGATTTTGGCATGTGGCAGATTTATGAACTCTTCCGTGGATTATGGTGTGCCAGGGGATGGACCAATGTTACCATCTGCCTAAGGGTTCTCCTTCCATCTTAGTTTACCTTGAACGAAGTACAAATAAAACCTTACGTTTGTATGATGCTTTATGGTTTATACGGTATTTCTGCAGGCATGATTTCCTCATCCCCCAAACCTGTGCAGTATGGTGGGTCTTTCTGTCCTTGCCCTGACATGTGACTTACCCAAGAAAGTCACTAGAGTGGACCAAGCAGGTGTCTCAAGGCCAGTCCTTCTGCCAGCTGGTGCAGGGCTCTTTCTGCCACACCCCAGGCACCTGGATAATCTGGCTACTTTGCCAAATTATTGAACAATGAGGCTTCTTTAAAACAGTGGTCCTGTTGCCTGAGGAGCTGTGTAGGGCTCCAGGATGGGCAGAGCAGGAGTTGGCAGCTGGGCCAATGCAGGCTTCACTCCAGCATCCTCATGGCCAGGGTGAGAGGTCATGTACTCGCTCTGGGCCTCCCAGTAAGGGGATTGGAGTGGACATCCCTTCAGAGGTCCCTCTGTCTATTTTTAAAAAGCATTAGAAAAGAAGTTGGAGGGGCTGAGTAAATGCTTAATTTTTTGAAGTTCAGAACAATCTTTTGGTGAAAACATTCTAATGGGGAGTAGCCAAGTATTGTTCCTAAAGAAATGTGGTCCATCCCATTTTTTAGTTGTAAAATCTAAATGCAGTTTCTAACTCACATAGCTGCAGTCACAGAATGTGGCAGGCTGGGGGTAGGGGGAGTTGAGGTTGCTGTCTGTCTGGGTTCTGGGTGGTGAGGATACAGGCTGAAGCTGGATGGGAGGGCAAAGACTGCACACATCAAGAACTTCAGGACACAGACCTGGAAAGAAGCCGCTTGGGAGCAGAGCCCACGGTGCTCCTTTCTACTGAACTCCTCAATACGATTCGATGCAGCTCCCTCCCACGCCATCGAGGAATAGGACTTGGAGCTTCTGTCCAAAAGCTTCGAGAGTCATCGGGGCCTCTTTTGGTATTTCAGCTCAAAAAAGATGGAAAGGCCTTCTTCTCCTGTCCAGGGAGCAACCTCCCTGAGGTCACCAATGATGGCTTGCATCCCTGGGCAACGTGGGAACAAGGGAGAAGCTAAGGACAGTTAGAAAATATGGCCACAGGAAGGTGGGCGCGGGGTGGAGAGTGGCTTCGAGGCTCTCCTGAAACCTCTGAGTCCCGCCGACACAGCGTGGCCCAGAGTCTAGGTTTAGGAAGGTTCTGTTACTCTAAAAAGTGTCTCGACAACATCCTAAATCTCCCAGTGAAGACATCCATCTGGCTGACGAGCTCTCTGGACACATGTACAAACATCCCAGGAAGAATTCAGAGGAGGAAACCTCCCTGTCACAGAAGGACTCTGTTTAATCAGACTGCCTTCCGCACCTCCCAGAGGCAAGGACTGAGAGAGCCTTTTCCAAAGTATGTTTTGATAAGCACTTTGTATAAGAGACGCTTCCTGAAAAGACTATGGATAGGACTTCTCAGAACCTTGTTCACTTTGCTTCCCCAAAGTTTCTAAACTTCTTTGACTATATGACCATTTTTGCCTTTGGGCCTATGCATGGCTTAGGAAATGCTGCACTAAGGAGAGAGAGTTCATCTTAGAGTTCCCTTGATCTGAGCAAGAGTTCTCTCCCTTTGGAGACCAGGCCCAGGAGTACAACTTGCAGAGGAAGTGGTCCCAGGGTCCAGGAGAGAGCGAGGAGGAATGGCGGACATATAGCCAGCTCTTCCTGGTCCTGACCCACCGGCTTTCTCCACCAAGACACCAGACTTCCTTCCCTGTGCCACAGCCTTGCAGGCCCATCCTTTTGAGAATCTCACCATCACTCAGCATTTCTGTTCTTTGTGTTTTTTGGTTTTTTTTTTTTTTTTTTTCCTTGAGACGGAGTCTCCCCTCTGTCGCCCAGGCTGGAGTGCAGTGACGCTATCTCGGCTCACTGCAACCTCCATCTCCCAGATTCTAGTGATTTTCCTACCTCAGCCTCCTGAGTAGCTGGGATTACAGGTGTCTGCCACCATGTCCAGCTAATTTTTGTATTTTTAGTAGAGATGGGGTTTCATGATGTTGGCCAGGCTGGTCTCGAACTCCTGACCTCAGGTGATCTGCCCACCTCAGCCTCCCATAGTGCTGGGATTACAGGCATGAACCACAGCGCCTGGCGTGTTCTTTGTGGTCTTAAGCACCAGAGCAGCCATGCCAACGACTGTACACACACACACACACACACACACACACACACACACACACGGAGAGCTTGCTGAATGTAACAAATAATAGTTTTGTGGAATTGCAACTGGATCTTCTCCCACCAAAACTGCTTGAGTAATCCTGGAGGCTCCAGGGGCGGCTGCTGTGAACCCCAGGCCCTGTCCTTATGTTTCCATCCCTGGTATACCAAAGGGAAGGCAAGAATAACCTAGTCGCCATTGGGCATGGAGGCATCTCATTTGCCCCTCAGATAATCTCCTCTTGTTCAGCTCCAGGCACAGTGAGGACAAGTTAAATGGGGAACCCACAAAATTGGAATTTGCATTCGGGCTGATGACGATGGAAAGACAATGGTAATGAAACAGAACTTCAGTTTGATGTCTGGGTATGCATTTCATGTGACTCCATCTGAATTTTTTTAAGTCCAAAATATTTGCAATTAGACTCACTCATGACCAAATTAAATCGAGATGCCTCCATTTCACACAATAGGCATGGTCCTGAGAAACTACATGAGAAAAGAATTTTTAAAAATCAAATTATATTTTTCAAAGTACTTTGAGAGGTTTCTATTTAAAAGAATCCCACAAGGAATCCTCCCTTAGAATGAAGAGTGCTATTGTAATGCAAATGATCACCTCCTAATTTATCTGTTTTCTAAATTCAAATAAACTTTAGTTTATTCAGAATGGTCAAAGAGTGGGGTCTTGTGGTTAATTGAATATTCATGTTAATTTGGAATCAGCATATATACCATGCGTTGATTACCAATTTTCACGAAACAAGAATATAATAAAATACAATAAAATACACTTAACAACGAAATGATGCTGAACCTAATTACTTTTTCTTTGATAATCCAAAGGCATGTAGGACCTCGAAGTACACAGGCTGAGTTTTGAGAAAGAGATTAGGCTGAATTTTACTGAGGCTGGGACAGGACAGGACATGACCTGGGAGCTTTGGTTTTGACATCGATGTTTTTAATTTTTTTTTTTTTTTTTTTTGCCCTCATCTTGTTTCAGAAAAGAAAAACAAAAGCCCTGAAGCTCAGAGCATATTTTTTCATGTCCTGGAAATGTGCAGTCTCCAGCTCTCTGGGTCGTTTCGATGTGGCGTTGACAACGTTGGCACAGGTAGACCCTTTTTTCAGGAAGCCAGTCAAATTCAGAAAGAAAATCTAGATTGAGCTGTTCTTCTCTGCTGGCTATCTAATGAGGTGGGGGCAAGGCCAACAGTTCTGGAATAGGCCACACTCACAGACAGTGCCTGCCCTAGGAATAGATGGTGATCTCGATTTCACATAATGATGAGGGAAATGATTCGTTTCAAAAGCAAAGCACACAGCACCCATCCCCCATCCCTGAAGCAAAGTCTTATCGGTTTGCTTCTCTGCAAATACCTTTCTATCCACACATAGGCTTGAACTTGTTAAGCACACTCCAACCCCAAAGTTCTTGATGCTTTAAAATCCATTCCCTTCCCTGTGGTTTGTTAGAACTGCTTTTCCAAGGAGTCCAGCAACCATCTATTCCTATTTAAGCAAATAAGGTTAGCTGCCTTTTGCCATTCACAATTCAACAGTCCTCCTAAATTAATTTTTCCAAAAGTAATTCAAATAAAAGCTTGGTTGCCACTACTCTTTTCTGAGCCACAAGATTGAATAAGGCATCTGAATAAAAATGTGTATTACAGCCTTCTTTAATATTTAAGCATGACATTCATTGATTTGTTTCTTGTTTTCTGCAAACCTTGACAACATGATAAAATAAATCATAAGAACAAAATATAGTGGTAACATCTTTTATGGACTTCACATAGTCATCAATCTCAAGCTGTGAGTGAATTATCAGTACAGCAAAAAGATCTATGTTTTAAGATCTCCAATAGCACACTAGCTGGGGGTTTTTCACAAGCAACCTCAAGGCGAGTGACTGATAAGCATCATTATTGTTTTCTGAGAGTCTGGTTTATGGTGTGTAGTGCAGGTGTTGGCATATATGTTTCGGAAGCAAAGGTTTGATCAATTCTAAGTAGACATCTACCAACATATAAAAAATATAACAAGCCTTCCTGCTGAGCAGAATTATAGTATCCGCCACCCCATGTCAGCCTGACAAGCCCCGTGTTGTGCTTCTGATTATATTTAATACAGAATTAACCTTTCTTAATGTGATAACTCTGTGTGAAACATGGATCAAAGTAGGTATCTGGACATGTTCCCCATTTTATGTGTCTTTTGATTTTTAGCAACATCATTGTAAATTCCAAGAAGAAAAAAAGCCAGGAATTGTCATCTAATTGCCACCCCTTGAACATATATAAACAAAAAACTGGAGAAACAGTAACCTATTCCAAAGGTGACCCAACCTGGAGTTGGTGCTAGCTAGAGTTCAGAATAATGGAAAAGAGTCTGAAGCTTGTAACACCAAGCACAACAAAGCCTTTTCAAAATCATCAGTGCCTACAACTGTGAGACTGTGTCCCCACCATGTCCTCTCCAGGGAGCCTGCAGCCACTGACCCAGCCATTTGTGAACCCACCACAGGGCCTCTACACGTTTGCAGACACCTGAACCAGCGTATTCCAAGTGCTGTCTTGTTCTTTTAGCATTATGTTCTTGCAATCTAAATGATACTTCCTTTTTTACAAAAATGTTGCAATTTCTTCTGTGTGGATGGCGGCCCTCGGTGGGGCTGAAGGCTTTAAGGGAAAAATCACCAACAAGCGATACATAAGCAGCATCAAATTCAATTGCAGCAAACAACAACAAGAGGATTATTCAGTGAGATTACCCAAATCATGATCAACAGTTATTCCTGGTAAGGCAGAAGAACACACTAAAAATCTAGAAAGGACATTCTAGGGCACAGGACAGCATCGGTGGATTTACCAGAGCTTTCTTTCAATCTGGAAAATGGGTTAATGACAGCTTCAGATGTGGGAGGCTTCAGTCTCTGGGTTGCAGGAGGAAATATTAAGATGTTTTTTGACATGTTGAATATATGTGGTTTCCCACAAAGTTCCACAGTGCTTTGCACTCCATAAATATTAGTCCTCTTCCCTCACAACTTGAACTTCATGAAATATGATGCGGTAGTCCACTAGAGCACAGCTGCATGTTCGTGGGTCTGGAGTCTCAGGCATAGCTCATTTACATAGTTGGAACACCATTCATCACCCTCATAATTAACTCAAGTCAATTACACCATTCTGAAATATCTCCTCTTCTAGGCATGTTGCATCATTACCACCTACTTTTAATAAAATTATACTCATTCTCACTTTAGTTGAGTGACTGTAACTAATGGTGGTTTCTTTCTCTCTTTTCTCACTATTCTAACCAATTAGAGTCACTGTGATTTTCTTTACTCGGCCTAAGAGAAATTACCATCAGTGTTATTGCTTGTTTGACATTTTGGTTTTCCATTTGTTAAATTTTATTAGCAATATTGGAAATGTGAATTACTATATCTTTGCAGCCAGGACGTTCTTTTGAGGAGTTCACACATCACTGGTGGCACTATATACAGCCATTGTAAACCTTTCAGCGTCTACACTTCGATGGGGGCTGCCCAGGCACTACCATAAGGCAATTGGGAAGAAATCATGGCTAATGCAGAAAATACCACTGGGAGCATCAAAGAAATGTGAAGCTGGCGATGGCCCAGGGATCCCCCAGCCTGAATGGCTTCTTCCTGGAGGTCCCTGATTTTCAGAGTCATAAAAATTGAAGCCACTGTCCATTGAGTTCAACCTTGTTGCTAAAACATCTAATATCTACATGAGGAAGGGCTTTACTGAGTTAGATAATAAATCAAACATGGATCAACTTACCCATAGGCATGGTTTACAATTTATTTGAGCCTTTTTGATTTCCAAATCAGAAAAATTGAAGCCTCTGTCCATTGAGTTCACCCTTGTTGCTAAAACATCTAATATCTACATGGGGAAGGGCTTTACTGAATTAGATGATAAAGCAAACATGGGTCAACTTAACTATAGACATGCTTTACATTTTATTCGAGCCTTTTTGATTTCCAAGTCAGAAAACCAAGAAATGCCTAGAGGGACTGTGTATACTTTGGATAAATAGAGTAAGAAACAAATAGTTAGCTAGCCCCAACACACACACAGCTCCCCCACCAACACCAAGGCTCACTCAAGCATGCCATGTCCTCATTAAAAGTAGAGAAGGCTGGCTCACCAAGTCTCAGGGCCATCCCAAACAGAGTCGTAAGGAAGTCAGGTATTTTCCTGTGATACCTAATTAAACTTCCTGAGATGTAACTAATTTGCTGAGTTTGGCTGGGGTGGTGGTGTTGGTCATATCACCCTAGGTAGCAGATACTTAAGACTAACCTAGAATGAGTCCACTAGGCATGGACTGTGTCTATGGTGTTCATGCTATGTCCCCATGCTCTGCATAGTGCTTGGTGTAGAATGGGGCTCACTAAGAACCTGCTGAGTGAGTAGTCTGGTCAGCCGCTTCATCCAGGTGCTGCTCTCTAAATGCTGAGTTCAGCACACCTGGATGCATTTATTGGCCTCACACCTCCGTGCCTCTGTTTCCTCATCTGTAAAATGGGGATGATACTAGTGCCCACCTCAAAGAGCTGCTCTTGGGTTAAACAATGATATTCGTGGTGTGTATATATATGTACACACGTGTATGCATAGATGCAGGCAGACAGCAGCAGAGAGAGAAGAGAGAGAATAGCACGATATCCACTATGTAGCCTATTCTCAGAAAAAGAATACACTGTCCTTACACCGTCATCCATTTGATTTGGGGTTAGCATTGATCACACCTTGTTGACATGGCATACTGAGCTGACTCAGTCCTGAACACATCTTGAGGTCCTACTGAAGTCAATTTAAAAAACGATGAGTTCATGTCCCTTGTAGAGACATGGATGAAACTGGAAACCATCATTCTCAGCAAACTATCACAAGGACAAAAAACCAAACACCGCATGTTCTCACTCATAGGTGGGAATTGAACAATGAGAATACTTGGACACAGGAAGGGGAACATCACACTCCGGGGACTGTTGTGGAGTGGGGGGAGCGGGGAGGGATAGCATTTGGAGATATACCTAATGCTAAATGACGAGTTAGTGGGTGCAGCACACCAACATGGCACATGTATACATATGTAACTAACCTGCACATTGTGCACATGTACCCTAAAACTTAAAGTATAATAATAATAAAATTAAATTACATTTTTAAAAAAGTAAAAAAATAAATAAATAAAAATTAAAAAAAATAAAAATCGTGTAGGAATTCTGATGTTTGGGACAAGCTTGTGTGTCCTCCATAATTTCCTGTATCTTGTCACCTGTGCCTTCTCACCACTAGAAAAATCCACACCGAAGAGTGTCTGTGAAGAGCAAGGACTTCACAGAGGAAGGAATCCATGAAAACCTCCAACCTGTGCATAAATGATATATTAGGATTTTTTTCTTTCTGAATACTAATATATAATTCTCGAGAAAAAAGGATCACGTGTCCCTTTCTATCTGGTAGCCTGAAAATAATCTATAATATTGCATCAATATTCACTTAATAAAAGAGGAAGTTTGCATTGCTTATGCTACTTCCATTTGGCTCACCTAGCTTTTAGATATTATGTGGAAGAGCGGTCCAGCAACACCTATGCCTTGTCAGTCATTTAATTAAGCAAAGAAAGCTTGCTATTCATTTTATTTCTGTACATGTTAATGTTAAAAACTAATAGAAAACAGCTAGTAAATTGTCCCCTGCATATATTGGACACAGCAACAATTACTCTGGCAGAGAAGATATAATAAAAGAGGAAATTTTAATAGTATCCTTATTCCATTTATTCTCTTGGGCTTCTGTTTCAAGGTACTGTAGAAATTAACAATTATTCCTTCTCATTGTTTTTGATGATCTTTTTATATTATGCTCCTACCTGACTTAAAATAAAAAATAATTTAAACCTACGGTTTTTTTATTCAATTTTATGGTACCCTGAGATTTATATTCCAGACATGAGGAAGAACTGAGAAGAATCAGAAAATAATCCAGAGAGCCTTTTCTTCTTATTTCTTGACAACTAGTTAAGGCCATGCTAGTCATTAGTACAACGGAGATTATCTTGATTTCAACTCAGAAATTCACATAATAAAAATAATTATCTTATACATCACCGTATTGACAAATGTGTCTTTCTGGTACTTTAGGAATATCTGTCATATGACATATCTAAATAGCTGCCGTAGCTCTACTATATAAGGCAATTAACTGAGTTTATATGGCAAATTGTCTAAGGATTTCTCCGGAATGCTTGGGGAAATCTAACAAACTGAAATATTCTTCAATTTATTGACATGCTACTATAATACGCTGAAAAAAGTAGGCCACCAATAAACAGCTTTAGTTTGAAAACTAAGATCTTATTATAAATGTAGAGACTGTGAGGCCCCTGACTTGGTTGAAATGAAGAAGACCAATTTTACCTTGTGAAGGTTACATTTGTTCTTTGTTTTGGCAGAAAAAAAATGTGGTCATGATGAATCACAGTGTACAGTCAAGACAATGGGGTTTTAAAATGGCACGTTTTTGCCAGTGACAGTTTCACCAGAAACACTTCCGAGGAGACACTGGAACCTTATTCAGTTCAAGTCACCTTTGGTTTGCATTGTGCCTCTCATGAGCTTCTCAGAGGCTGGTCACTTCACTGGCCCTGGAAGGTATGCACTCAGGGCCGTTTGACTCTTCCTGGTCCCTCCTAGGTGATTAAATCCACAGACCTACACACCCCTCCAGGTCCAGCAGAATAGTCACCCTGGAAATGCACAGATTTCCTAAGCACGGAAATATCCACTCTTTCCTACGTGAGCTAGTGTTCCGTTGCTCACTAAGAAGTCACCACAAATGTAGCCACTTACAACAACACACATTCATCATTTCACCACCAAGAGTGGCCGTGGCTTAGCTGGTCCTGTACTCAGGCTCACAGGCCGCAATAAAGAGGTTGGCAGTGGAGCTGCACTCTTCCAAGTGGGTTCCCTTCCAAGCTCATGTGGCTGTTGGCAGAATTCAGTTCCTTGTGATTGTAGGACTGCAGTGCCTACTTTCTTGCTGTCTGTCAATGGGGACCACGCTAAGCACCTACAGGCTCCCATGGTTCCCTGCCACCAGCTCACTGGCTATTCACTTCCTCAAAGCCAGCAGAGAGGGCCCAGTCCTCTTTTAAGGAATTTCACCTGATTTACTCAGGCCCACTCAGGAAAATCACCCTTGATTAATTCAACATCAAGCTGATTAGAAACCTGGATTCCATCTGCAGAACCCCTTCACCTTTAGCGAATAATGTAACCTAATCATGGGACTGACATCTCACAGGAGGAGGGCTGGGCATCGCCTGTGGTCCAGGTAGGTGACCATCACACCTACTATTGAAAAGAGCTCAAAGCCTCTCTTATTATTTAGAGAACAGCAAGGGAAACCGAGGATTATGAGGCCTATTTTGGGAGCAAAACATTATCTGTCTGTTGGTTTGCTCTCCTTTCCCCCAAGATACCTGCTTTTTGTAGAAAATCAGTGCAAATCCCACATCCAGAAAATACTACCTGTGTAGCTACCTACCCCAATCTTCTTAGGAACCTTCCAGAACCATCCAGAGTGGTGTAGGGGTAGGGGGAATATTGAGGACATGCTTGGGGACAGGGTGGCAGGGAGTCAGCAACAGGCAGTTACAGCTTTGCCACCAAAGAAACAGCTGTCGGGATCAGAGAGTGTGTCCCGTCCTCTGTGAGGCAACTCCACCAAGATCCTATCCAAGAAGCCTCTGAGTGGCTGCCGTGCCTTTGGAGCCTGCAGTTCTGGCTGAGGGGAGCCATCTCCCAGTAACCCAAGTTTGCATTTGCTGAGAAGCATGAGGCCACTTTTAATATATTTTTAATATTCTGGTTATCATGCAAAGTCTCATCGATGAGGAAGTTTAAGCAGTGTGCAAACAAGGCAGCCTGCTGAGTGGTGTTGAGATACCTGGCACACCATGTCAACACGATGAGCCTCACGTTGTGTTTCTGATTATATTTAATAATACAAAATTAGCCTTTCTTAATGTAACATATTGTGCCTCAATGCCATTTGTTTGAAATAAAAACATTCCTTCCTACTTTTCAGTTGTATTAAAAGGACTCACATGGTGACTACAATTTCTAGGCATTTTCATGCATTTGCAAAACAGTTGGAAAACAGAGCAATTCTGTGAAACCAGGCAGAGAGGAGGGATGCAGAAATGGGCTTCATTACCCAAAGGCAAGGCAAATCAGTCCAGACACTTGTGGTTGAGGGTGCTTAGCGTTGACTTGTGGTGGGAGCACCGAGGCCACTCTATCCCGAGGGTGCAGTCCCCTTTTCTTTTTCCTTCACCCCAAGCCCAGTGATAAAGCCAGGAAAGTCTCCCCAGGCTGCAGACCCTCACTTCATGCACTCCAACCCACTGAGGAGCCCAGCGGGGAGCACTTAGGCAGGATCTGCTGGTAGGGGCTCCTGGAAGTGTGTCCGGAATTGGTGGGTTCTTGGTCTCACTGACTTCAAGAATGAAGCCGCGGACCCTCGCGGTGAGTGTTACAGCTCTTAAGATGGCGCGGCTGGAGTTGTTCGTTCCTCCCCGTGGGCTCGTGGTCTCGCTGGCTCAGGAGTGAAGCTGCAGACCTTCACGGTGAGCGTTACAGCTCATAAAAGCAGCGTGGACCCAAAGAGTGAGCAGTAGCAAGATTTACTGCAAAGAGCGAAAGAACAAAGCTCCCACAGTGGGGAAGTGGACCCGAGTGGGTTGCCACTGCTGGCTCGGGCAGCCTGCTTTTATTCTCTTATCTGGCCCCACCCACGTCCTGCTGATTGGTAGAGCCGAGTGGTCTGTTTTGACAGGGTGCCGATTGGTGCATTTACAATCCCTGAGCTAGACACAAAGGTTCTCCACGTCCCCATTGGATTAGTTAGATACAGTGTTGACACAAAGGTTCTCCAAGGCCCCACCAGAGTAGCTAGATACAGAGTGTCGATTGGTGCATTCACAAACCCTGAGCTAGACACAGGGTGCTGATTGGCGTGTTTACAATCCCTGAGCTAGACACAAAGGTTCTCCACGTCCCCAGCAGATTAGCTAGATACAGAGTGTCCATACAAAGGTTCTCCAAGGCCCCACCAAAGTAGCTAGATACCAAGTGTTGATTGGTGCATTCACAGACACTAAGCTAGACACAGGGTGCTGATTGGTGTATTTACAATACCTGAGCTAGACATAAAGGTTCTCCAAGGCCCCACCAGAGTAGCTAGATACAGAGTGTCGACTGGTGCATTCACAGACACTGAGCTAGACACAGGGTGCTGATTGATGTGTTTACAAACCTTGAGCTAGATACAGAGTGCCGATTGGTGTATTTACAATCCCTGAGCTAGACATAAAGGTTCTCCAAGGACCCACCAGAGTAGCTAGATACAGAGTGTCGACTGGTGCATTCACAGACACTAAGCTAGACACAGGGTGCTGATTGGTGTATTTACAATCCCTGAGCTAGACATAAAGGTTCTCCAAGGCCCCACCAGAGTAGCTAGATACAGAGTGTCGACTGGTGCGCTCACAAACCCTGAGCTAGACACAGGGTGCTGATTGGTGTGTTTACAAACCTTGAGCTAGATACAGAGTGCCGATTGGTGTATTTACAAACCTTGAGCTAGATACAGAGTGCTGATTGGTGTATTTACAATCCCTGAGCTAGACATAAAGGTTCTCCACATCCCCACCAGACTCAGGAGCCCAGCTGGCTTCACCCAGTGGATCCCGCACCGGGGCTGCAGGTGGAGCTGCCTGCCAGTCCCGCGCCGTGCACCCGCACTCCTCAGCCCTTGGGTGGTCGATGGGACTGGGCGCCCTGGAGCAGGGGGTGGCACTCGTCGGGGAGGCTCGGGCCGCACAGGAGCCCATGGAGGGGGTGGAAGGCTCAGGCATGGTGGGCTGCAGGTCCCGAGCCCTGCCCTGCAGGAAGGCAGCTAAGGCCCAGTGAGAAATCGAGCGCAGCGCCGGTGGGCCGGCACTGCTGGGGGACCCAGTACACCCTCTGCAGCCGCTAGCCCAGGTGCTAAGCCCCTCATTGCCCGGGGACGGCAGGGCCGGCCGGCTGCTCCGAGTGTGGGGCCCGCCAAGCCCACGTCCACCCGGAACTCCAGCTGGCCGGCAAGCGCCGCACGTGCCCCGGTTCCCGCTCGCGCCACTCCCTCCACCCCTCCCTGCAAGCTGAGGGAGCCGGCTCTGGCCTTGGCCAGCCCAGAAAGGAGCTCCCACAGTGCAGCGGTGGGCTGAAGGTCTCCTCCAGTGCCGCCAAAGTGGGAGCACAGGCACAGGAGGCGCCGAGAGCCAGCGAGGGCTGTGAGGACTGCCAGCACGCTGTCACCTCTCAGAAGGACTCCAGCAATCCACCTCACATCGAGGAGAGTTGCGCCTCCAGACTGAACACACGGTAGGTTTAGTTCTCGCTCCTATGTCTTGCAGGGCATTCTGATACTAGATTTTTCCATCTCCCCTTTCTGTTCTGATATGGTTTGACTGTGTTCCCACCCAAATCTCATCTTGAATTGCAATAATCCCCACTTGTCATGGGAGGGACCCAGTGGGAGGTAACTGAATCATGGGGGCCTGTCTTTCCCATGCTGTTCTCGTGATGGTGAATAAGTCTCATGAGATCTGATGGTTTTGTAAATGGGAGTTCCTCTGCACATGCTCTCTTGCCTGCTACCACATAAGACGTGTCTTTTTCTTTGCTTTCCGCCATGATGGTGAGGCCTCCCCAGCCATGTGAAACTGTGAGTCCCTTAAACCTCCTTTTCTTTATAAATTACCCAGTCTTGGGATTATTAGCAGCGTGAGAACAGACTAATATATATCCCAAATAATTCTGAGTTCAAACATAAAATTTGCTTTCTGCTTCTCTTAAGTTAGCAGAGATCACAGGATGCAGTAACATTTGAGTTTCAGAAGGAGGAGAGACCCCACTTCCTGTATTTTCCTTTTTATGCTTTCTTAGGCTCAACACATTCTCAAGAAACTTTTATTAAGCAAACACACAGGATTATGAAGACCTTTATTGACCCCCTAGTTATGCAGGACAGGACACAACAGAGGGCCCCAAGCCTACAGTCCCTACACATTCAGGCCCTTATGATGCTATAGTCCCTGGCAATCCACAGTTCTAAATAGGCATTGCAGAGCAAGCCGCTCAGGGCTGTGGGCTCCCACAGAACCTGGGGCTCAACTGAGCTCTGATCTGAAGCTGTGAAGACAAGAAGGACTCAAAGCCACTCCCCAGAGAAAAAGGCTGATGGTAGCCAAGGAGGAAGGTGAAAGGTATTTTCATCGATGGAAAAGAGGAGGAAATTTTGGCTTCACAGCTTAATATGAGGTAAAGGACTAGAATATTTTCCAAATGATGATACCTGGGGATATATCTTCAAGTGGCAATTCAACAAAAGCAAAACTGTCCTTCTAAAGAAATCTAAAGAAGCTAAAGCTATTTTTAGACATGCTTTAGAAAATTAACATATTGGTTGACGAATATAATGCAGCTGATAAAAGTAAATATTGCAATCAATGAAACATCCCCCCAAGAAAAACAACACTTTGAAATATGAAAATAAACAAGAATTTCCACTTTCACATATTAGTATATACTAACATGCATGTCATATGCAGCAAACCATGTGACTCCAGAAATTCCAGATGACCACAGCTACACAAAGAACTTAGACTAAAAATATAAGCCCTGAAAACATTAAAAAAAAAAAAATGGAGGCCAGGCACAGTCGCTCATGCCTTTAATCTCAACACTTTGGGAGGCTGAGGCCAGAGGATTGCTTGAGCCCAGTTTAAGACCAGTCTGAGTAACAAAGCAAAACCCTGTTTCTACAAAGAAAATTCTTTTTAAAAATAAAATAATGGAGTTATTTCAAATGTATGCAGGAGGACTAGATTACTCAATGCATGATCTAAATAACTGGTAAACTATTTTTCAAAAAAAGTTAGATATTTATGATACATCTTACAACAAATAAACTCCAGATGGAATAAAGAAGTAAATGAAAAATAGTATTATATAATAAAAGGGATAAGGCCAGGCTTGGTGGCTTACACCAGTAATCCCAGCATTTTGGGAGGATGAGGCATGTGGATCACCTGAGGTCAGGAGTTCAAGACTAGCCTGGTCAACATAGTGAAACCCCATCTCTACTAAAAATATAAAAAAATTAGCTGGGCATGGTGGCAGGCACCTGTAATCCCAGCTACTCAGGAGCCTGAGGTACGAAAATCGCTAGATTCCTGGGGGTGGAGGTTGCAGTGAGCTGAGATCGTGCCATGGCACTCAAGCCTGGGCAACAGAGCAAGACTCTGTTTCAAAAAAAAAATTAGCCAGGTGTGGTGGCGGGTGCCTGTAATCCCAGCTGCTTGGGAGGCTGAGGCAGGAGAATTGTTCCAACCTGGGAGGTGGAGGTTGCAGTGAGCCAAGGTTGTGCCACTGCACTCCAGCCTGGGCGACAGAGCGAGACTCTGTCTCAATAAATAAATAAATAAATAAATGGGATAAATATACATGATTTAAAAAAATATATATGTACATTTTGAGTGAGGCCTTTCCAAGCACAAGGCCTAAATAAGAAAACAGAAGAAATGACTAGAGATTTCTCTGGATAAAGATGAAAACACTGCTAAAAGAAGAAATACCTAAATAAAATTAAAATGAAAGCAAATTGAGAGACAACGTTTGCTAAATGTGTGAGTAGCCTATGGTTATTACCCTGGACATAAGAAAAGACTCACATATCAATAAGGAAAAGATAAATCCCTATGTGGAAAATGGGCCAATATTGTGGCAAAGATGATTCACAGAAGAGAAACAGGAGTGGTGAATAGAGGAGCGCGCAAGCTCACCTGGGGCTGCAGGTGTCACCACGTTGGTGTTTCCGTGGTGTCTTCCCTGTCGTTATCCTAGGAGACCTAGGAGAGGTTTGTTTGCCTGTTCTATTCCGCCTTGCTCTTTAATGGCCATAGCACTGTTCTCAAGAACCCAGTGGAAGGAAGGGGAAATTCTCCTATGTTGTTTGGTGAAAACGTAAATTGGTGAAAGCATTTTTTTTTTTTTTTTGAGACGGAGTCTCACTCTGTCGCCCAGGCTGGAGGGCAGTGGCGCAATCAAGGCTCACTGCAAGCTCCACCTCCCAGGTTCATGCCATTCTCCCGCCTCAGCCTCCTGAGTAGCTGGGACTACAGGCACCCGCCACGGCACCGTGCCTGGCTAATTTTTTGTATTTTTAGTAGAGATGGGGTTTCACCATGTTAGCCAGGATGGTCTTGATCTCCTGATCTCGTGATCCGCCTGCCTTGGCATCCCAAAGTGCTGGGATTACAGGTGGCATGAGCCACCGTTGGTAATTTAAAACATGCATAGTCTTTGAACCTAGAATTCCATTTCTAGAACTATTTCTGAGGGAAAATAGGACAAGTACAAAACGCCCTGTGTTCATCAAGTTCAACACAGTATCACTTACAGTATCAGAAACTCAGAAACATGCTACATTTGGGTCCACTAGGTGCCTGAGCTTCCAAAGAGTGAGCAGAGTAACACCTGCCTTTCAGAAACACTGTGAAGAGTCGATACCAGGAAATAGGTGCAGAGCATGGCACACAGCCAGCCTGTATCATATTATTAGTCTCGTTGTTGTTGTTGTTTAGCCATACTATGAAATACCAAGTGGATTTAAGAAAAATGTTGGAGAAATTTGTGTATTCACCTGGGGAAATTTGAGATATAGTAAATACAGAGAAAGCAAGCTACAAAACCACAATTGCAGGGAATTTCTATTTTTGAAAAGAAAAATATATGAATATGTATCATAAGCATTCTGAAAACAAATATGCAAAATGTTAATAGCACCTATCTGTGGGTTCTGGGAATATGCAGTAATTCTTTATTCATAATTCTCTGTATGTTCTTATTTATCTACAATGATTATAGATTTCTAGGGTAATGAAACAAATGAAATATATTTTAACTCTGAAAACGATGTAGAGACAAAGAAAATATTTACGATGCTGTCTGGGGTGGAGAGATAGACGCGTGGTCCACAGGTCAGGAGCCATCCCTCCCCAGCTGTCACACGCAGGCACAAACACCAAGGAGGCCAGCCATTCTCAGCTCCAGCCCAGCCTTCCAGGAACCTCTGGAGGCATGCTTGTCAAAGGAGGAGAAGTGATCACACTTTATGCAACAGCCTGGTTAGTTTGATGTATAACTTTTCAATACTTGGACATGCAGCCTGTGCATGCCTTTTATAGACTCTTGCTCTGGGCTCCGCAATGTCAGGGGTGGCTTGGGTCATGAGGATATCAGAATTTTCTTGTGGTCGATGATGTTTTAATTTTCTTTACTATTGTTATAAGTGGTTTTTTATTACAAAAATTAGAAATTAGGTCATAAAATGACCAAAATGACAGGTTTCCTTTGGGGGGCACAGCATGGCAATCCCCAGCCCACATCCCCGTCAGCTCATGCCTGGGCCCCCGGAGTCGCCACATTGCCAGGCGCCCTGACCTGCATCAGCCTCAGGCCTTGGACCTCTGTGGGCCCCGCCCCTGCACAGGCTCTTCTGGGCCCAGAGGCCCCGACCCCTGCCATCCCGAGTGTTCCTGCAGCAGCATCCTCGAGACCTGCATTCCACTTCCTCTCAAGGGTCTGGGGGCTTTTCCAAAAACACCCGCCCTGATGCCTTGGGCAGACGCTGGAACTCTGTTGACCGATTGGCCCACACTCCAAAGCATCTGCCTGGCTGCCTGTGGTGAGGTGACCCTCCTTCCCCCCGAGGGGACGGGGTTAGACGGGGTGTCCAGTTCATTCATGGTCTCCCACCAGGCCAGTCCCTATCTCTCTCCATCTCCTGTGTGTCTGAGTGTGTCTGCATGAGTGTATGTATGTGTATGTATGTCTGTGTGTATATATCTGTGTATGCATGTGTCTGTATATATAAGTGTGCATGTCTACATGTCTGTGTGTGCATATGTGTGTTACTGTGCCTGTGTGTGTGTATGTTGGTGTGAATATGTGTATGTGTGTGTGTTTCTGTGATCATTTTGTGTGTCTGTGTGTATAAGAGTGCCTGTGTGTGGACGTGTGTCTGTGTGCATGTCTATGTGTGTCTATATGTGTCTGTGTGTACCTGTGCATGTATATGTCTGGGTGTGTGTGTGTGTGTGTGTGTATCTGTGTGAATGTGTGTCTGCGTATGTGTGTCTGTGTTGTGTCTGTGTGTTTATGTGTCTGTGAGCAACTATATCTGAGTGTGTTGGTGTGTACCTGTTAGTGTCTATCTGTTTTGTGTCTATATGTGTGTCTCTGTGTGTTTCTGTGTATCTGTGTTGTGTCCGTGTGTGTGTTTCTGAGTGCATTTGTGTCTAGGTGTGTGTGTGTGTGTCTCTGTGTGTGTGTGTCTCTGTGTGTCTGTGTTGTGTCTACGTGTGTGTGTCTGTATCTGTGTGTGTCTGTGTGTCTGTCTGTGTTGTGTCTATGTGTGTCTGTATCTATGTGTGTGTGTCTGTGTGTGTGTGTCTGTGTGTGTGTCTATGTTGTGTCTACGTGTGTGTGTCTGTGTTGTATCTATGTGTGTGTGTGTTTGTGTCTATATGTGTGTCTCTGTGTGCCTGTATGTGTATCTGTGTTGTGTCCGTGTGTGTGTTTCTGAGTGCATTTGTGTCTAGGTGTGTGTGTGTGTCTGTGTGTCTGTGTCTGTGTTGTGTCTACGTGTGTGTGTCTGTATCTATGTGTGTGTGTCTATGTTGTGTCTACGTGTGTGTGTGTCTGTGTTGTATCTATGTGTGTGTGTGTTTGTGTCTATATGTGTGTCTCTGTGTGCATGTCTGTGTATCTGTGTTGTGTCCGTGTGTGTGTTTCTGAGTGCATTTGTGTCTAGGTGTGTGTGTGTGTGTGTGTGTGTGTGTGTGTGTGTGACTGTGCATGTGCAGGAGGAAAGGAGATGCCCTCACAGGTTGGAATGGTGCACCTGCCTGGCTTTTGTGGGCTGAGAGGACTGTACCCTAAGGGAGGGTGACTGTGATGGACGGGACCCTAGTGACTCTGGCTGTTGCAGTGAGCACACTGGCTCTGAAACCACTGCCTAAATGGCCTGGCAGTGACACCACACTGTGTAGACTCAGAGACCTGGAAGGTCCAGGTAGCACACAGTGGCTTGGACCAGCAAGCAAAGGGCATGAAGTCATAGATTTTTGATAAATGCTTGACGGATGAAGTTTGCTCCTTGGGCTCATGGCCAAAGGAGCCAGCTAAATTTGAACATGCTGCAAGAGCTGACCTGCTGGTGTTCCACGTGCAGACACTGAAATTCCCTCCTCGGGCACAGCCACCTCTACTCAGGTTTTAACCAAGACAGAACTAGGGGATTCCTAAACTCAGGAAACATGATGGAAGCGTGACGTATCCTTTTCCTCTGAGTGCGGTATTAGCAGCGTATCGTGATAGAAGTCGAGAGAGGCTTTGAGGTATCTGCAACAACTACATTATGACCAGGAAATGTCAGCAGTTCTCACATTTCTTCTGAAAAGGTGGTTTCTTTGCCCACCACAGACTAGCTCTGGGATGTGTTAAAGAAGGGCATATCACATGTTTCTTACATCATCTATACCATCTATTTGGTTATTTTCTTATGTGACAACTGCATTTCAATGTTCGATTTCATTTCACAGATTAAAAAGATCCTTCTGGGAAGGGAATCCAGAGGCCACTCCAAATGCCAAAGGGGTCTGTCCAGGGCAGAGATGCCAAGGGCCCTGCCAGGGGGTGCCATGAGCTTAACACCCCATCAGTCAGCAACTTCAGGTTGCAAACTGGGCAAAACGAGCATTTTCTAAGGGAACCCATCCTTACTTCATACCTCCCAGCTTCCTAAATTTAAGTGGCAACTCCAACTTTGTTCCAGCACCCGGTGCCAGGAGCTCAAGATGAAAGAAGGCCATGGGATGGAGCCAACCACAATACAGCCTTTGAGCCAGGAGAAAGAATAGACAAAACTGGAAAATAAGCACAGAGCTTTGTTATTATGGTGACTTTGGCTGGTGTAAGAAAGCACAGGCTTTAAAATGCTCAGGGTCACACAGAAGCAAAGATCTGGGGCCTATTTGTTTGGGAGCCAGAGATTTGGGGAGAAACCGCCAGGATCATAATTCTGGCTGGCACCGTGGGTAATGACCCAGAACTGGTTTGTTTTGACAGTTAAAATCCAAAGCAGATCACCAAGATGCTGCATGCAGTTTAAACCAAGCTGGGCCTCGCAGGCAGAGCCCAAAACCAAAGGCACCAGTCGCCTGAGGAGATCTGCGCTCTCCTTCTCTCCCACCTGGGTAGAATTGAGCATGGAGGTTACCCAGGAAGTAACCTGGATGATAAGTTAGGAAAAATTAGGCTGCTGGGCTGCTCGTGAAGGCCAGAGCACATTTTGCTGGTAAACCTGCCAGATGCCCAACCATGCCAGAGCCCGTGCTAGGGGCCCCAGTATCTCCAGATCTAATTTTTCCAAGAGAAAATGCTTGCAATTCTTTCTCCACCTGAGATGGAGGCTGTGATCCCGACACATAACCAGCCCATTTCGGAATAAGTGTAACGCCTAGCTTGGCATTTTAAAGCTATAAATGGATATTTCAATCAGTGAAAGAAAATCCACAGAAAAACAAACAGGATATGACCCTTTCTCAAATATCAAGCCCCAGCATAAATCAGCCCGTCCTCCCCCAGGAACATGCCAAGTCCAGTATTAGCCCCTAGGGTTGGAAAGAGTCCAAAGGTGAATTTAAAGGGAATTTTGGGAAACTCTTATAAAGTAATGAACATGTCTGACATTCCGGGCTGTAACAGGGTAGCTTGTAGCAGAGTGATCCTGCCACTGAGAAAAACTATAAAAGCTAGGTAGAAAAAAAAATCTGTTTGAAGACATTGGAGACCACTCAAGACAGGCAGGACTTGAGGGTGCGAGATCCCAGAGGGAAGAGGAAGCGCTGAGATGAGTCCTCACTCACGGATGCTTTTTTCCCACTGGGGAATATGCCAATTTACAGCACAGGGCACAGAGTTGACAGGAAAAATGGGAGAACCTAGAAAAGTCTCAGTGGGCTGAGAAGACAAAAAGTAAAGTGTTGTACGGCCAGAAAATGAAGGGCCAAGCTTCTAGTGTAAAGGGAACCCCTAGAGAAGGGAGCCTGATATTCTGCACCCAATTCCCCCTGGGGCATTTGTTAATGCTGAGCTTCCCAGACACAGGGCAAGAGGAAGAGGAACCAAGAGGAAAGCAGCTGCTAAGAGGCTTAAAAGCTAAGCAGGGATTTTGGCAGGCTCCCAGCCCTGGGGACACAAAAATGGAAGTTCAGAGCCCGCTGAGAAGGAGGGGCCCTGGTAAGTACTGCACGCTTTTAGCTGAGATTCCTGAAGGAACACAGCCCAGGAGCAAGGGCAACCCAAAATAGGTCACCCCTTCCAAAGCCAGATGGAAGCCTGGAAGGGCCAAGGCCATCTTCCTGCACTCCATCCCCCTCAAGGAGAAAATGATAACAGTATCCAGGGTCTTTACCAATGCATTTTTACATGCAAGTTTTGGCATTCAATTTAAAAATATCAGGCAAGACATGCAGTAGAAATAAATTATCAAAAAATCAAGGGAAAAAATGATAATAGGAACAGGCTCACAGGTGATCCAGACGTTGGAGTAATCAGACATGAACTTTAAAATGACTCCAGTAAACATGTTTAAGAAAATGGGTGAAAAATAGAGAGCTGCCCCACCAAAGTGGATTCCATAAGAAGGAATCAAAGTGGAAAATGTAAGACAGAATGTAAAGATTCAATCAGCTGACTCAGTTGAACATTAGAGAGAGCAAAAAAGAGGATAATTGAACTGATAGATAGATCAGTATGAAATCTTCAAAATGGGAACAGAGGGGAAAATTGGAAAACACTGTCAACGGCATAAGAGGTATTTGGGATATGGAAAAAAAGTCTAACATATGGTAAATGGGAAGATTAGGATAAAAGCATCATTTGAAGAGATGTTAGTTGAGAATTTTCTACTTCTGACAGAAGAATGTCAAGATGTTCTATGAACCCACAAAAAGGATAAATACAAAAACCACTTCACGTAAAAACTGCTAAAAATCAAAGACAGAAAGAAAAATGTTAGAGGAAAATGGACGGCTGGCTTCACAAAAGAAATGAAAAAGTCAAAAGACAGTGGAAAGAAATCTTGAAGATGCTGGAAGTAAATAATTGCTAAGTTAGGAATTATATGCTCATTGAAATATCCTTTGAAAAATAACACATAAGCTTCAAAAAATTCGAATGTTCATTTCCAGTAGACTCACACCAAAAGAAATGGTAAAGCAAATTATTCAGGCACAAGGCAAAGGTAGGAATAAACAAAGCACATCAGAAAGAAGAAATGTGGAGGCAAATCTGAAGGAATAATGATTGCTTAAAACAATAATAATAATATGTGGAGAGTTTGAAGTATATATAGAATTAAAATGCAAAACAACAACAGTATAAAAGAGAAGAGGGGAATAAATGTAGTTAAATGTAGTTGCACCATTGGAGAAATGGAAAAAGAACTAAACTGAGGTCGACTCTAAGAAGTCAAAAATGTACAAGTTTCCCAGACTGAGGTGGGCCCATAGAAGGTGAAAATTAAAGAATAAATGGTAATTAAATTGGCTGATGTCAGAAGAGAGAGAAATAGAAGAAACGAATGAATACCAAAGAATAAGAGGTCAAATAAAATCTCTTCATACCAAAGGTTACATTAAATGTAAATGGAATAAATATGCTAATTAGAAGACTAATATTTTCTTTTAAATAAATTGTTAAAGCCTAACTATAGGCTGCTTACATATATGCTAGATGATACGTGTTTTGATTACAAGAACAAAATTGAATTGTAAGTAAAACAATGAAAATAAGTAAAAGAGAGATCCTATGCAAACACCAGCCCAAAGAAGACTAATAAGCCTATATTAATATAGACTTTAAGACAAAATGCATTACTAGAAATACAGAGAGCTAGTCCATAATGATAAAACGGACAGCTCAGCAGTAGGATAAAACAATCCTAAATTTGTTTCATCTAATAAAATGTCCTCAAAATATATAATACAAACCAAAAAGAAATAAAAGTAAAGCCACAGAGATCCACAAATTTAAATGGGGATGTTAACACACCCCTTTCAGTGGAAGGTAGGCAAAGCAGAAAAAAGAAAATCAGTAAGTTTATAGAGGATTTGAAAGTCACAATGAACAGATCTGACTTATTTAACATGTAGAACACTGTACCCAACAATTGCTGGATATATATTCTTTGCAAGAGCACATAAAACATTTTTTAAAGTAGACTATATGGTGGATTATAAAATAAGTCTCAACAAATTTCAGAGGACTGGAATCATACATAATATAATCTATGACCAGAGTAGAATTGAGCTAGAAATCAATAACAGAAGGTTAGTAAGAAATTATTTTGTAATTATTTGGAAATTAAGAAAAGAAATTTTTAATAAAAGCATGGTAAAAAAGAAATTATAATGAAAATTAGAAAATATTTTGAACTAAATAATAATATATATATAATATATACCAAAATTTGCAAATAAAGTTAGTGCCTAGACAGAAATGTGTAGCCTTACATGCACATGCTAGAAACAAAAACTCTAAAAAATGATAATCCAAGCCAAAAGTATTTAAATGTTTTGGTCTCAAAATCTCTTTGTAGTCTTAAAAGTTAGTAAAGTTTACAAAGAACCTTTGTTTATGTGGCTAATATCCATTTTTATTTACCACATTCTAAGTTAAACCTGAGAAATTTTTAAATTTTTATTAATTTATCTTAAAATAATAATAATAAATCCAGAACATCTTAATGTAAATAATCTTATGTTAAGAAAAATGTATTCTAAAGCAGACTATTTAGTGCCTTGGCATTGGGTAGCATTGTCTTACATTTTTGAAAATTTCTAAAATATCTGGCTTAATGGAAGACAGCTGAATTCTCATATTTGCAGCTATATTCAATCTATTGTTACATTTTATTTTGGTTAAAGTATATAAAGAAAATCTAGCTTCATACAGATATCTAGTTGGAAAAAGGAGAAGTATTTTAATGTCTTTGTCAAATAATTGTGTATGGTCTTCTTTGATACTACACCAAAATTTGGCAGGCATAGTTTCTAAAGGCTAATTGCAATGTGAATCTGAATCCATATAAATACAGCTTTTGCATGCTGTTACATTAAAACCTATTGGTCTGTTTTGCACATTAAATGGATAGTTCACCCATGCATCATTTTGTAACATAATGCAATGGTTATTTGGAAAATATTGGCTAAGTGAGTTGTGCACATCTTGTAAATGTTTATATGTGCCTTCATACAATTATTTTAAAATTATATTCATTAATATCTCTACCTATCTCATCATAAAAGTCTTAAAGTACTGAGAAACTGTTGAGTTAATAGTGGGAACAACCTTCCCAGTTTTCCTGGGACTATTATAACTTTAGCACTGAAACTTCTGCGACCCGGAAAATCCCATGGTCTCAGGCAAACCAGCATGGTGGACTGACAGTTGGTAGATGCACATTTTCCATAATTTGTAATTTTGCTTAAATCGTTGAATTTTATCATTAGCAATAAATGCTTTTGGAGGTTTTTTTGAAATGACAGACTCATTTGATTCTTCTTTTGAAAAAACATCTGTCAGATACCCAAGTTAGAATAACTATAACTTGTCTATTATTTGTGTTTTTTTTTTCAAGTAAAAATAGAAGTCCATGAACAAAGTGGCAAGTTCACTTTGCCTCTCAAACCACTACAAAACTACTTTACTTTGAGGCAATCACTAGGCTTCAGTGTGCGGCCAAAACACTATGCATACTTCCCATTGTGCCATACAGAATATTAAAATTAATAATTTTTGGCTGCTCATCAGATATATTTTTAACTGAAACTAGGATTTTGTTTGCAAGTAAGTGGCATTAAAGCATAAAGTGACTCCCAGTACATGGCGGTTGTCACTATGCTAATTCAACCTCAGGCACCAACAGTTTTATTCACCATTATTTCTGCATCATCAGTGCACAAGAAAACAAAGTAGAAAGGGTAATAAATACGTAATATTGTCTTAATGTTATTATAAATATATTGCTGATCTCACAGAGCTCCTAAAATTATCCTGAAGATCCCCAGAGTTCCCAGAAGACACTTTGGGATCTGGCGATCTAAGTACCCGTATCACGAGCCTAAAAACGACAGGTAAAGTGAGCCCAAAGAAATGAAAAGTATAAGAGAAACTAACCATTCGATATATGGATTTAACAACATATTATAAACAGCAGCAGAAAAAAGAATAAAGGTAAGAGCAGAAACCAGTAAAATATAAAGCAAATATAGCAGAAAATAAACAAACACAGCCTGAAGTTGGCTTTTTGAGAAGTCCAACAAATTATATAAATGGATATAGTGAGACTAGTGGAGAAAAAGAGAAACAATAATAACACCAACAGCAGAAACAAAAAAGGACCCATCAATAGAGATATTCAGACATTAAAAAGATAAGTAATAACATGGGATTTTGAACAACTTTATGTCAATACATTCGGAGAATTTAGGTGGAATGGGCAAATTTATTGAAACATACCAGACTCAGGAAGAAATAGGAAGTCTGAAAAGTTAAATGTCTATTAAAGAAATTAAATCTATTGTTCAAAGACACTTCAAAGGAAAAAAAATCAACGTTCACATGGCTTCACTGGTGAATTGTTCTAAATGTTGAAGAAAGAAATGACATGAATCTTGCACACCTTGTTAAGGCTAGCAGAAGAGAAACAACTCTTCCAATACATTTTTTGAAGCCAATATAATCTTGACACCAAAATGTGACAAGGACATTAATGAACAAGAAAACTATAGGCTTATATCTCTAATTAACATAGATACAAATATCCCAAATAAAATATCAACAAACCAAATCCAGTGATAAAGAAAAGGTGGGTGTATCACAGCTCCACAGTGTTAATTTTAGGTTCAAGTTTGGTATAAATTTGAAAATTAGTCAGTATAATTGACCACATTGATAGTAGAAAGGAAAAACCCTGAAAGCATTGTAGCAGAAGCAGAAAATGACTTTAATAAAATTCAGCATTCATTCATGACAAAAATTTAGCAAATTAGCACTAGGAAGAACCTTTCTTAATTTGACAAAGCACGCACATACACACCAGCAAAGATTACATTTACTGATGAAATACTGAAACATGCCCCCTGAAATTGGGAAAGAAGACAAAAGTGTCTGCTAGTATCACTATAATCACAACACTGTACTAGACATGCTAAGTATTGTAATAAGACAAGAAAAATAAAGGTTTAAGTGTTAAAAGGGAAAAACTGAAACTTATTACTTTTAGTTGACGTGATTATGTATGTGGAAAATATTACAGATAAATTATTAGACTTAATAAGTAAATTTATCAAAGTATCTGGATTGAAGGTTAACATACAAAAATCAAAATTGCATTTCTATATACTAGAATCAAACAAGAGAAAATGATTTTTTCACAGATATTAATTATAGTATAGCATGAAAAATTATTTATCAAGGAATTAATCTTCTGAAAGATGTACAACCTCTGCACAGAAAACAGCAAAACATCACTGAGAGAAATGATAGGGGCCTGAAATGAGTGAAGGTCTATCCTGGGCACATTGATTAACCAACTCAATAGTGTAATTATGTCAGGTCTCTAGAGCCTCAATAAAATCTGTCTTAGAATCCTAGGAGGATTTGTGTGTGTGAGATTAACAAACTGGTCTTAAATTGATGTGATAATGCAAATGGCCCTCTTGAAAATTAGATTTATTATACTTAAATAGGATAAGGAATTAATAACTAAAACTCATGATGCAAGGGTAAAGAATCAACAAACACAAACGTATACAGTTATACATGCAGTCGTGGCAATGTTTTGGTGGAAGACAGACCACGTATACAAGGGCAGTCCCATATATTATAATGGAGCTGAAAAATTCCTGTTATCTAGTGACTTCCTGATGATCTTGACCCTGTGTAGGCCTAGGTTAATGTGTATGTTTTTGTCTTCATTTTTAACAAAATTTTTTTTTAATTCAGTAAAAACGTTGAAAATAGAAAAAGGGTTATAGAATAAGAATAGAAAGAAAGAAAATATTTTTGTACAGCTGTACAATGTGTGTTTTGAGGTAAGTGTTGTTACAAGACTCAAAAAGTTAAAAAAGTTAAGTTTATAAAGTAAAAATAATTATGGTATGCTAGTTAATTATTTATTAATTTATTATTAAACAAGAAATTTTTAATAAATTTAGTGTGGCCTGAGTGTTCAGTGTTTATGGAGCCTCCAGTAGTGTACAGTCATGTCCTAGGCCTTCACATTCACTCACCACTCACACACTGACTCACCCAGAGCAAGTTCCAGTTCTGCAAGCTCCATTCATACAAGCATACCATTTTTTATCTTTTATCTTTTATTTTTACTGTACCTTTCCAATATTTCGATGCACCAATAATCAGCACTGTGTTACAGTTGCCTAGAGTATACAGTACAGTATCATGCTGTATAGATTTGTAGCCTCGGAACAACAGGCTAAACCACATGGCCTAGGTGTGTAGTGGGCTATACCATCTAGGTTTGTGCAAGCACACTCTCTGACTTTCACACAATGAAATCACGTAAAGATGCATTTTTCAGAATGTATCCCCATTTTTAAGCAACACGTGACTGTATATGTATAAACGTGTATGTGTGCATGGATGTGTATACGCATGTGTGTATGACCTTTAAACCTAATACATCACCAAATGCCTCTGGTAGCCAGTGGGGTAATGATAGCCTTTTCAAAAAATGGTGCTCTAGAGACTCGATATCCATGAGCAAAAAAATGAACCTGACACTTATCTTCCACCATACACAAAACTCATTGCCAGATGAATCATAGACCTAAATGTAAATGGCAAATCAATAATAGCTTTTAGAAGGTAATATGGGAGGATATCATTGTGACCTTTGCGTAGGCAAAAATTTCTTACATAGAAAACAAAAAGCATTAATCATAAAGGAAAATATGATTCATTGAACTTAATTCAATACAAAAATTTATATTTACTAAAAGATATCATTAAGAGAATAAAAGAAAGCACAGTGTGGGAGAAAATATTTTCCATACATGTGTACAATAATTAACTCAGATCCTGGATATAAAGGGAACTCCTACACTTAAATAAGAAATAGACAACTCAGTTTTCTACAAATAATCAAAAGTATAACCTATAAAAGGAAAATTGATAAATTTAGACTTCATCAAAATTAAAAACATTTATTCTGTGAAAAATCCTGGTAAGAGAATGAAAAAATAAGCTATAGTGGGAGAAAATATTTGCAAACTATACATCTGACCAATGAATAGTATCTAGAATATATAAAAACTCAACAGCAATAAAACCAACAATCCAACTGGGAAATGGGAAAAAGACATGATGAAACCTTTCACCAAAGAAGCTATACAGATGGCCGATAAGCGCGAGAGCAAAATGTTTAATGTCATTTGTTATTAGGAAAATGCAAATTAAAACCACAACAAGATATCCCTACACACCTACCAGAATGACTACAATCAAATACGGGGACAGCCCCAAATGCTGATGAGGATGCAAGGAAACAGTATTATGCATCCATCGCTGGTGGGAATGTGAAATGATATAGCTACTCCAAAAAACAGCTTAGCAGCTTTTTTATGATGAAACATGCAACTATCACATCACCCAGCAGTTGAATTCTTGATCATCATCCTAGAGAAATGAAAACGTAGGTTCACATGGAAACCTGTAGATGAGTGTTCATAGCTAAAATCTGGAAACCACTTGGATTTTCTTCAACATGTCTAGACCAACTGTGTACAACCACGTCATGGAACACTACACAACGATGAAAGGAGCAAACTATTGATACCACAACCTGGATGAAACTCGAAGGAATTGGGCTGAGTCAAAAAAGTCAATCTCAAAAGATTACACCCTGGAGGATTCCATGTATATAACATTTCAGAAATGACAACGTTATAGAAATGGAGTCATTGTTACCAGGGATTAGAAACAGGGTGGGAGGTGCGGCTACAAAAGGACAGCATGTGAAACTCTTGGGGTGGTGGAAATGCTTTGTGTCTTGATTGTATTAAAATCAACACCCTGCTTGTAATATTGTACCTTAGTTTTGGAAGATATTGCCATTGTGGGAAACTGGGTCAAGGGTATACAGAATCTCTCCAAATTATTTCTTTCAATTGTTTTCAATCTACAATTACCACATTTTAAAATTTAGTTTAAAGGTAACTATGAACACCAATTTAAAAAAACCCCAAAAAACAAAAAAGAGCTGATATTCACTTTATTAAGTAGTTTAAACAAATGGATAATTAGCATATTGAATGTGTTCAACCTAATTAGTCATCAGAGATTTGTAATTTAAAACTACAAACATACCACTACTTATTCACCAGAATGAAAGGGGGAAAAAAATGACAATTCCAAGTGTTAGCAAGATGTAGAGTAACCAGAACTCATACCCACTGCTGATGAGGGATGCAGCCACTTGGAAATCTACTTGACAGTGTCTGATAACAAAGAACATTCATATAGTCTATGACCCAGCAATTTCACCTCCAGATATATGCCCAATAAAAATGCATATTACTCACCAGGGGACATGCACAAGAATGTTCTTGGCAGTACTATTTGTAATAGCCAAGAGCTGGGTGAAAACTCCACAAATGTCCATCAACAGCAGGATACATAAATGTGTTCTGATTCTCTCATGCAGTAGAATATTAGACAACAATGAAAAAGAATGGATTGCTGCTACATAAAACAACGTGGATGAATCTTGCAGAAATCATGTGGAAATAGAGAAGCCAGATGCCAAAGACAAAGGAGTAGAGAATGCATCATTTCATTCACATAACGTTTTGAAACAGGCAAAACTTATCTATGAGGATAGAAGTCAGAACAGTCGTCCTTTAGCAAGGTAGTGACTACAATGAGCATGAAGCAGGCTTCTGTTGGCTCAACAAGGAGAAATGCAATGACATTAAATGTTGTTAGCACCAGAATGGGTGGAGCTCTTGTTAAGGACATCAGAAAATTATCCCACCTATTCAGGGTTGAAGGAGAGAGGTGATGAAGAATATAGAAAGCAGAAGAAACTCATGATGAAGGATGCACCATATCACAGCTGTTGATACAAACACAGAAACCTCAGTGATGGTCTCATCCTCATTAAAGTTTTGGAGGAAAACATGGTATTGCCTAAGGATCTGTGATTCTTTGGTCCTGAGAAGAGAAAGCCAGGGGTTCATGTAATAGCGTATGGGAAATGTGAGTGAGTACATTTATCAAAGACAATTACAACATATGATTAGCTCTACAGAAGGGAAGAAATGTCTTGGCGATAGGATACTGCTAGGAGGTGACTTGTCTCCGGTTTAGTAAGGAAAACCCCCACTTGTATCTAAATTATAAAGAACATTGCTTTTCATGCTGCAAATAGAGAGCTCACAAAAAAATCAGGGCTCCAAATAGAACACACTGCTCCACCTTCATGACAAGACGCGCACTGGTTTAGGAGTGATTTATCTACCTTTCCCAGTATCTGTAGAGTTATTAGCATTCCTCTTTTATATATAACTTAAGGGGGTATGAAATTGAAAAATCTATGAATTCACTTTTTTTAAATGCCAATTTTAAAATGCCACAAAAATTATTTTTCCAGCTTCTTACTGACTTGATCCTCAAAACCATCCTGCCTGTCTGGGGGCAATCTGAGTGTTCCGTGAGTGAGCAAACAGGGTACAGGTGGAACCTTAGACCCATGGCTCACAAAGGCTTGCACACACACATCCGTCTATGAGTGCCCAGGCAGTGCCAACAGCAGCCAAGGCAGGACGGGGCTGGGGGATTTTAGCAGAGTGGAACCATCCTTCCTGGCTCAGATTTGAGTTGGGGGAAATCCCATGTTCTTTCTTTTTCCTTTTGGGTACAGAACCTTGTATGTTTCCCTGCTTTCCGAGTGTCCCTGATACTGTAGTGATATCTAAATGAAATCCATGCCTAAAATGATTAGCCTCTGAAGCCAGATTCCTACTGCTCAAAGAGGTGGAGATAGAGACCACGCTCTCCAGTCACTGCTGCTCATTGCTATTTGCTGAACTTATAGGCAGCAAATATTCATTTCAGATGTGGCCAAAAAGGTTTGTCTACCAAATATATAGCTATGTTATTTTCTCCATGAATAAAAGATTTTAGGAAAGGAAAAATGTGATGAAACTAAAACGTCCTTACCTGAGGATCTCTAAAACCTGAAAACAATGAAGAAAGGAGTTTATTCACCAATGAGAGGCCTCTGTTTGGGGAGTTTATTCACTAATGAGAGGCCTCTGTTTGAGGAGTTTATTCACCAGTGAGAGGCCTCTGTTTGGGGAGTTTTTTCACCTATGAGATGGCTGCCAGGGGTCTCGGGTAGGGAGCAGTCCCAGGGGAGGCACTGACTCCAATCCCACGAAGCTCAAGGACACGTGCGTCTTAAGGACTCCATGTCGTCATCAGATGTGGAGCGGCATTGGGACTGGAGTGAGGGTGGGCAGGTGCCATCAGCACCCACGAGTCCATACTTGAACTGCCCTTTGTTCTAAGGGGTTTATTTCACCCATAATAGACTGTGTTGACTTCAAAGCAGCCCTCACACTTGTGGGGTGATAGGCCAGGAGAACAGAGCTCATTAACAATTGTCCTTTTCAAATGGAAATTGTTCTGCCTTTATGCAGGGTGACTGGAGAGCCCCTCATAGAATTAATGCTTTCTCTTTTCTCTCTGTGATTCTTTGGGTCCTTGTATGATTCTGAATGGAGATGGGAAAAGGGAGAGAGAGCAAATTAAAGAAATATTCATAACACTTTTCTCCTAGCACAAGCTCAGTGGGTCAACCAAGATACTCAGAGACCATCCAGTCTCAAAGAATTGAGTTCCCTCACCAGTGCCCCCCAAATAATAATATAAGACAACCACGTCTTTGCATGTCAAGCATTTAACCATTTGCTGCAGGGTCCATACACACATACACACAGTGGACTGAGTTGAGCAACAGCCACATCTTTTCATAAAGAGGAACCACTGGGCCTGAGCTACTCTGTGGCCTCTTACACAATCACTTGGAAGACCATATGCTCCCCATGCTGGAAGCAATGTTTAAAAACCCAAGCCCAGCTACTCTGGAATCCCAGGGACTTTGAGGAAGGGGAGCTCCTGAGCAAGGGCAAGGCTGGGTGATATTCCTAGAGATGCAGTTTGATTCCTGAGGGAGGGCAAGTCCTGGTGGTGTTCCTAGAGATGCAATTTGATTTGATCAAGGACTAGGTCAAACCACAGCTCTAGGCGTGGCCTCCAGGGGTTTGTCTCCCCAGCGTGACCTTAACATGTTTTCCATTCTCCCTGGGATCAGACAGCCTCTTGCTCCCACACCCTTTGTCCCCAGGGTCCCTGTCTCCACAGAGAAACCCCGCTGGGAGTGGGGCTCCAGGCATCAGGCTAGAGAAAGAAGAAGGACATCCTACACTGCTGAAAGGAGCCGTGGGGGAATGACAGCTCACCAGATGAGCATAATGGGGGCTGCAGAGAAATTTCAGGACAGGGAAACGACATTTGATGCCTGAAGGGAAAAACCTGTGGGAAGCTTTGGGATGTATTGCTGTAGCGGGAGACCTTGGTGGGGCTGACCCTTCAATACAGGATACGCGTTAATGGACCCAAAATATTGAAAGCAAATATTGACTCCAGCTCCTGAAAAGACTTTAATTATTTATTTTGAATAATTTGATACTCAAGTAAATTAATGCTAAAGCATTTCTCTGTTTGTGCCAAATCAGTGCTTCTCAGTGGGAACTCGGCCCATCTTTGCAGGCAAGCGCTCACTCTCAGTAGGCAGTCCATTTCTGCAGAGTGCCATTAAGTTAATTTCAAAAAGAACCAGTAAAGGTATATGGAGCAGGCAGTAATAGCATGGAAAATATCCAAAATTACTAGACCCAGCAACAGAACTTGGATGCCATTTTCATGCACTAATAATTTGTAGTCTACATATTGAAGGTAACTATAAACTGACTACTTTCCCTGCTAAAGCATTCGGGTAATTAAAAATACGCTGTTAGTTGTCTACGTTTCAACATGGGGGAACAAGATGCCTTTTTTCTCTTCCTTGGTAAATGCAGTTTGCAGACTATTATCCAAAGTGACGCTGAAGTCCTTTGTCACAGGGATTATTTCACGTCCTTGTTTTCCTTCAGGAGTATCAGGTGGGTTTGCCCACCAGGCCAGAGAGCAGAACAGAGATGCTGTGGGGGAAGTTCCAGGAAATGGTTTCATTTTAGACGGATTACTGTACTAGGAATTTGTTAATGGGGGCGATTCTGGATGAACCACACAAAATTAAACATCTGACAACAGGAAGGCCCCCCCAAAATACATCATATGCTTTTGTTTAGAAGGGAAATGTAGAGAACATGGGCAGGAAAAAACTGTCAAACAACATTTTTAACTTCTAAGACCAGGTAAAAAGAAGACAAAGTATTTAAAGTTTCTATGAACCTCCTCTGTGTGGGTACTTCTTGCTGCTTCACGGATTTCCAGGAGGAATTACTTCCTTTCACTTCTGTTTCATCCTGACAGCCACTGTTTAGGCTGTTTTTATAAGCTACCCATTTCTATAAATCCCTGTAGAAAAGAGATCAATTTAACCAAGGAAAGTTAAAAAAAAAAAAAAAGCAATCTTTTTGCTATTCATGAAGGATATCAATAGTATAGCAACCAGACTTGGCCACAGTCATTGTTCCTTTCCCATGCCTGCAGAAGTTGTAGTTTCAACAGTACAAAGCCCTTTAACTATTAATTGGGTCTAAGCTACACCCATGCAATTAGTCAAGTAATCACTCCAAAGGACAGCGGCTTTGATCTTCAGAACGAAGAGATATGAAAATGACAAAGAAGCAAAGTTTCATTCTGGGTTTTCCATGCAATTTTGGTTTACCTCAATTGGAAGTGTGGGTGAGTGCTTTAATTATGGAGACAATGCAAGGTGGCCCCAGGGAGGGCCATGGCTTCCAGACCCACTCAGTGCTACCATCTGGGGTGGATCTTTTCAAGGCACTCTCCAAAATTATCAGATGGATTTGGTAATTCTCTCAGTAATTTACCCAAAAGAATTAAATTGTCTCTTGAGGTTTCAATCGTCCCTGGAGAGGCTGTATCTTGGCATTTTAAAAGCAACAGCACAGGCCGGGCGCAGTGGCTCACGCCTGTAATCCTAGAACTTTGGGAGGCTGAGGCGGGCAGATCACGAGGTCAAGAGATAGAGACCATCCTGGCCAATGTGGTGAAACCCCATCTCTACTAAAAATACAAGAATTAGCTGGGCCTGGTGGCGCATGCCTGTAATTCCAGCTACTTGGGAGGCTGAGACAGGAGAATCACTTGAACCAGGGAGTCAGAGGTTGCAGTGAGCTGAGATCGCGCCACTGCACTCCAGCCTGGTGACAGGGTGAGAGCGAGACTCCGTCTCACAAAAAAAAAGAAATGCAACAGCACAGAGGCCTGAAAGCCAAAGAGTTGGAGACTCAAAGACAGATTCCCTACTCATCTGCAACTCCCAGAGCTAGACGGACTCAGTATCTTCCCATCTGACATCTTGCCTGGCACTGGCTTTTCTCTTAATCCCTTCCATGTTCTATGGTCAGCTACAAAATACAGCATACTCACACCACATGATGTTTTGCACCATAGTGAGGGTTGTTTCTGAGGCTCCTTCTGGATTTTCTACCTTCCCAACCTCCCCAGTGAATCAGGCTATGTATATCATATACATACAAGGTCTACCTGACCTCCCCAGTGAATCAGGCTATGTAAATCATACGTATGTATCAGTCAATAGTTGGGAATGTGCTTGAGCTGCCTTCCTCAGTTTCACCTCCACAGCTCCCTGGGAAGCTGACATCGCCACCACTGCTGTTTAGGCAAGTGAACATGAGGCACCTTCCCCAAGATCAAAAAGCTAGGTGGACTGAGGAGTAGGGCTCAAACACAGCTCAGATGCTGCTGAAGACTCATCCAGAGCCTGTCCTAACTAACTTCACACCCTGAACACACAGGTGTGCTGGGCTTGGGCCCTGTGCGGTGTCCCCAGAGCTAGAGAAGTAAAAGAAGAAGAGGGAGGTGTCGGAGGCTGTGGACGGGCTCCGTGTGTCCCCTCCCCTTCCCTGGCGCAGACGTGGGTGGTCGTATCTACAATATGAGTTCAAAAGAACTGAAAGTCCTCTTGTCAAAATCTCTCCCTCACTCAAGGCCTGACACTGAGAAAGAAATTCCCACCTTTCAGTTTCCTCCTTTAGGCTAAGTCGCACGTCTGAAAAGCTCTGAGAAGCATTGCATGGGAGGGGAGGCCCATTAACTCAGGATCCCCCATTAGCCCACATTTCCAAATTTGCACTCAGCAGGACCCAAAAGGAATGACATTCAGTACTGGAACATCTGGATCAGAGAAAAAGGGAGGGAGGGAGAAGCCGAGAGTAGTCATGGTGAGAAATAGGGCAGAGGGAACTTTCCCCAGGAACTGGGAAGCCCTTCATTGGCAGGTGCCAAGTGCCTAGACCGGATGAAGGAAAAAGATGAGAGACAGACAGAGAGAGAGCGAAGTGGACAAAGGTGAACTGGGAAGCGCTTCTAGCAGCTGATAAGACTGAGAGGGCACATTCCCCAGCTTTGCCTAGGATGGACATAGACAAGCCAAGGCAGTAGAAGTCACCCTGGTCCAGGACGCTTTGCAAAGGCAGCCAGCATGGCAGAGTGATAGGAGTGATTGAGAGCTTGCCAGCACCATCTCCCCGCCATGGAACATGGTACCACCATTAGAAATGAGACCTGGGTGCCTCTTAGGACAGGAGGAAAATGACTTGGATATGTCTCCTTCTCTCTTCCTAGTGCAAAAGATAGCACTACCACTGGACCAGGAAAGATATTGGAAAAGTCTTCATAAAAACCCTGAGATGTCTGTCAGCCAATTCATAAAACCCTGAGTTGCCTGTCAGCCAATTCATAAAACCCTGAGATGCCTGTCAGCCAAGGGTGACCTCCAGGACCACTGCATGGGAGATATTTCCTTAGGGCCTCGCAGGCAGCTACAATGCAAGCCAATTTACCTGATGTTGAGATTTGGGGTGAGAAAGTGAACCCTCCAGTTTCCCAGAAGTCTGTCTCACCAGATGCAGAGACTCAGCCTCTTCCAGGAAGCATCAGGATTGGATTTGGGTCTGAGTGGCCAGCTTTCAATAGGACTCATTCTGTGACTCCAGGTCAAACTTGCCAAATGTCTTCCGCAGATTAAGTACAGAACCCTGGATCAAACCCAAATGTGGAGGCAAGGAAATCCACTTGCAAGTAGAATGAGGGTCTTAGACACATTGCACAGGTTTAGTGAGGGCCTGGAAACTAAATCTGTGTTATACCCACCCCCACCAGTAAAACTCAAAACTGTGGGCCAGTGTTCATGACGTATAGGAGTTTGTAACTTCATCTTCTATAATCCATTTCACACAAATGCACTCCGGCTTGCTTCCTGGGCTAAAATAATACAGGTACTTATAAGAATTCACCCACAGAGTTAACATAGGCAAATGCTTTGGTCCCATAATATATGAAGTCAATGCTTGGTTTCTTCTAGGATTCAGGCACGTGCGCACAAACACACACAAACACACACACACACACACACACACACCACAGCAGAAAGGGTAGGTTTTCTTTTATCCAGTGCTTCTACTGCATAGAGAAAAAGCAAGGGCTATATTTTATTTAATACAACATTTTCAAATATTTTGTCCTACTTTCTCACACAGCACCAAAAATATCCTACGTGGTAGGAAAATAGAGTTAGTGTAAACAGAGGTGAAGTATAGCTTGCTGAAAATATGCAGAATGAATTTTTGGTTAAAGGATGGAGAGATTCAGGATGGAGGCAGCAACTCCTCTCCCCGCTACAGGGATGCCCGGTAGGCAGTGGAGAAAATGTAGTAAGTACAACTAAAACTGGATTTAATCATCGCTACTAATAAAGGGCCAAGGCTATATAGCAATTTACTGTGCTGTCGGCAAAATGAATTGCTTAAGGCACATTAGCAGGACGTTAGATAACACACACGCAGTAAGTAAATTATGATTAAAATAACCATAGAGTAAAGACTGTACATGCTCCACCGCCATAACTCTTTTTAAAAATCTTTTAAAGATACCTCCCCCAGTGAATCTGTTTATCACCTCCTACAATTTTAATCAAATTCAATAAGCATATTTCTTACTCTATAAAATGTTTTTGATTGGTCTTTTTATTTTTTTTTCCAATTGGTAAATGAAAGAATGATGTCATATGACAGCATTAAATACTATTAAACAGACCATAACTAACATCAGCCGTATAAATTATACATAAGCTGACATTTTTATGCACTTCGTGAAGAATTGCTTCATGGGTTGTACAATCTTTTCCAAAACAAGCTCCTCAGAATAACGTGACTGCTTATGTTTCATGGCTACAAATGGGTAACTGAATTAGCATTCATTTATGAAGTTTTCACAGGGAACCCTTCTCATTCAAATACTTGTAGATTATAATTTATTTTTATCTGAGGCATAATTTTTCATGTGGAAGTTTTGCCAAAATCAATAGAACCAGAGCCAAGCCCTGTTCCCTATTCCCAACTTAGACCCTCCTCTTGGCTGCTGCCTCCACGTGTCTTCTCTAGCTGGGAAGGTAAACAAATGAGTCTGCCTCATAATTGTCATCTCTGCCAAAGTGCTGAGCTGAATATTATTTTTTACCAGTTCAGCCCACCGCACTTAGAACTCTATTCACACACGTTTTAAAATGGCTTTTTGCATTCTTACGCAAGGAGTGCAGGCTCTTGTTATATGGCAGGAAAACAGCATATTTCATTTCTGATTCACAAGGAAAGTCCATGCCAAAAGTGTCAATGACAACCCCAGGTTTCGAAATAGCCTAGATTAACACAGAGAATGTGCAGGGGCTTGGGAAACCCTCTTCTGGAGGAAGGGGTCGTATCAGGTCCTCTTTGTGCCTGCAGACAGTTGGACTCTGTCCCAAACCAGACAGTGTTTTCTTATAGACACGGGCAATGTGCGAAGAGAGCAGGATCTGGCAGAAAAAACGCTGAGGTATTAATCAAATAAGAAAGTCTAAGGGCCACCAGTTTTCCACAGTGTATCATCACAGTAAACATATGAGGATGAATACCCTGTTTGCTGTGAGTTTAAATGTGTCTGAATAATCCTGGTGACGTTGCAGGGACTTTTGATTCCAGTAATTTATCTTATATGGTGAAAATTCTTTTGTTGCTTTAATTTGCAAAGGTTTTCTTTCAATTTTCTGAAGTCCAGACAGTACCATGTACCCAAGCAAAAAATGCACCAGGAGATGTGAATTGAGCTAATGCATGTATAAAGTGCTGGGCGCCTAAAAGCTTGACAAATACGGGACTGCTATTGTCATTATTGGGATTTTCACTGATTCAAATGCTGGGTAATGTTGACTCTGGTTCAACACATTTGGGTGTATCTCTTGATTGGCGAGAATGCACTCCGACTATGCCTGTGCCATTTTTGTCCATTTCTCTATACATTTCATACCTAGCCATACTGCTGTAGCAAATGTTGACACCCACTAGGATTTTACTTTAGCTGAGATATTTTGCATTTGCTTATAATAGAAGAAAACCCTCTTTGCACACCTAGGAGTTAGTGCAGCTTGTTAGCCCACACCCAACACGGATCTCAAAACTTTGTGAATCCCAAATTATCACCCTCTCCAGGTTTTGAGTCTAAAGCAGTTTGGACAAAGGGGCACATTCCCTGGCTGTGGCTTATTGCGGGCATGCAACTGGGTGCCTGGCAGATGCCCTGCAGAATACTGGAGATGGCTGAGTTATGACCAATGAGAATTTCAAAATAGGAGAGCTGATATGCAGAGACAGCTACTATGTCAGGGAAATTACGTGGGCACATGAATGCATGTATACATATGTATGTATGTGTATTGTATGTGCATGTGCACGTATGTATATGTGTATATGTATTGCAAGTGTGTGCCCACACGCATATACATCAGACTCAAAGATGGCATTTTATTCCTACTGCAACTATTAAGGCTTTTTTGTAGCTTGTGGACACAGCTCTTTTCACCCTGGCCTTCCCCGGTGAGGTGCAGCTGGATTGTGAGAGGCACCCTTAACTCCCCCACTGGAAGTGGCCCAGGAACACCACAAAAACCCCAATGGGCTTCTCTGAGGCTTCTGAGTCAGGATGCAAAGAACAGAAGCTGGGGAATAGTAGTACATAAACTCAAAGCCCAAGTGCTGCCTGTGATGCTCCTCAATGAGTGTAGAAATCTGAAGCAAGTCCAGATTTAAAATCCTGGGAGAAGGACCAACAAGACAGAAATGATCGCATTTAATTTTTATACTTCGGACTGTAAAGCAAACAACGTTTTGATTTTTTCAGCATTACTGAGACATGTGAGGAAGGAATTCTAAGAATGAGGACACTTTCACCCCCATGACCCTATTTGTCCCAAAGACTTCACTTACTGTTTTTGCTGATAACTCACAAATCGAAGTTTTGGCCTGAAACTCTCTCTTGCGGTCCAGACGGGCATCTCACAACAGCTACCATGCTCCAGCACTGAGCAAGTGCCAGGCAGCTTCTAGATGCTTCCTTTGAGTTAGCCCAACACAGGCAGGGGAAGCAGAGGATCAGAATGGTTAAGTCCAGGCCTATAGGCATCAGGGAGGGTGGCTGCCTCTGCAGCAATCACTGCAGTCAGCGTGGTGGACTCAGCACTTGCCGTCTTCACCCCAGTGTCCCAAAGGCACTTCCAACTCTTCATGTGCCACAACTTAACTCTTCTTCCCACTCCAAATATGATCGATGGCCTGTGATCCCTCCCCTGGAGAACAGGACCTCCCGCCCTCAAGGGGAGAACATACGGGCCATGTGTGCCCAAAGGTGGGAATCTTGGGGGCCATGTTAGAACTGTTCTTGCCACAAGTCAAAATCTGAAAGCATAAAGCTTTGGCCAATCTTTGAGTGCATGAAGACAGTGGTCACCTTTGGTGAAAAGACACTTGGGGAGAAAGTCTGGGTTCCAACCTCCCCAGGAATGGGCCCTAGCATGAGGAGGGCACTGGCTGTTATGGCCATAGTCACCATGATCTGGCAGTGTGTATTCACCGGCACCCGCTCCTCGCCAGGCACTGTGCCCTGTGTCCCTCATGGGTATCACAACAGTTTGCCTCACCACAGGAGAGCTTTGGCTACGAGGCAGAAATTTGCAAAGAAGGGCTGGAGTGAACCACCTCTCCTCTGTGATACCTGCACTCGAATAGACAGGCTTTGATTTAATGGCCTGGAAATTAAGGGATGCACTCAAGGAGCTGCCTTCTGGCAATGGAGGGCAGGATGCAGGCATCTTCTGTTGATGGCATAGTCATCCCTCCTGTTGGCCAGTTTGTGGGTAATTCTGGAGCAAGCTGCCCAGGAGGAAGGGACTTGACTACCCTAGGCCCAGAGGAGGGCTAGTGTACAGAGATACCCCTGGCTGTTTCTAAGATTCTCTACCTGAGAGGTGCAGGTCTGAAGAGGCCAACTCGTGGGCATGGGGTGGTTCATCTTCCATCTCCCCTGGGAGCAGCCCTGCTGCCTCAAGGCAGGGATTCCTCAAGTCCAGGGGTCAGCAAACCTTTTCTGTAAAGGGCCGGGCAGTAAATATTTCAGGCTTTGCAGGTCTCTGCTGCAACTACTCAACTCTGTGGTTGTAGCACAAAAGCCACCATAGATAATGTATCTAACAAATAAATGTAACTCTATTCCAAAAAAAAACTTCATTTACAAAAGCAGGTGGTGGGCTGGATTTGGCCTTTGGGCTGCACTTTGCTAACCTGGCTGGAGTCGCCAGCCCTGAGTGGGCAGGGTGAGGCAGAGGCAGGCGTGGAGTTCACTCCTGGCTTTCTTGTTCTTGGGATTCTACTTCTCTGTAGATTTTCACATCGCACCATTCCAGGCCATCACTTAAGCCCGACTACCATCACCCTCCATGGGGTAGAGTGGAATGAAGAGTGTCCTCTCCAAATTCATGTCTACCTAGAGGCTCAGAATATCACCTTATTTGGAAACAGGATTATTGCAGACATAATTAATTAAGGATCTCAAGGTGCAATCATCCAAGATTTAGAGTAACCCCTAAATCCGATGAGTACTGTGTGTATTTATCAGAAGAGGAGAGGATGCAGAGACACAGGGAGAAGGCCATGGCGACAGAGGCATAGATCGGAGCGACACAGCCACAAGCCAAGGAACACCAGGAAGAGGCAGGGAAGGATCTTCCCCTAGAGTCCTTGGAAGGACCAGGATTCTGCTGACACTCTCAAACTTCTGGCCTCCAGACCTATGAGAGCACGAATCTCCAGTGTCTTAAGCCACCCACATTGTGGTCATTTGTTATGGTAGCCACAGGACACTCATACAGTTGGGCTATCTTAACAGCCTCTGAACCAGAATTCCTCCCTCCAGCATACCGCAGCACTCCCCAGCCTTCCTCCACATTGCATCCCGAGAAACCTTCCTAAAATATACGTCCAGTCATCACATAGCCCAATGCTTAAACCCCTTCCATAGAAACTCCATTTCCTACACCGTGACCAGGCTCCTAAACATGGTTCCCCACACACCTACACCTGTACTTCCCTCCACTCACGCCAAGCCTCAGTCACACCGAGCTGCTTGGAATCTTCTGGTTGCGGTAGCAAGCTCTTACCTCCTGGTGTTGGTATGCACAGTCCCCCATCTGAACTGCCTCCTGGCTCCCTCATCCTGCCACTCTCTCTCCTGCAAGATCCCTCTCAGAGGGCATCTCCTCTGGACAGATATCCTTAACCACCAGTGCATCATACCCTAAAACTTGACTCAACTCATTGATGTGTTTTCCAAACTTCTGACATCACCACCCTTCCCCAGGATTTTCCACATCTTTGCACAACTGCACTTTATTTTATTATTTTTTAAAATGATTCTTTTTTAATCAAGTATATTTTGAAAATAAAAATCATTTGTACCATTATGATAAAATGGGGGCGGGGGTCCAAACTGCTTTTTAAAATAAAACTGTAATTGCAAATGAAATGAAGCAATGTTATTAACATTAGAACTAGATGCTGGGGAGGCCTATTTTCATATTAGGAAAAGAGACTGGCAAGTGAGAGCCTTTCTCTCTGTCATTATCAGAAGAATTCAAAGAGAATCCACGTGGAGATATTGTAACTTTCTTCTTCTTTGATTCAATGCTCCTGCACCCCACGCTGTCCGCCCCTGAAGTCTGCTCACCCAGGAGCCTCCCCAGCTCTCTGGGAAACACTTGTGTTTGTTCACAGCTGTCTCCCCTCGTAGCCTCTAATCTCCTGGGAGGCAGGACAATCCCCATCACCTCGTGCAATGCTGGCATTTTTATAGATGACCAATTAATATTTGTGATCGAAATGAGTGAAAGAAAGACTGAGAAATACCCACAAAATTCTGTGGCTAATCAGACAATCAATGGCTCTATTATCCCTGTCAGGCAGGGAGGGTTATTGGAGCCATGTAAGCACACTGGGGTAGTTCACACTGTGTTCAGAGAGGAACTTGAGAACTCTTTGATGGGGCCCCCCAGCGAGCTGCGGCCTGCTTGAATCTAGAACCAGATCTGTGCAGTAAAGGGCCCACTTCCTGAACTTGTTCCTTTCCTCATTCCACTCCTGTCTGTAAGAACATGGGAAAGAGCAGATGAGAACCTCACTTTAACATTTAACTACAAACCAGGTCCAAAATGAAATAGCTATCTGCTCAGACATACACATCAGCCTGCTTTTGATACCTTAAGATCATTGTAGGGTCACCCAGGCAGAATGAGCTCAAACCTTCGCAAGGAAAACCAGGTCTGTGGCAGCCGTTGGCCGAATGCCAAGGCAGTGAGGGATTTGTGCTGAAACCCCTCTCCTCACCCACTTTAGCAGAGCACCAAAGCACTCAGCCCAAAGCCTGCCTTTCAGAAGTGTGTGTGCATGTGTGTGTGTGTGTGTGCGCCTGCCCGCGTGCATGTGTGCCTAGTGGGGAAGGGTGGGAGGTTCTGTGCATGGGAGATTCTTCTAATTGCACAATGTGTTTCATGCGTCTTCCTCCTCCTATGTTAGGATGATGTCCACAGCCACTCAAAACCTGGGCCTGGCCACAATGGAAGGTAGCATTTACCACTCACAAGGCATTTTGCCATTTTCCCGGGTTAAGGATGCTACCTTTCTGTGCAGTGAAGGATGGCCTAGGCCTGGTCTTTCACAGTTGAATTAAGACATTGGGTTTGCATATTGAACTTTTTGCAAGAAACAAGTGGACTTCGGGATAAGTTTCATTTTCTAGATGCTTTTGATTAAAAAGAAACCAAAACTAACAAAAAAGAATATGGTGTGAGGCTTAGCATTGTGAAATGAGAATCAAGAGATGTGAGTTTGATTCTCAATTCTGCTGCAAAGCTGGGAGATTCTGGCCCTCAGGATTAGTATCTTGAATGTACCATTTCTTCACCTGTACTTAAAAGGTGAAATATTGGACCCAAAGGCTATACAAACTCCAAATTCTAATTTCAGGCTTTTTGGAAATTATAGGAAAGATGTGTGTATGATGATGATGGCTCCCAGAGCTTAGGCTGGCTTGGAGACGCAGGGGAATCACCCCAGTGGAAAACAAGAATCCACACGCTATTGGGCTTATCCTTGCCCAGGAGTTCATTTCTCTGTCCCTCTCTGACCCAAGCTTCTCCCTCCAGCCTGCTGTCAGAAGTTGGGATGAGCTGGAAGGACCATGAGGCAGAGCAGTCCTTGAGCAAAGTGACCCTTTTGCCACTTTGAAACTATCTATTGAGCTCCCATTCTGTTTCATGATGATTCTAGGTGCTTGTCCATTAGGGAACAAACAAAGATGCTTCCTTCCGTGGAGAGACATAAAATTAACAAGAAATGTCAAATCATACCTCACATAGTGAAGTAGCTGGTAACTGCTATGGGAAAATGTAGAAAAATGAAATGGAGTAAGGCAAATTGGCATTCAGGGTGTCAGGGCAGGCTGCCCATCAACAGATCCTCAGGGTAGCCACCATGAGAATGGGACTTCTGGTCAAGGATTTGATAGACACGTTGGCTGAGCCATGAGATTATCTGCAGGAAGTGTGTTCTAGCAGAGCTCATGGCCACTGCCAAGGTCCTGAGGCCGAGCCTGCCTGGGATGTTCAAGGAGCAGCAAAGAGGCCAGAATGCCTGAGTCAGGAGTGTGGGGACTTAGAAGCATAGGGGATGATTAATTGCATGTGGTGACTTGGCTGGGCCTCAGTGCCCTGATAGGTGACAAACATTATTCTGGATGTTTCTGTGTGGGTGCTATTGGCCAAAGTTCACATGGAAATGAGTGGACTTGAGTAAAGCAGTTATCCTCTATGATGTGAGGGGCGTCAGCCAATCAGTGGAAGGCCTGAATACAACCAAAGACTGACCTCCCTAAGCAAGGGGGATTCTGCAACAGACTTGAACTTGCCCTCAGACCTGAATGGCAGCACCGGCTCCTTCCTGGGATGCCAGCCTGTGCCAGCCCACCCTGCAGATTTGGGATTTTCTACCCTCCATAAACACATGAGTCAGTTACTTAAAATAGATCTCTTTCTAAATATGTACCATCCCATTGTGCTTTGGTGGAGAACCCTGACTCACCCAACACAGACACAGAACTGTGGGCATCTTTCAGGCTGCGGGAAGACCTTGCTCACTCTGAGGCAAAGCCCTGGCAGCATCTCCACGAGGGCTGAGGGACTGCTTTGAACACCTTCCTCCTTCCCAGGACAGCCAGCTCCTCAGCACGAGAAGCTCAGCAACTCCTTTGAGGATAGGGAGTGGGAAATAAAGGGTCACAAATTGTATGATGTTTGACCTAGATGTAAAATTGCCTCCCCAATGTGTGAATAACATAGAATAACCTTTCCACCAAAAAAAAAAACCAAACCATGCTGTATACAAACAGCATCTGATTATATCAAAGAAGACTCACTCATAGAGTATGGAGCCCAGGAGGCAGGCAGCTCAGGATGTGTCTCCACCACAGGCCCCTGCTCCTGGATGGCTCGGGGAAGCACACTGGTGAGGGCATCCCCCTGCCCAGCCCCACCAGCCCTATCTGGGCTACAGCTAAATCCTCTACTTCCCAGGTCCAGCTTAGGGCCTTTTCCATGAAACCATGGGAAACCTCAGGAGGAATTTTCTCTTCCCTGCTCTGTTCTTCCACAGTGACCTATGGACATCAGGGTGCATCCCTCTGCCATTTGGGATCCTGCTCGCTAGGACTTTCAGGAACCCAGCAAATGCTGGCAGGAGGAAGGAGGAAAATGCCTGGTGGATTCTGATGGTGTTGGAGAGCAATAACATAACCACTCCCAGGCCCTGCTCACGACAGCTCTGCCCCTGGCCCTTCCAGGTCATTCTGACTTCTGATGGCTAGCTAGAGGGAAGAGCTTGGGATCAGAGAGGGAATTTTCTGGAAGCCTCCTGACATCCATGTCCTCCAGGGCATAGACCTGGGTACCTTCTCCCATACTCCACAGGAGGCCCCTCCCCTGCAGGCACCTGGCTGCCAGCCACTGTCAGCTTCCACTCCACATGCAGCAGGTGATGCAAACTGACTCAAGTTTTCACATGACTCAAGTCCTAAGTTGCTGGTTCAGCATTGGCTTTGTATTTTTTTTTGCATTTATTTCAGCTTCAAGGAATGAGTCTGTTGGAAATCCTATGCACTAAACAGTTTTTGGAAACAGACTCTATCACCAACTCCCTCTTGCATTCCCAACTTCACCACAGAGTCTCGCATTCAATCAGCATCGACCCATTAAACACATTATGGAGTGCAAGAGAAGCACACAGTTATGAGAAATAAAAATAGGAAAATACGTCTCCAATGACTAGAGGGCGTCTCAAGATGAAAACACTGTTCTTCTGTCAACATAAAACACCTTTGCGTCACACAAGAAATCAGAGAAGAGGCCCGCTGCCATCTGTAGTTTTATTTTCCCAAGCCCAGGCAGAGCCACTTGGCTCCCCACGTCCCATGGACTTCACAACTTCAAAAATTCTTTTTTTTTTTTTTTGAGACAGATTCTTACTCTGTCGCCCAGGCTGGAATGCAGTGGCATGATCTCTGCTGACTGCAACCTCTGCCTCCCGGGTTCAAGAGATTCTCCTGCCAAGTAGTTTGGATTACAGGCACACGCCACCATGTCCGGCTAATTTTTGTATTTTTAGTAGAGAGGGGGTTACGCCATGTTGGCCAGGCTGGTCTTGAACTCCTAATCTCAGGTGATCCACTCACCTCGGCCTCCTAAAGTACT